>NC_000011.10:61494770-61797801 GCF_000001405.40 Homo sapiens
TGACCTCCAGTTGTCACTTAACCACACTGAGCTTCAGCTAATAGCAGCAGCTGCCTTCTGGATAAAATCCAACATGCACAGAGTGCACACAAATAGAAGCTGCCCTGATGCTGGAGCAGAGGAAACGGAGGCCAAGACAGAGGTGGAGACTTGGTCAAGGCCACACTGCAGGCCGGGCGCGGTGGCTCATGCCTGTAATCTCAGCACTTTGGGAGGCCGAGGTGGGTGGATCACGAGGTCAGGAGTTCAAGACCAGCCTGGTCAACATGGTGAAACCCTGTCTTTACTAAAAATACAAAAATTAGCCGGGCGTGGTGGTGGGCACCTGTAGTCCCAGCTACTCAGGAGGCTGAGGCAGAGAATTGCTTGCACCCGGGAGGCAGAGGTTGCAGCGAGCCAAGATCGCGCTACTGCACTCCAGCCTGGGCGACAGAGTGAAACTCCACCACGCCCTCCGCCTCAGCACCCCCCCAAAAAAGCCCATGCTGCAGATTGTCACAGGGTCTGGTCTCTGTCTCCTGCTTGGCCCTGGGTGGGCCCCCTCAAGACCCTTGCCTGAAGCCGAGCGAGGTGGCTTACGCCTATAATCCCAGCACTTTGGGAGGCTGAGGCTGGAGGATCACTTGAGCTCAGGAGTTCAAGACCAGCCTGGGAAACAAAGTGAGACCATCTTTACACAAAATTAAAGAATTAGCTGAGCATGTTGGCACATGCCGGTAGTCCCAGCTACTCGGGAGGCTGAAGTGGGAAGAGAGCTTGAGGCCAGGAAGTTGAGGCTGTAGTGAGACATGTTCACACCACTGTACTCTAGCCTGGGTGACATACTGAGACCCTGTCTCAACAAAACAAAACAAAACCCTTCCCTGAGAGCAGCCCTCCTCTCTATCAAGGGTGGGTGATCACCTGCACAGCCTGACCTGGAAGGCCTTGGCTGCCCTTCCAGTGGTTTACTCCCACTTAAGCCCCCGTCCCTAAGTCCAGCTTCTGCCAGGCCCTCCTGGCAGCTGCCTGCTTCTCCCTTCACCTGGTAACCAGGCTTTGGGTGTTCACAGAGTCAGTCCTTCTGGCAGGTGACATTGCAGTTGCTGCCAGAAGTTTCCTGCCCCCTCCTCAACGAATATTTTTAAAAACTTGCTGAGGTGTACAGGGATGATGATTAACCTTTATTAAGCCCCCACAGCCTGCGGGTGCTGAGAATATCCGTGGGCCTTCACCTTTCCAGCAAGAACACAGAGGGGCCTCCCTCTGGGGGAAGTTTAGGGACACAGGTGGGTGCGGCGCTGACGGCTTTGGTGTGGGGGTGTGGAGCCTAGAGGGCTGACGGGACAGCAGGTGGGGTGGCTGCTGGGCGCCGTGAGATCAGACACGGCTTGTGACGCGTGTGGACGCGTGTGAGGTTGCTGTTTGTTCGTCATGGCCTGGTGGCGGCTAATGTTGACAGGTGCCATCTGGCCTGAGTCACGTGGTAGCAGGCAGCACCACCGGCTCGTTGGCTTGACAGCTGTCCAGCTGGGAACACAGGGCTCCTGGGGGTGGGGGCGGTTAGAGGCATCTGTCTTTGGGAACTGGAGGCCTGGGGGTGGTGGGAGGCCCTGCGTGGGGAGGCTGAGGACGGGGGATATGATACACCCAGACAGATGGAGTGTGTGAGGCTCTGAATCGGTTCCCCAGTCTCCTCTCTGACCATCTGGAGGGCCACCCATTCCTGAGGAACTGTTCCCCGAACAAGCAAGTATGCAAGGGCAGAGGATGAATCAGACCCAGCAGGTCCCACTGAGGGCCCCCGTTGAAGATCAGAGGGGTCTGGCAGGGCCTGTGGGACATCCCGCCATGCCTCGCTTCCTCCCCACACTGCTGCAGACAGGCTCTGCCCAGGACCTTTGTGATGGGCAGGTCAACCTGACCAGAGGTGAGGCGACCTGCCCAAAGCCATGCGGTGCCGGCCCCGTGAGCGCGCTCGCACTCTCTTCTGAATCCAAGCCTCTCCCCACCCCATCGCTTCCCTGGGGGTCTCGGATGAGCAGGAATGGGGCCTGGGAACTTCCTGGGAGAGCCAGGCAGTGATAGGGATGGGCTGTGATTTCTTTTGCTAAAGAGGTGAGTGCACTTGTGTGAGAGTGTGTGTGTGTGTTTGAGTGCTAGAGTGTGTGAATGTGACTGTGTGTGTGAGAGCATTAGTGTAAGTGCATGAGTGTGAATTTGGAACTGTGAGTGTATGTGCCTGAGAGTGTGAGTATATGTGTGTGAATGTGAGTGTGAGAGTTGTATGTATGAGTGTATATGTAAGTGCGGTGTGTAAGTGTATATGTGTATGTGTATGTGTATGTGTGGGTGTGTGTTGGAGTGTGAGTATATGTGAAAATGTATGTGTGCGAAGATGATTTGTGTGTATTTGTGTGTATGTATCTGTGTGTGTGGGTGTGTGTGGGTATATGAGTGTGGGTATGCGTGTGTCTATGTGTGTAAGTGTATATGTGTGGGTATGTGTTAAGTGTGTGGGATATGAGTGTATGAGTGTGTGATTATGAGTGTGTGAGAGTGTATGCGTGTGTATTTTGTGAATGTGTTTGTGGGTGTGAGTATACGTTAGTGTGAGTATATAAGTGTGTATGAGTGTGAATATGAGACAGTATATGTGTGTATATATGTGTGAGTGTATGTGTGTGTGTGGGTGTGAGTGTGTTAGAGTGTGCGTATATGAATGTGTGTGAATATGAGTGTGAGTGTATATAGGTGAGTGTGAGTGTGAGTGTATGTGTGTGGGAGTGGGAGTGTATGAGTGTGTGTATGTGTGTGAAGATGATTGTGTGTATTTGTGTATGTGTGTCTGCGTGTGTGGGTATATGAGTGTGTTAGTGTGTGTATGTGAGTGTGTGTGTAGATGTGTGGGTGTGTGTTAGAGCGTGTGGGTATGAGTGTATGTGTGTATGTGTGTGTGTAGATGTGTGTGAGTATATCTGGGTGTAAATGTGTGTGTGTTAGAGTGAGTGTATGAGTGTGTATGAGTGTGAATATGAGTGTGTGTGAGTGTATATATGTGTGAGTGTATGTGTGTGGGTGTGAGTGTATGAGTGTGAGAGTGTGATTCAGGTTGGAGAGCCTGTGTGTGTGTGTCTTTAGAGTCCCCAGTTAAAGGGCCAGGGCAGGAAGGTGTGTGTGTCGCTCACCTGGCCTAAGCTTGGGTGAGATGCTGAAGGCGCTGTGCTCAGAAAAGGCTATATGAGCCCCTGGGCCAAGCAGCCTCCTATGGAGCCTGATGACAAGGTTGTGGTCCCTACGGTCAGACGGCCTTGGCGCAGAGCCATGCTCTCCTGGTGGGCTCTGGCACTGGGGGCGGTGGGCTGGCATTGAAGAACATGGGCAAAGCTTCTCCTGAGCACAGAACAGCATTTGACAGTGTGGGGCTTCTGGGAGGACAGTGCAAGCAGGGGCAGAGGGAGAATGATCACGCGACTCCCTGAGTGGTCACAGGCTGATGAGGTCTGACGATGGAGGCTGTCAGTCAGAGTTCATCACAAGCAACAAAAACCACAGCTGGCTAATTTAAGCAGAAAAGGAATTTCTTAAAAGGACTTGGTCACTCACAGAATCTTCAGGTGGACCTGAGAATAAAACTTAGAGCCCGGCCGGTCGTGGTGGCTCACGCCTGTACTCCCAGCACTTTGGAAGGCCGAGGCCGGCGGATCACCTGAGATCAGGACTCCGAGCCAGCCTGACCAACATGGAGAAACCCCGTCTCTACTAAAAATACAAAAATTAGCCGGGTCCGTGGTAGCAGGCGCCTGTAATCCCAGCTACTCAGGAGGCTGAGGCAGGAGAATCGCTTGAACCCAGGAGGTGGAGGTTGAGGTGAGCCGAGATGGCGCCATTGCACTCCAGCCTGGGCAACAAGAGCAAAACTCCATCTCAAAAAAGAAAAAGAAAAAAAAAAACCAAAAAACTTAGAGCCCACCCAGCCAGGAAGCACAAAGAAAATCGCCCCATGGCCCTGGGACCACAAAGACCCCAGGCCTCCCCACCGCTGCTCCTGGGACACAGCCCCTGCTGCCGCTCCTCACACCGCCCTCAGGAGGGATCTGAGTGATCCCTTCTGCTCAGCAGTTCTCATTTCCTATTCAGAATCTGACGTGGGTGTACTTGGGGGCGACTTCCGGGTCACAGGCTTCCACCTCGCTTGCAAGGGATGCCGGGAAAGTGAGCTCCCAGCGTTTTCAGCTGCCTTGGGAGGAGAGTGGGCTCTGTTTTGTAAGGCAGGTGGATTCTCCAACATAGCCAGGGGCTACAGATGCTGGGAGGCCCAAAGAAATCAAATGTCCTTCCCACGTGAGTTACCATCACTAAGAAGGGCATTTGTGGGGTACCTTCTGTAAGCGGGGTGCTCTCGGTGCTTTTACACACCTAGGGAGTTTGCTGTTGGCCTGCGAAGACCCTTTATGGGACATGGATCAAAAGTGCTGTTCCTCGAGATACTTACCTCCAGTATAGGATCCTGGTGTCAAAAGGAATCAGATACGGCTCCATTGTACATGGCATGACTTGTATAGCCAGACAGAGCAGGTATATGTGAGTATGGACTTCATAAGCAATACTCAAGACCTCAAAAGTGTATCTTGGGGCCGGGCGTGGTGGCTCACACCTGTAATCCCAGCACTTCAGATGGCAGAGGCGGGTGGATCACCTAAGGTCAGGAGTTTGAGACCAACCTGGCCAACATGGCAAAACCCTGTCTCTACTAAAAATACAAAAATTAGCCGGACATGGTGGCACACACCTGTAATCCTAGCTACTTGGGAGGCCCAGGCAGGAGAATACTTGAAGCCGGGAGGTGGAGGTTGCAGTGAGCCGAGATTGCGCCATTGCTCTCTAGCCTGGGTGACCAAAAAAAAAAAAAAAAAAAAAAGTGTATCTTGGTCTATCAGTAACAACTGGATTTAGCAAAGATGTGGACTTCCCCAGCCTAATCTCTCGGCTACACCCATGTCTGTCTTGCAGGTGTGGAAACTTCTGGATGCCTGCTCTTGTGAGTTCACCTCTATGTCTACTCTACTGAGGCCTCTCCATACAGGTAGAGTGACTTGTGGGAGGCCTGTTACATCCTCAGGCCACACCTGGTAAGGGAAGCGCAGGTGGGTCCCACCTGCCCTGGTGCCCCCCTCAGGATACCTGGGGGTATATACTTTTTCTCATGCCACCCCCAGGCTCTGCCCAGATGGGGCTGACGACTGGTTTTTGGGCTGGCATCCGTGTTTCCGGGCGCTGCTTGCCCGTTCTCTCCCACCTGCCGGTTGAACCTTAATCTCCTTTTGGGTGCTATCTTCTGCGATGACGCATCCTTCCCCTCTCCAGGGCTTATGGCATCAGCTCTCTGCTCTCGAAGTTCAAAGCCAAGCTTTTTTGGACCTACACAAAAGATTTCTCTTTCAAAACTGGTTGTTGTAAGGGTATAGTCTCAGCTCTGGGTTTCAAAGCCTCTTTTGCAACTCAAAGCCAAGGATTTGACTCTTTGTTCTGAGTTTCCCTGGAGAGCAGGGAATATAGGAAACCAACTTAGCATATGAATGCAAGTCAATGGATATAAGGAAATTGTCTACAGTGGAATAAGTTAGTATCTCAAAATGACAGCATTCAGCTCCCATACACTGTCACTGACGCTTTGTGATAATCCTTTGAGAAAGGGTGATTTTGCCCGATCCAGAGCTGAGACTAGGGTGAGGGGGGGCAAGGCACTTGCTCTAGACACCATATTTAAAGAAGTGCCAAAAAAACCCACCTCCATAATTAAGTAATAGTTTGATGCAATCATTGTAAAAGTAAAAATTATTGCCAAAAATCCATGATGAAAAAAAATCAAAATTTTAAACGAAGATGAGATTCGTGTTACTGATTTTTCCTTTGCTCGAAGGTTCCAATAATGGCTCCACACAGCACTGGCACTTGGCACTGATCTGTTTTTTTTTTCCTTTTTTTTTGAGACAGAGTCTCACTCTGTCACCCAGGCTGGAGTGCAATGGCACAATCTCAGCTCACTGCAACCTCCACCTCCTGGGTTCAAGCGATTCTCCTGCCTCAGCCTCCCGAGTAGCTGGGATTACAGGTGCACACCACCAAGGCTGACTAATTTTTGTATTTTTAGTAGAGACGGGGTTTCACCATGTTGGCCAGGCTGGTTTCGAACTCCTGACCTTATGATCCACCCGCCTTGGCCTCCCAAAGTGCTGGGATTACAGGCGTGAGCCACCGCGCCTGGCCCTCTGATCTGGTCTTCATGGAGCTCACATCCTAGTCCATCGGAAACAGACTTCAAGCAAATAATTCACAGTTATTATTTATTTAGTGTGATTGGAATAATTACTTTGAAGGAGAAATGTGGGAGCTCAAGAATCTATAACAGGGGCTTGACGTGCTCTGAAAGATCCTGGAAGGGAAGTGTGTTAGTCTGTTCTTGCGTTGCTATAAAGAAATACCTGAGGCTGGGTGGTTTATAAAGAAAAGACAAGATGGGCATATTGGCTCACTCCTGTAATCCCAGCACTCTGGAAGGCCGAGAAGGGTGGATCACCTGAGGTCAGGAGTTTGAGACCAGCCTGGTCAACATGGTGAAACCCCATCTCTACTAAAAATGCAAAAATTAGCTGGGCATGGTGGCACACACCTGCAGTCCCAGCTACTCAGGCGGCTGAGGCAGGAGAATTGCTTGAACCTAGGAGGCGGAGGTTGCAGTGAGCCTAGACTGCTCCATTGTACTCTAGCCTGGGCAACAGGAGAGAAACTTTCTCAAAAAAAAAAAAAAAAAAGAAAAAAGAAAAAGAAAAGAAAAGCTGTTTATTTTGACTCATGGTTCTATAGGCTGCACTGGAAGCATGGTGCCATATCTGCATCTGGTGAGGGCTTCAGGGAGTTTACAGTCATGGCAGAAGGTAAAAGGGAGTAGCGTTATCACTTGGTGAGAGAGGGAGCAAGAGATAGGAGGGAAGGTCCCAGACTCCTTAACAACCAGATCTTGAGTGAACTGAGCAAGAATTCACTCATCACCAAGGGGACAGTGCTAAGCCATTCATGAGGGATCTGCCTCCATGACCCCAATACCTCCACTAGGCTCCATGACCCACATTGGCCGTTACATTTCTTTTTCTTTTTTTTTGAGATGGAGTTTTGCTCTTGTTGCCCAGGCTGGATGGAGTGCAATGGGGTGATCTTGGCTCACTGCAACCTCCACCTCCCGGGTTCAAGCAATTCTCCTGCCTCAGCCTCCCGAGTAGCTGGGATTACAAGTGGGCACCATCACGCCTGGCTAATTTTTGTGTTTTTAGTAGAGACGGGGTTTCACCATGTTGGCCAGGCTGGTCTCGAACTCCTGACTTCAGGTGATCCGCCTGCCTTGGCATCCCATAGTGCTGGAATTACAGACGTGAACCACCGCGCCCAGCCAGGGATTACATTTCAACATGAGATTTGAAGGGGACAAACATCCAAACCATATCAGGAGGTTTCAGCTGAGACCTTAAGGATGAGTAGTGTGAACCAAGCAGAGTGGGAAGAAGAGAATTCCAAGCAGAGGGACTGGCATGTCCAAAGGTCCTGGGGTGAAAAGAAGCTCTTCAGGTTAGCTCATCTCCAAGTGGTGACTCTGGGATCCAGGATCCTTTCCATCTTTAACATCACAGTAGATAAATGGAGCATGGAGGATTGTGCATTCATGTGGTATGTTTCACTTCTGCCCACATCCATTAGCCCAGCAGTCATCCCAGGGTCTTACCCTCTCAGCTAGGAAAAGTAGTTTTACTGAGGGCTCAGGAAGAAGAGGGGGAAAAAACAGAAGTTGGTCACTCTCAGTAGCCTCTGCCCCAGGGGGACCAGGCCAGACAAGTCCTTGGTAGTCTTGGTTGGGACCTGGATCTGTATTCTTGGAGCAGATGATCTGATTTGCATTTGGCCACAGATCCAAGAAGGTATTAACATAAAGAGCGACTGCCAGCCATGACCCCAGCATTCCTCCCAGGAGGAAGGAGTCATCAAGTCCACTTTGTAGCTTGATGGCCTAACAGAACCCACTGGGGTGGTCAGAGTTCCATCCACAACATTCTGGAATGTGGCCTTGGGAACCAGTCAGCTTCTCCCCCTCCTCACACTCCTGTGGCCTCTGTTGCTCCAGCTCTGGTGTCTCTGAGGGGGACCTGGGAGGACTCTCAGCTTTCAACAGATCAGGCAGGTAACTCACAGAGCTAGGGTTCCAGGTAAACATGATCCCCAGGCCACGCCTGGGCTCTGGTTTCTTAGGCAGGATGGGAGGAGTAGGTTGGCAGTGGCTGAGCCAGCCTGGTGAGTTTGGCTATCACTGATGGGCTCTAGTCTAACGGTGGGCCAGAGACTGCCTGGAATTTGGTATCATATAAGCCCTGAGCCCAGATCACAGGCCTAGGATGACCCAGGACCTGGGGACCTCTTTGTTCTGTCTTGTGGGACCTGATTTGGGGTTCCTAGGCTTGCCCTGTGGATTTCAGGATACCCCCTAGTTAGGCAAACATATGAGCCCTGGGGCCTGGGATGGGAAAGGGGAAGTGGTGTGGCTCATAGCCACTCTTGTCCTCTCTGACAACATCAAAACCTCCAAGCAGGGCACCCCTAGAAATATTTTTGCTGTTTGCAGGATGGAGGTGAGCGTTTGAGCACCCAGGGTGGTTTCTCTAATTTCTCCTAGACCACAGAGTCAATGAGACATCGTCGACAAAGCCCGGGCTTTGCAATAAGATGGACTGGGTTTGAATCCTGGCTCCGCCCCTTACCGGCTGTGTGACCTTGTAGCTTGGCAGTGGCTGTTTAACCACACTGAAACTCAAACTACTTAACCTCTCTGAATCTAATCTGTTTCTTCATCTGTAGAGCCAGAGGGTGGTGGAGAGTATAGTACCTGCTCGGCAGAGCTGTTGTGAAGAATAAATTTGACAACCTGTATGTGCTGAGTAAACGACAGCTAGCATTATCCTGTGGGAGAGAACCAAGAGGAGAGAGGTTAAAGTTGCACAAAACCCTTTCCCCAACACACACACATACACATGCATGCACGCATGCACGCACACACGTACACGCATGCACACACGTGTGCGTGCACACACACACACATACCCCCCCATATCCTGCAGCCATAGCCAAAGGGATCCTGTTAAAACATGTGTCCTCTGTGCAAAATTCCCGGATGACCTGTCACCTAGAGTCAAAGCCAAAGTCCTCATGAAGGACAGGGGCCCTCCTCGGCCTGCCCAGTCCTTACTTTCTGTCTCTGATCTCCTGGACCACCATGCTTCCCCTTGCTCCCTGGGCTGGGCCCCTTGCTGCTCCCAAAGTCCCAGGCATACTCTTGCCCTAGGGGCTTGGCACTGCCATCTCCACTGCCAGGAGTGTACCCTGCCATCTTTGCTCAATGCCATGGTCTCAATGAGACCTCCTTTGGCCACTCAGATGTTTTTTTGTTTTTTTTTTTTAGACAGAGTCCAGATCTGTTGCCCAGGCTGGAGTGCAACGGGCAATCTCAGCTCACTGCAACCTCTGCCTCCCGGGTTCAAGCAATTCTCCTGCCTCAGCCTCCCAAGTAGCTGGGATTACAGGCACCCACCACCACCCTGGCTAATTTTTGTACTTTTAGTAGAGACAGAGTTTCACCATGTTGGTCAGGCTGGCCTCGACCCCCTGACCTCAGGTGATCTGCCCGCCTCGGCCTCCCAAAGTGCTAGGATTACAGGCATGAGCCATCGTGCCCGGCCTTAGCCACTCAGTTTTAAAGGACAGCCCCTCCCCACCCCCCACACATTTCTCAGTCCTCCTCTCTCTTTTTTTAAAATTAAAATTAAAATTAAAATTTTTTTATTAATAGAGATGGACTTTCACCATGTTGGCCAGGTTAGTCCTGAAGTCCTTGCTTCAAGTGATCCACCTACCTTGGCCTCCCAAAGTACTGAAATTACAGGTGTGAGCCAACATGCCCGGCCAGTCCTCCTCCTTTCTTTTCCCTGCTTTATTTCTTCCGTAGCCTGATCATGACCTGACACGTGTTTTGTTGATGATCTCCACTCGCATGAATATAAGTTCCACAAAGGCAGGGGGTTTGTCTATTATGTTTACATTCATAGTAATCCCCAGTGCCTAGGCATAGAAGTAGGTGCTTAAGGTTTGTTGAATGAATACCTGAAAGATGGCAGGAACTGAAGTTCTGGCTGATGCAGGAAAGGGGAGTGGGCCATGAGGTGAGGACATCATCGCTTTCCTTTTTTGCCAAATGAATGGGTTGGCCTAGACACCCAAGAGACCATGAACCCCTGGGAATTGCGTACATCATTGGGTGAGTCTCTGCCTCCATGCATTTTTCTGGAACAAGGGTCCCTACCTTCTTGCAGACATTGAAGAGAGCCTGTGACCTCCCAGAGGCGCTAAGCACCCTTCCAGCTCTGACATCGTATAGTTGGCTCTAATAGGTTTGAATCCTTGTTTTCTAAGAACCTAGGATGCTAAGATCCCATCATCTTATTCAGCAGCCAGGGGGGTCCTGGCCCCAAGGCAGGGAGGGGAATCCAGAGGGGACTTTGGCAGGGTCAGTGTGGAGGGGGCGGTAGTGCCTATGGGGACATTGGAGGGGAGACAAAGGAGACTTGTATATTACGTGTGCCGTTTTCTTCCTTTTATTTAAAAGAAAATAGGTTTAAAGCAAGTTTGATGAAATGTGAACAATTGTCAATGCTGGGTACTGGGCATGGGGGTGTTTATCACAGCGCCACACTTTTCCTATATTTTAAGAAATCCTTTAAAAAATACAGAGTTGGGGGTGGGCACTAATAGTTATAGCTCATGATTAGTAACAGAGAGGCAGTTTCTGGGGCCCTGGGGGACCTGCACTTTGGGTGTTTTTGCAGTGTGTGTGGGGGCAGAGGGGCTGGCCAGGGTCTGGGACCCATGCCTGGAGCTGACAGAGTCCTCTCTCCTCCCCTGCTTCCCCCTCCCAGGTCTCAGTTTCCTGCCTTCCTGGGAAGTGGGGAAAGGCTGAGAGGCCCCGTGCTGGGGGTGAAGCTAATTCATTAGTTACGCCTCAACAAGGACCGGGTGCCTGCAGTGCCAGCGTGATTCATCATGATGATTGCCCCACTGCCAGCCTGCGTGGGCCTGGAACGCCAGCACATTTTACCTTTACCCACTGAGAAGGGCCTGGTGGGAGGTGAAGGTACAGGATCTGCCGAGAGCAAGAAAAAGACTCTGAGAAAGAAGAGGGCTGGTCCTCCATGCTCTCGGCCCCAGGAAGCTCTGCCAGGCTGGTGCCGGGGTGGAGAGGCTCATGTGGGCTCATGTGGTGCTGCCTGTGCTGATGGAGCCCAAGAGGGCAGCCTGGCGCTGGGTGCCAGCCTGAGCATGTGGCGAGGCTGGGCTGCTGAGCCTCCTCCTCCACAGCCAATGTTCCCTCAAACTGCTTGGGGGTGGGGGGAGGGACTCATCCTCATCCCATTAGCCTGGCTGGGTATTCCCTACCTTTCTGGTCTCTGAGAGACTTACCTCTTCCAAGAAGTCCTCCCGAATGAGTAGAAGGGAGAGAGCTGGATTGGAACTTAAGTGACATCTGGGAGGAGCCTGAAGCCCCTCCGGTTGGGGCTGAGACTCCTATACCCTAGGTCTGGTGTCTGGGTTCCACCTGGGTCCTCTACCTTGGCCTGGATTCCTGCTTTCGTTTTGCCAGTCTCTCCCAGGATGGGGGTGCATGGCTGGTTCGTGGCTCAGAGCAACATCTGCCTCTGTGTCCCCCCATCATCTGTCCGCCCCCTAACACCTCTTGCCATATTAGAATTGCTATTGCTCTGTCCTTTCATTCATGTATCCAACAAATATATATTATCTGAAAAAAAGCATGTGCTGAATAATTTCATTTGTGTGAAATTCAAGAACAGGGAAAACTGATCCATAAGGATAGAGGTCAGGATCATAGTTGCCTCTGTGAGGTGGGGATTGACCGCAAGAGGCTTGAGAGAACTCTTGGGTTGATGGAAATGGGACAGGGGTGTGTACATTTGTCAAAACGCATCCAAGAAGACACTTACGATCTATGCATTTCACTGTATGCAATGTTTGCCTCCACTTTTTTTGTTAAGTTTTTTTCAGCAAGGCGCAGTGGCTCATGCCTATAATTCCAGCACTTTGGGAGGCTGAGGCAGGTGGATCACCTGAGATCAGGAGTTCGAGACCAGCCTGACCAACATGGTGAACCCCTGTCTCTTCTAAAATACAAAAATTAGCTGGGCGTGGTGGTGGGCACCTGTAATCTCAGCTACTTGGGAGGCTGAGGCAAGAGAATCGCTTGAACCCAGGAGGCGAGGCGGAGGTTGCAGTGAGCCAAGATCACGCCATTGCACTCCAACCTATGCAACAAGAGCAAAACTCTGTCTCTAAATAAATAAATAAATAAATAAATAAATAAATAAATAAATAAAAATTTGCATGGAATGTCTACTGTATGCTCTAGAGCCTGTGCCAGCAGGGAAGGAGATGCCCAAACCTCCCTGGCTGGGCAGCTTACTTTCCAGTGGGGATGGTTCCCTTCCTCCCGTTGCATTGGCAACTGCTCTCTGCCCTTGGGCTGTCTTCCATCCCCCTTCCCCTGCAGTGGGGATGGCAATGGGGGTGGGCCAAAGGGCAGCGTGCTCTCCTGAAGTCAGTCCACTCAGCCAGTTACATGGGTCACACCAGCCGGGTTCAAGAGAAGGCAGGAGGCAGGAGGCTTGGAGCCCGAAAATTTGGCTCCCGGGCTGCAACCTCTATGCATTGTGTGACCGTAAGCAGGGTGCCTAATCCCCGCGAGGCCACTTCTCTCATCTTTCATGTGGGATTATAGTGCTGTCTTTGTAGCTTTGTCCAGAGAATCAGAGGCTCTGTTGTGAGAAAATTCATTGCTGGAGGTGGAGTGAACCTTGTTTCCATCTATCGGTATGGTTTATGGTTAGGAACACAGGCTCTGGAGTCACACTACCTGGCTTCGAATCCAGCTGCTCATCAGCTGGGTGACCTTGGGCACTTCACTCAGCTCAGACTGACCCAGCTCAAGTCATGTCTCTTTGACCCTCAGTTTCTCCATCTTTAAAATCGGGGTGATGAGGGTGTCTACCTCATAGGCTGTGCCAAGGACTCAACGCAATGCTTTCAGCATAGTGCTGGGCACACGTGGGCTCGAAGCCAGTGACAGCCAGTGCTTTTCTGCCAGGAGCTCCCGCAGGAGGGCTCCGGATGGGAGGTGGGGGGAGAAGGCAGGGGGGAACTGCTGCTGGTGGTAGCAGGCGAAGGAAGAAGAGTCATGGAATGAGAGTGGCCATGATTGGTGGCTCAAAGGCGTTCACGTGTCCCAGTCCTCTGTCCACCGCAGCCACACACAGACTTTGAGCGTCGGTGGAGGGATCCTGGCAGGAGAGAGGGGTGTGAGTGTAGCAATGAGGAAGCTGTAGGGCAATTAGGCGGGGCGGAGCCAAGCCCTGGGGCCCGGTAAAACCAGCAGATGTGAAAAGGGCCGGACAGTAACACTGTTTCGAGTTACTACACTGAAGTGATCCCAGCAGGTAGGCCGGCCGCACGCCGCTGGACGTGAATGGCTCGCAGTGACCGCGCCCCTCAGCCCCTCCTTGTGAGCCTCTAGTCCAGAGTCTTTGATCCACCGCCAGCGTTTCCTTCGCCTTCTTGGACCCGCGGCTCTGGGGCGCACACAACCGCACACCAAACAGCGTCGGGCGTCGGGTCTCAGTGCCAGGCTTGGCCGGGGCGGGGAATCTCTCGGCTTGTGCTTGCTCCGCGGTGGGCTGGATGGGCAGGTAGGGGGCGGGCTCCGGCGCTGGGACCCCACTAGGGTGGCGCCTTGGCCCCGCCCCGCCCCGCCCTCCCTCCGCCTCATTGGCAGCCGCACGCGCGTCGGGGTTGCCAGGGCGACGGGTCGCTAAGCTGCGAGTCAGCGCGAACCCTAGCCAGTCGGCCTCCGGCGGAGGCAACGGGGGAGGCCCGAGGGCGGGCGGTGGAGCGCGGCGCGCGGCGGCGGTGCCCCAAGTGGGTGCCTCCTCCCGGCCCCGCACGGCCCCCCTCCCGGCGCGGGGGAAGGCCGGGGCGGGGGGCCCGGGGGCCGGCGCGGCTCCGGCACCGTCGGGGCGGCTGGGGGGCGGCCGGGGCGGGGCGATGCCTGGCGGTGGCAGTGGCGGCGGCCCCGGCCGGGGCCCGTGACCATGGGCATCGCCGAGTCCACGCCGGATGAGCTGCCGTCGGACGCAGAGGAGCAGCTGCGCAGCGGCGACCAGCAGCTGGAGCTGAGCGGGCGGCGGTTGCGGCGGCTGCCCAGCGCAGTGTGCGCGCTGAGCCGCCTGCAGAAGCTGTATGTGAGCGGCACGGGGCTGCGCGAGCTGCCGGAGGAGATCGAGGAGCTGCGCGAGCTGCGCATCCTGGCGCTGGACTTCAACAAGCTCGAGCGACTGCCTGACGGCCTGTGCCGCCTGCCGCGCCTCACGCGCCTCTATCTGGGCGGCAACCGGCTGCTGGCGCTGCCCGCCGACTTCGCGCAGTTGCAGAGCCTGCGCTGCCTCTGGATCGAGGGCAACTTCTTGCGGCGCTTCCCGCGGCCGCTGCTGCGCCTGGTGGCGCTGCAGTCGCTCCAGATGGGCGACAACCGGCTGCGCGCGCTGCCGGCCGAGCTGCCGCGCATGACGGGCTTGCGCGGCCTCTGGCTCTACGGCAACCGCTTCGAGGAGTTCCCGCCCGCGCTGCTGCGCATGGGCCGCCTGCACATCCTCGACCTCGACCGCAACCGCCTGGGCGGCTTCCCCGACCTGCACCCGCTGCGCGCGCTGCGCGTCTTCTCCTACGACCACAACCCCGTCACCGGGCCCCCGCGCGTCGCGGACACCGTGTTCCTCGTGGGCGAGGGCGCCGTCGAGCGCATGGCGGAGCGCGACGAGCCCACGCCCCGGCCTCCGCCCCGGCGCCCAGCGCGGGCCTTTGAGGATGAGGAGGAGGAAGACCTGCTCATAGGCGGCGCTGGTTCCCGGGCTCTGGGCGCCCCCGGGGGCAGCTTCCGCGCCCTGGAAGCCGCTCCAGGACTGGGCACCTGAGCCTATGTTCTGGCTGATGGGCTTCAGCCACTCTGAGAGGAGGGGCTCTAGGAAGCTTTGGCTGGTTAGGCCTGCGGGACTGGTGGGTCCCTACTTAGGTCAATGGAACGGCTACTTTTGGCGAGTTGCCGGGCACAGGCAGGGCTGGGGCTCATCTTCAGACACTCCTAGGTAGTAAGAGGACTGACTATACCCTGGCTGATCTGTGGGCAATTGTCAGACCAAGAAGTCTGGGCTGGGTCCAGTCCCCGATGGAGCCACTGATAACAGAGGCACCAGCTTCCTCCTGGAACCAGGGTCTCTGAGGGCCACAGAATTGTCACGTCTCCCTGAGTCTGGATGCAGGGCACCCAACACCCTCCCTCTTTCTGGGGTTTGGGTCTCCTAGGCCCACCCTTTCTAGGACAGGAGCCGCTACCTCTGGGATGGACTGCGTGCCTGTGTGGGGCAGGACTGCCCTTGCGAGGAGGGCCTGGCCCAGGAGCAGGGGCTTGGAGTGGGGCTGGTGCCCGGGACAGAAGTGGGAAATAGATGGGGGCCCCAACACCGAAGCTGCCCTCACCCCTCCATCAGGGCTGATCGTACATACCTCCCTCCTCGGCCCCCTGAGATTGGTATGGGGCACAGAAGGCAGGGGGTCACCCCCACCCTATTCTGTTCTCTTCTCCCAGCCTCCCAGCATGTGCCTGGAACCTTGCTGGGAAGAGAGAGCTCCCCCTCCACTCCCCACCCCATAGCCTGAGCCTTCCAGCTGTCAAGTTTGAAAAGAAGCCACCGTGCCTCCAGGGCCTCCTGCACCGCAGAGAGGGGCTCTCTGCTCTGGGAGGCTGCTCAGCGCCTCTCCCACGGCCTGCACTCTCCTTTCCCTTAAATGGGCACAGCCAGGGTGGCTGGCATGGGACTGGCACTCTGTACCTCCACTCCGTCACCAGGGACAGCCCCGAGGGGGTGAGGAGAGGGGCCTTGCTCTGCAATTCCCAGAGCCAGATCTTCCTCATCCAAGCAATAACGGGACGAGGGAGCCAGGGCCAAGGACACTCAGGGACACTGTTGGGGCAGCGGCCCCACATGGTAATGTTTTCTTTAGAGAGAAGAAAAAACAACTGGCTGTAAACGTAAATTATATTTCTTGGAGAAAGAATGTGCATTTCCCATGTGCCTGTTTATTTATAATCCCTGGGAGCACCGGAACCCACTGCTGTGGGGACCCTGGGCTCCCTCTGGCACTGCCCCCGCCCCACGTGCTCCCCGCTCCATGTCAGACCGACCCTGCCAACTGTGGTGTGCTGTCTGTCTGGGGAACAAGTGCTGTCGTCAGAAGTGGCTTTTGTCCCTCGAGGCTGCTCTCCTGTCTTGCGGAATCCCGCAGCTTAATTCTGCAGAAGATTTTGTATGTTTTTGAGTCACCCTCGAGCTGGGCCGATGGTTCCCTACTCTTTCACTGGCACTGCCCCTCCACCCCCTCCATGACTCTAGACTCGCCTCCCTCCGTCTCTCTCGCTCTATTTTCCTCTTTCTGTCTCTCTCCTTCTTAGTCTCTTTTTGCTCAGTTTTGGCATTTCTTTCTCCCCTTGTTGTTCAGGAAAATAATAAATTAACGATTTAAAGAAAGGAAGAAAGTTGTAAAACCCAAGCCTGGAGGCCCATCTCCCCGGAGAAGATCCTGCCAGATCTTCATCACCATGGCAACAGGGGCATATGGGGCCAGAAGGTCAGGCCCTGCCCAGCAGCTCTGCTGGCACACTGGGCTGGGCCCTGGCTAAGGAGGAGGCTGGGCATGGGTCTGGGGCTGTCAGCTTGCAAATGAGAGTGAAGGCCTTGAACGGACAGAAAGAGGTGGTGGGTGGGGAAGATTGGAGACTGCCACCTTCCCAAGGAGGAAGAGGGTCTGGGGCCTGGCTGCTGTAGACCTTGTCCCTCCCAGAGTTCCCCCTGTTGGGGTTCCATCAGGGCCAGTGGGCCTTTCAGGGGTCTGGAAACTTGGAGAAAGTAATTTGAGAGAAGATCACTCAGGTGGGGTAGGAGCTGCAGCTGACTGGGGACTCTCCTCTTGACCTGCCACTTGTATCACAGCATAGGGAAAATACCCCTGGGCCTACAATCAGAAGGCAGGGGTTGCAGGCCTGGTTCTGCTATTGACCAAGTGATCTTGAGCAAGTCACGACCCCCCTGGGCCTTAGCTTCTTCGTCTGTACACGAAGAGTTGGGTTTATTTATTTATTTACTTTACTTTTATTTTATTTTCCAAGATGGAGTCTCTCTCTGTTGCCCAGGCTGGAATGCAGCAGCATGATCTTGGCTCACTGCAACCTCAGTTTCCCAGGTTCAAGCAGTTCTCCTGTCTCAGTCTCCTGAGTAGCTGGGATTACAGGTGTGCACCACCACGCCCGGCTGATTTTTTTGTATTTTTAGTAGAGACGGGGTTTCACCATGTTGGCCAGGCTGGTCTCGAACTCCTGACCTCAGGTGATCTGCCTGTCTCGGCCTCCCAAAGTGCCGGAATTACAGGCGTGAGCCACTGCACCTGGCCCAAGGAATTGGGTTTATTTAGATCTGATGCTGCAGCTCAATACTTCATGCAAGGGGTTTGTTTACCTTCCTTTCATGCAAATCTTAGACACAGAAGCAGCAGGGTGCAGAGGCAGCCATGGTCACCTGCAATAACTGCTGTCATTAGTGAGCTCAGGTCTCCTCCCTCTGTCTGATCTGTTTCCCTGTACCTCCTCCCCTGCTGCTCTCACCTGAGGACTCTAGGTTGGGGCAAAGTCCTGGCAATGAGTCCCCCGGGCCATCCTGAGGCACTCAGGGCCTTACCCTTTTGCTTTGTCAAACGTGGCACCCGCAGCCATGACTGCTTGCCAGCTGAGCAGGCGCTCCCCCAGGGAATGGGAATGGGCTCTGTCCCTGGCCCTGCTACTCACTTGCTCTCCACCCTCAGAAGCCAGTCCCTTCTGGAAAGTTTGAGTTTGGCTAAATTGGGTGCTGATGCTACAGAGCACGATTGAGGGTCTCTGTCTCCATGTGAGTAGGGAGGGAGCTAACTGCCAGGGAAAACTGGGTGTCACGGCTCCCCTCGGTGATGGAGATAGCACTGTATTAGGAGTCCTAGCATTCCCCCACCCACAACTTCCTGTGATTCCCACTTGGCCTCTGGGGAGTAGGGGGCAGGGGAGACTGGAAGGGACGCTTGTAACAATGGGACGGGATGGATGGGCTGCCTCTGCGGTTCCCCACATCGTCCTGGGGCAGTCAGAGGTGGGCAGGCCATGGGGGAATAGGGCAGGGAAGTTCTGCAAGAGTCATGTTTGTACCAGGGATTCAGGGGCAGAGGCCAAGGGCGCTGGTGGTCAGAGCAAGAAGCTTCCTTCCTACTGTGGGAACCAAGTGGAGGGAAAGGCAGAGGAGGCGGCAGGGCAAGAAACAGGGTTGGGGGGGGTGTGGGCGCGAGTGACTCACCCGTAAGCGGTGTGAGGACTCCCAACCCAGTGCTCACTGTGTCACAGAAGAGCTGCTTGGTCCCTGGCTGGCAGTCAGGTCTGTGAGTGGAATGGAATGGCTGAGAACTGCGCCTGTTCTTGAGGCCCCCGCCCCCACCAGCCTCCAGGCAAGCAGCCCTGCTGGCCAGTGTGGCAGCAGAGACCCAGGCCTGGAGCCTTTTCTAACCTTGTGAATGCCATTCCTCACCCCCTTCCCACCCACCCTCATGGGACTCAGGAAAGTGGGAGAACAGGTTCTTGGAGCTGGGGGCCCTACCCAGAAGTCCCTCCCTGCCTCCCATGCCACCACACTGGCTTACTCAGCCATCTGTCCCAAAGCTTCCCCAAGACACCTGGCGATCTTGTTCTGAAGATGAACGTTTATTAGCACACCTGGGCGTGCCACATGGAACATGTATGCAGACAGGGATCCCTGCCCAGGGGGCTCACAATCTACACAAGACACGACACATACACGCAGGACACAGACACGGGGAGCGGGGCGTCTTCACGGGAAACAGATGGTCTGGGGAGCCACGAGCTGGGGCATCGGCGTGCTCAAGGCTTGTCCTTCTGGTTGTCTTTGCGTGGGAGGGAGAGGAGCGCAGGACGTAACCCAGGACAGCCTTCCAGAAAGCAGCAGTATCCAGGGGGGGACTCACAGGAGAAAGAAAACACCAGAGGGCGGTGGTCCCAGGTACAGGGAGGGGTGGGGGAGCATCTCAGAGCAGGCATGGACGAAGACAGACCCAGAGAAGCAAAAATGGAGGAAGGCAAAAAGTCCAGGGAAGGGCCCGAGCCAGTGGCAAGGGACTGCCCCCTGTGCTGGGCCTGAGCTGTCTCTGACTTCAGGCTCAGTTTTCCAGGGCTGCTTTCATGGAGAGCGCCTGAACAGAAGCTCTGGCCAAGGGAGCCCCTGAGGCTACTTACCTGACCCCGGGGCTTCCTCTGATCTCTGGAACAGAGATCAGAAGTGATATCTAAACCAGGTTGTGGGAAATGAGGGACAGACAGCTTTGGATGGGGTACTTAGTGCAGCTCCGGGAGGCAGCTGCTGGCCCCAAGTGCTGGGAGCAGAGGGCGGATGGGATGGCCCGCTTCACTCCTGGTGGGGGCAGGGGCCAGCAGGTGGACACATGACAATGGGGATGTGCTCGTTCCTTTTGTGCCTGTGTCTGAACCAGATGTAGCACCTTCCTTCTGAAGTACCCTGAGAGCTGCGGGGGCTCAGCTTCCCCTGGGCTGGGTGGGGAAGAAAGGGCAGGGGATGGGGATGGTTATTGCTTTGTTGTGGCCAGAAGAAACAGGTGGAAGGAAAGAGCTTGCCCAGGGCCACAGAGGCTGCAGAAGGGATTACAACCCAGCTTCCCACACCTCAGGCTGGAACCTGTTCTATTGAGTGGAAGAGACTTTTCTAATCCTAAAGAATGAAACTAGAAGAGGGCTGAGAGAAGCCGCAGGTCCAGCCAACAGACACAGAGCTCATTGTCTTTCCTTTTCCCACCTCAGGGACCAGGAAGGAGGCGCTGGCCTGAAACTACAGTGGCCCCATGGATGGTGGTGGGAAAGCTGGAGCGTCCCCCTTTGGTTTGTCTGAGCTGCCTTGGAGGGTGGCAAGTGTCCTCTGGGAACTGAGGGAGGGGACGTCAGGCTGGGTGACCCTGGAGGGCACCCCTGAGGCCTAGAGAGGACTCTACTCCCAAAAAGCCTTGTGTCAGGCCTGATCTGGGAGATGTAGCTGCCTCTCTGCTTTCTGGGAAGCCAGTGGGATCATATTCTATAGAGATCTGAGGATGGCTGGACACTCGGGAAGGGCCTGGTCACCAGTGAAGTCAAATCCCAAAGGTGACACACTGAGGGGAGGCTCAGCCCCGGGGCCCCCATCCCCTTCACCCCACTGCCTCTGCCCCCAGGGAGGTGAGGGAGGGCTGGGACCCACGGAGGAAACAGCCAAGGCCCTACTTTTTCACGATCCTTTATTAATCAGAACAGGCCTTGCCACAAAAAGCAGGGCCCATTCCCACAAAAATATGATTTTGCAAAGAGGAAATCTTGCTGGCTTAGAGGGTATGTGTGGTGGAAAAATTTTGTATGGTTCTTTTTTTCCTGTTTTTTTTTTTTCTTCAGTTTTTCTTCATTTCTCTTCGCTGCAAAATTTTTTTTTTTGTGATGGTGGGTTTTTGTTTTATTTTTTATAAAACACTTGCACTCAAGAACATACAAACAGTGGCCACCAATCCCCACCCCTGGGGCTCCGGGGAGCCCCCCTGGCTTGTTTGTGGCTGTTTTCCTCTGTCCCTTCCCTGGCATCTGGTGCCAGAGGGCAGGTGCGGGGGTCCTGGGGCGGGTGGAATTTGTACAGCACTTTCATGGGGAGATGGTCACAAGAAAGGAAACCAGGACAAGATAAGGACTAAGTCTAGGGCACCCACAAAGATGGCAGACGAAGCCCATGAAAGGGCCTGCGACAGAGTGAAGAGACGGATGGGCCTGCGTTGGCCTCAGCTAGCTCTGGAGGCTCTGTGGGGGAGGGGCAGGTGGGCCTTGCAGTCAGGATTCGGTAATTACACTTTGCTCACGGGTAGCACCTTCGGAGTCCTCCTGCCTTGACCCCCAGGTCAGGTGATGGTGGCCTCACAACCTCCCCTATGAGGTAGGTGAAGTATTATTACCATCATTTTACAGATGGGGAAACCGAGGCCCAGGGAGTGCGGGTGACTTGCCCAAAGTCCTGGGATGGTGGCAAGGCTCCGGTGCCCTCCCCCCACCCTCAAGTTCCCCCATTCTCTGCTCTCCTATTGCCCTAGACCGCCCCCGCCCCATCCCATACCACCCTTACCTCCCGTGCTAGCCTACCCGGCCCTCGGCCCACCGCTTGCCGCCCCAACATAGCATCCCAGAGCTCCACCTGCACGTGGTGGTGGTGGGGCGCTGGGGAAGCCCAAGCCTGGTCGCTAATGTGCCTGGGTGGGGTCTGGTTGGGAAGAGACCCCTGCCAGGAGATGCTCTCTGCATAGGATTGGCTAAGAGCTCTGTGGGCGGGGCTCGGGAAAAATGGGGAGCCGTTGCCCCGCCCACTCGATACAAGTTGGTTGGATCCCCAGGGCGAAGGCGCCTGGAAGGTGGGGGCTGGCTCACTGGGCGGTCTTCCGCGGGGCAGGCGGGTGGTGGGGGGACAGGAAACCGAGGCGGATCCAAGAGAGGAGTGGAGAAGGGCAGATCCCCTCCTCCGCTCAAGACTTCCCACCACACTCTCTCCCACGTCCACGAGGCCTCGGGGTCGCTGCCCTCCCGTCCCGGCTGGGGGCCGCTCCCCAGCCCGCCAAAGAGGAGGATGCAGTTGGGGCCGACCCCATTTTAAGCAAAGCTACAATATAGAAACATTTGGATTTACAAGGAACGTGGGTGACTATTTGCTTTACATTAGCATTCTTCACTCTACAAAACGATTCACCTACTATGTATGATGTTCCTCCAGATCCCAGGGAGAGGAAATGGTGGGGGTGTGCGATTTAATTTCAGAAAATTTCGGTATGGGCAAAAGGCGACCCGTCTACTGCAGCAAGCAGAATGCTCAGCTCAAGGGGAAGCCGTTCGAAGGAAAATGGTTCCCAAATGCCAATGGTCTCCCCACGCCCTGGATGTGGGGACCCTATCCAGAGTCCCCTTCTTCTCTTTGGGGTGTCACAGGCCCATCCAGAGTGGAACTGGGGGCTAAGACCACGGCCACAGACTGTGGGGGCCTGGCGCCACCTGGCGGTAGTTCTGGGAATGTCAGGCCCAGGCTCGTGGACCCCCAGGATTGGAGGCTTTGTCACCAGCTGGGTCTTGTATCAATACCAGGACCAGCGTGGGGATGAGAGGGCTTAAGCAGGGATCAGCCTGAAATCTGCCGTCTCCAAGGGGAAGCCAGTTTTAGTCTCATCAGTGGCCGAGGCAGAGAAACCACAGCTTCTTTGTGTGTGGCAACCTCAGAACTCACAGAATCCTGGTCTTTTCCCTGCCTCCTTTCCCTGCACTGTGAGTGAGTCGGGCAGAAGGAGCTGCTCCCGGGGACCAGGGAGTGGGGAAGGGTGAGAAGACAGTCCTGGAGAAGGTCAGGTGATGGACGATCAGAGACCACGCACGATGAGACGGAATGAATGGAAGGTCTACAAGCATTGGGGGATGGAGGGGTGGAGGAAAGAAGGGTGGAGGTCTGCACAGGCAGGGAGAGATGAGGAAGGGCAGGCAAGCTGGAAAGCATGGAGAATAGGGCAGATGTGGCTGCGTATGAGGTGTGGGAAGCTGGCGGGGGGTCTTTTGATGAAGGAGTTAGGGCAAAGCTAGTCGGGGCTCGGGACCCCCTGAGAAGGAAGGGAGATGAGTCCTGGTGGAATGCTATGCACACAGTAGGTGCCTAAAAGGTGTGAGTCAGTGTTCAAGAGATGAAATTGCTGAGGAGGGAACTACTTCAGATTCTGAGCAGAGGGGGGCACCAAGGGGAGAAGGGGAGGAGACGGGGGGATGGCAGGAGGCAGCCCAGTTCTCAGCCCAGCTCCAGCAACTGCAGCTCTTCTGTTTCTGACCTCTGCCTCACCCGACCCCACTCAGCCCTATGGGCCTCTCCTCTCACACCCCCGGCCTCCAACCCTGCCTGGCCTTCACAAAACCTGCCTTCTCTGTATAGTCCTCCGCATTTCCAGGCCTCTGTCCCCACGCACACACACAATGGACACAACACGAGTACAAAGGGCCACAGCTCCAGGACCCAGGAGCGGGCTATATACTATCCTCGACATTCAGGGCCCAGCCGGCACCTGAAACTGCCCTGGGGATGGGCCTCTCCTGGCCAGGCCGGGGCCAAACGCCTCAGCCTCCCCTCCCCGGGTCCACATCGGGGGCTGGAGAGGGAGTGGCCTCTCTCCACTCCAGGTGCTGCCTTAAAGAAAATGGGGGACCATGCCCACCTGGCGGGCCTCTGGAGGGGTCTGCCTGTCTGGCCGTCTGGCTCTCGAGCTCCCCCAACTTCTTTAGTATTAGTAAGTCAGGAAGAAAAGGGGCAAAGCAGGAAAATGCCTCCCAGAGCCCCTTCCCCGGAGCTGGACTGTGGGGGATGGGGCTGGTACTTCCTAGAAACGGGGCCCAGTTGAGTCCTGGGACCCCTCCCTGGCTGAGCCCTCAGGGTCCTCCCCTCCCTATGGCAGGGGGCTCAGGCCGGGCGTTGTGCATAAAGTGGTGAGGGCATGATGGGGACCTGGGCCCTCGGCCCCCTGGGCCTCCCTTGGCCCCACTCAGGCCTTCAGCTGGTGCCACTGGGCCACGGGCTGCCGGGGACGGGCAATCATGTCCTTCCAGTGCTTCACCTCCCCTGGCCCGCTCTTCCAGGACAGGTAGATCTGGGGAGAAAGGGGAGACGATGGCATCGGCACAGGCTCCAGGGCACTGGCCCTTTCCCCCACAGGGGTGACACCCCAACTCCACCATGATACCCTAGCCTGTGGCCCCCCAGCCTCCACATGCTGTGACAACCTACCCCACAGAGGCGCTCTCCTCCCTCCCCCAGTCAGCCTGATCTATTTTCCTGGTTGTCTACCCCCACACCCCCAAGCCTGGGCACGCCAGGCCTCTCGGAATTAGACTGCCAACCTATTTTGCAGTGGGGTCTGGAAGGTGGGGTTGGAGGCAGCTTGTCTCCATGGCCTTCCCTGCCCTATCTGTTGGGTGATGTCCAGCCCCCCTGAATTATAATCATTCCCAACTCCTGGGCACTTGCTACATGTGAGTACTGAGCTAGGGACTTCATACACATAGATCATCAAATCCTACAACTGTGAGGTAGGATTATATGATTATCTCCATTTTTCAGATGGGGAAACTAAGGTACGAAGAGTTAAGAGACTTACCCACAGTCACAGGGTTTATAAGTGGTGCAGAGGGATTGAAATCCAGGTCTTTGGAGCTCTATGCTACCGGCCTAATCCTGCTTCGCAGCCTCACCCGGCTGCATGCATGAATCCCTCCGGAACCCCCAGGATTGGCCCAGCTGACCTCAGCTTTGGGACTTGGGGGTGATTAAGAGTATGAGCATTGGAGAAAAAACAGGTACATGGGGCCTTCTATAGGACACCCGGCCAGTATTCCTTAAGACCGTTAAGATCATAGAGAATGGGAAAGACTGAGAAACTGTCAAGGGCCAGAGGGGACAGGGGAGACATGCCTATTAAATGCAATGTGGTGTCCTGGATTGGATGCTGGGACAGAAGGAGGACATTAACGGAAAGACTGGTGAAATACAAATAACGGCCGGAGTCTAGTTCACAGCAACGCAGTGCCCATGTTGGTTCCTCAAGCTGTGACGAATGTCCCATCAAATGTGAGACGCTAACAACTGGGGAGGCTGCGTAAGGGGTAGATGGGAACTCTCTCTACTATCTTTGCCACTTTTCTGTAAATCTAAAATTATTCAAAAATAGTGTTTTTGTTTGTTTGTTTGTTTGTTTTTGAGACCGAGTCTCACTCTTGTCGCCCAGGCTAGAGTGTAATGGCACGATCTCGACTCACTGCAACCTCCGCCTCCCAGGTTCATGTGATTTTCCTGCCTCAGCCTCCCGAGTAGCTGGGATTACAGGCGCCCGCCACCACGCCCGGCTAATTTTTGTATTTTTAGTAGAGATGGGTTTCACTATGTTGGGCAAACTGGTCTCACACTCCTGACCTCGTGATCTGGGCAAACTGGTCTCACACTCCTGACCTCGTGATCTGGGCAAACTGGTCTCACACTCCTGACCTCGTGATCTGCCCGCCTTGGCCTCCCAAAGTGCTGGGATTAAAGGTGTGAGCCACCACGCCCAGCCAATAAACAGTGTATTTTTTTTTTTTTTTAAAAAGGATGGTTGTGGCCTCAGTGGAGGAGTACAGTGGCTGACGCCCGTAATCCCAGCACTGTAGGAGGCCAAAGTGGGAGAATCACTTGAGCCCAGGAGTTTGAGACCAGATTGGGTAATATGGTGAAACCTCATCTTTACAAAAAATACAAAAAAATTAGCTGGGCATGGTGGTACGTGCCTGGAGTCCCAGCCACTTGGGGACTGAGGTGGGAGGATCACATGAGCCTGGGGAGGTCGAGGCTGCAGTCAGCCATGATTGTGCCACTGCACTCCAGCCTGGACTACAGTGAGACTCTGTCTAAAAAAAAAAAAGATAGGGAGGTCAGGCACGGTGGCTCCTGCCTATAATCCCAGCATTTTAGGAGGCCAAGGCGGGCGGATTGCTTGAGGTCAGGAGTTCAACCAGCCTGGCCAACATGGTGAAACCCCATCTCTACTAAAAATACAAAAATTATCCCAGCATGGTGGCAGATGCCTGTAATCCCAGCTACTTGGGAGGCTGAGGCAGGAGAATCGCTTGAACCCAGGAGGCAGAGGTTGCAGTGAGCCAAGATTGTGCCACTGTACTCCAGCCCGGGTGACAGAGTGAGACTCTATCTCAAAAAACAAAACAAAACGAAACAAAACGAAAAGGATGGGGAGCAAGCTCCAGCTCTGTAACACATGGTGGAACTTCTTTTAGCCCCAGACCTTCCTCTGTAAAGCGGGCTGATGACTGTACCTGCCTCACAGATAGCTGGGATGGTGCATGTCATGTGCTCAGCTGGGAACAGTGGCCTGCCTCTGTGTGGTGAGTTCTCTCAGCCAGCGGCTCCATCCTGCTGGAGCTGGTTAACTATTCGGAGGTCACGGAGCTCTAGGGCCACTGTGGGCCTGCCCTGCTCTGGGATTGCCCCCATGGCAACCTCAGCCCAGCATGATACTGATAGCCTTGGATGATGCCAGGCAGACAAGGGGCAGACTCTTGGCTTCCAGGGGCTGAGCAGGAGCTGGGAGTCAGAAGGATTCAGAGATCCTTGGGCTCCGTAAGTTACCAGGCCAAAGTGAGAACAAATCCACATTTGCTTTGGTTCAGCCAACAGAAGGTAGGCCTGTTTCAGAAGGAGCTCTAATTGGTATCTAAGGAATATCCGACACCAAGAGGCGAAGCTTCAAAAGAACATCAAAGGAGATATGGTCACTTGGCCTTTGGGCTGAGCTGGTCAAACGGGGTGCTTGGCAAGACCCGAGCCCTGGCCAGGGAGGGCCACATACTTTTTCTGGAGTATGAGTGGCAATGTCCTGGGGAGTTGTCTCACCTGTGACCACAGATTGGCCAGTCATACTCCCCGTGCCATACCTGATGGCAAGCAGGGGAAGCTCTCCTCTTTTAGGCCAGGCTGCTTCCCTCACCCCAGCAGGTGAGTTCTCCATTCCCATCTGTCTGAGGGTTGCCTCCAACTCAGCTCCCTTCCCTGTGGGTATCCAGTCCCCCTTTCCCTTTCCCCCACACAGGATAATGCCCAGGTATGTGCCCCTCACTCACTCCTGGCATCTCCCCTTCCTCCATGACTGCCCTGAGCACTGGTTCCTCACATACTCCTGGTCAAACTGTCCTGCCTGAATGGATATACATGCCCCTTTATTATCATACTAGCTAACATATGTTCCAAGTCCTATGCTAAACAGCTCACCTGTGTGATCTTACTTAATCCTCTCAGCACATTGTAAGGGTAGGACCATCCCACTCTCATTTTGAGAGGAGAAAATGAGGCTCAGAGAGGTTACAGCGTTAAAAAGTAACGCTAGGATTTGGACCCAGGCAATCTGACTCCCGAGCCCATGCTCTCAACACTAAACCATAAATAAACACAGGAGTAGACATTTTAAGGTAGAAGCATGGAAGGGTTTATGTCACAGAATCCCGTCCTGGGAAAACTCAAGGTCAGGTATGAATTTTTTGGTTACGTGATATGAAGAGATCACTTTTTTTTTTTTTTTTTTTTTCAGGCAGAGTTTTCTCTGTTGCGCAGGCTGGAGTGCAGTCTTGCAATCTTGGCTCACTACAACCTCTGCCTCCTGGGTACAAGGGATTCTCCTGTCACAGCCTCCTGAGTAGCTGGGATTACAGGCACCCGCCACCATGCCCGGCTAATTTTTCTATTTTTAGTAGAGACGGGGTTTCACCATGTTGGCCAGGCTGGTCTCAAACTCCCGACCGCAGATGATCCACCCGTCTTGGCCTCCCAAAGTGCTGGGATTACAGGCATGAGCCACTGTGCCCGGCCAACTTTCTACAAGAAGAACATCCACATACCTCAAGCAATTCTTACGCCACCCTGTAAAGTTCTACAGGGACAGTATTAGTTGCTCCATTTTACAGATGAGAACACTAAAGCTTGGAGAGGCCGAGCCACTTGCCCAAGGTGATATGGTTGTTTATCGGCAGATGGAGTGGGAACTGAAACGAGGTCTTTGGAGTCTGACTGCAGCTCCCAACACTGCCCCACGCAGCTCACCCTGTGCAGATGGGACCCCGGGCAATACTGCTCCAACGTCATCATCCTGTCCAGTAAACCTTTCTTTTGAGATCCAGGCCATTCCTCTCTTGCACTCCTTTTCTCCCTGCTCAGCTGGCAGTCTGTCCTGAGCTGACTTACCCATAGGAGGACACTCAGAGAGGAACCCTAGGGAGGGGGTCATCTCATCCCCTTATTTTTGGATGAAGAAACAGAGGCCTGAGAGGAGAGGAGACTGATCCCAATCTCTCCTGGTGTCCAGCCTGTGCCCGTCCACTACCCCCGCTGCTTCTTTTAAGGAACGGAGCCTCACTGGTGCCAGCAGGTGCACCACACCACCTGCCTCGCCCCTACCTTGCCGATGACGTCATTGCGGCTGAGCTTGTCCTTGTCCATGACAGTGATGATGATGGTCGTCTCCCTCAGCTTCTCCGTGGGGATATCGAAGGCGAAGGACTCATTGAAGATGGGGTTCAGGTTCCTCTTCATCGTCACCGTCTTCTTCTTCTCCACCCGCTTGTCCTTGTACATCAGCCATACCTTCACGTAGGGGTCTAGGGGAGGGAGTGGGGAAGGGTTAGAGGGACCGTGGGGGAGGGACTTCCTAGGATCCTTTTCCCCTTCCAGGAATGGAAGCTGAGGCAGGAGGGCCGTGTGCTTTCCCCAGAGGCAAGGAAAGACCCAGGCAAGAACAAGAGGGACCTGGGAGAATCAGCAGATGGACCTTAGCGATCACCTGGGGCCCTCCTATTACTACCAATGAGGAAACTGAGCCCCAGAGAGGCCAGGTCTTGCCCAAAATCTCAGACAAGTAGCATCAGAGCTGGGGATAGAACCCAGGTCTTCCCACAATGTTCCCTCTTTCTGATTCTTGGAAGAACATAATCCAGGATGATGCTGACATCTTGATTCTTGAACAGAGTCCGAGATGAGGGTGCTCCAAAGGGGGGCCCCAGGGTCTCTAGGGTAAGGAGTGAGGACTGGAGGTCGGGGTGTGGCGGGTTGGGGTGAGGACCACTGCAGACCCTGCTCTCCACATCCGGTGTAAA
Organism: Homo sapiens; assembly: GCF_000001405.40. Classification (NCBI taxonomy): domain Eukaryota; kingdom Metazoa; phylum Chordata; class Mammalia; order Primates; family Hominidae; genus Homo; species Homo sapiens. The sequence continues at coordinate 61,523,770 of NC_000011.10, forward strand.
CCTTGTGTCACCAGCACCTCCCCGGCCCGCCCATCCTCTGCTGGAGAAGCCCCGTACCTGATGTGCCCCCGATGTCCATGGCTTTGAGGTTCCGGGCTTTGATGATGTTCACGATGATGGAGTTGGCAGAGGGGTTGTAGCAGAGAGACAAGAGCAGCTCCCCTCGGCTCCCCTGGGAGGCACGACAGGAGGGGTGTGGGGAACTAGGCTAGCAGAGCTCTCTGATTGGCCTAGCTGCCCCCAGGTCCCCTCTACCCTGACCTTGGTGCTTACCCATGCCCCTGTCTGTCACCTCTGTCTCACTCTGTCTCCCCCCATCTGGCAGGTGTGTGTACTGCCCCTCCCAGGGTCACCATCGCCTCCCTGTTCCCTGAACATAGCCCTAGGTTCCTTCTTACAGATCGGGTGAGTCCCCCCAAGTGCCAAGCACCAATGTTCTGACTGCTAGCGAGGGCTGAGCTCCATCGGGTCCACCCATCTGCACCCTCTCCCACAGCCCTCCTGGCCTTCCTAAGGTTGACAAGGGTCTGGGACCAGATCTCCCAGCCCTGCCCTGCTGCCTGTCCAGCTAAGACCCACCCATGGGGCCTTACACTCCCATCGCTGCATGGCTTCAGATCCTTCCAGAAGGTCTGCATCTGGGTCAGGTCCACCTTGTTAAGGGGGATGGACACCTCCCCAATGGGGTCGTTGCGGCTGAAGCGGTCATAGTCCAGGACTTGGAGGTAGAGGATCCTCTGCACCACCTTCTCATAGGGAAAACCTGGGGGTATAGATGAGTGTGAGTGAAGAGGGGGACAGAGGGGCTGCACGGGGCCCGGGAGGCAAGGAAGGCCCTGGGAAGAGGAGGCAGGCCCTGTGCCCTCCCGCTGCCACCCCACCGGGCCAGCAGGCACACCGGATTGCAATTAGACCTTACTGAAGTGCTAGCAAGAACTGTCACCGTCTCATGGGATTCCCTCAACAATTCTCCAAGGTGAATGGCATCTCGTCCATCTTACAGATGAGGCTCAGACGGCTTAAAGTACTTGCCCAGACTCCCAGCTAGTAAAGAGTAGAACTGCGATCATCCATTCACCCATGCACCTTGTGTCCATCTCAGTGGCTGAGCAGCCTCTGCCAATCGTCCCGAGGCGGGTCTGGGCAAGTGGCTCTGTCTAGGTGGCCACAGCTGCCAGTACGCAGGCCCCAGGACTCAGGGCAGAGGGACATGGGGAAGCATCGGTGGGAGGGAAAAGGCAAAGGCACAGAAGCAGGAGGTGACAAGTGTCCTGTGACTCCACACCCCTCTCCTCCTGCCTGTGCTTCCATCCTTCCTACCGCAGCGTCCCCTTCTCTACTGCCACCTCCCTCATCCGAGCCGCTGGCACCTCTTGCCTAGGCAGCTGCAAGTGTCTCCAAACCGCCCTCCCCGCATCCACGCTTTCTCCTACCGTCCATTCTCAATGCGGCAGCCAGAGAGACCTTTTAAAAATAGAAATTCCATCATGATATGCTCCTGCTTAAAGCCTTTCAATGGCTCCCAGTGCACTTAGAATAAAAGCCGGGCACCCTACCTTGGCTTCAAGTCCTTCCACAATTTGGCCCGGCTGTCCTCTCCCTGCTTGGCTTGTGACCTCTCTTCACTCAATGACTGGGCTCCAGCCACATCGGCCTCCTTCCTGGCCCTTCAACACCCCGACTCCTCCCGCCTCAGGGCCGGGCGCACACTGGCCCCATCATGACCCCCCTCCTGGCTACTCTCATCCTTCAGGTCTCAGCATTCTTTCCTGGCACCCCAGAGAGTGTCGGATCCCATTATCCGCTCTAGCACCTTTTTTTCCGCAAAACATAACACACGCGGTAATAGATTTCTCTGTCTCTTTCCCTGATTTTTGTCTGGCTCTCCCGGAAGGCAAGGATTCCCACAAAGGCCTCTCTGTTACCAACCACTGGCTCTCGGTGCCTAACACCGCTTCTGGCACATAGTAGGCACTCAATACATATTTGTTAAGTGAATGCATAATTGAACAGATGAATCAATGCCAATGAAATGGCCTGATGGAGCAGCAGGACTGTGCTGAGGTGAGGTGTCCGCTAAGGTCAGAGGGAGAGGAGCAGAAGGGGCTTGGATGGGATGCAGAAGGGAAGAGGGGGCCAGGTGAAGGTCTGAAGCCAGGAGTCATTAGCTCTTTGGAGGCTTAGTCAGAGGTGGGACTGGCCCAGGAGGTGCCGGGGGGCACAGGCCAGCCTGGAGGCCTGAGGTGAGGAGATTCTGAAACCAGGTATGAGCAGGAAGGAGGACGCCTGGAACCTCAGCCTGGCTGGTGCAGAAGATGAAGGGAAGGAGGAGCTCTAGAAGATTCCAGCACCTTCCCCCAGAGACTCTGGAAGCACCGAGGAGCTCTGACAGGAGCAGGTGAGCTGGAAGAGGAGACTCTGAATTTGTTCAGGGTCCCTTTCCTCATATTGTGGGAAGCTGTGTCTTGCTTATTTCAGAGCCTCCCAGGGACCTTGCCCAGGGGACCCTTGGCATCAATTTAGGTAAAATGCATGAGGACAAGTGTTCTGGGAATATTGGAAGCTCCAAGAGGTCACTGCACCCCAGTCAGCTCTCATCAACACCAGAGGAGGCAGGCTCCTAGCTGGCAAACTCCTACTCATCCATCAGAACCCATTTTGAATGGCCCCTCTTCTGGGAAATGTTCTTCAGCACCACCAAAGGGAGCTCATACTGGCTTCCTGCAGCTCCTGTCATGCTGTGTGTGGCTGAGTTATCTACACATCTGGGTCTCCATTAGGCCAGAAATGCCCTGAGGGCCATAATGGTGCCTCATTCTTTTCTACATCCCCAGTACGTAGAAGAGTGCCCAGCTCATGGCTGTTGCTGGGTACATGCTCGTGGAAGAGACCGGAGGATTGGAGTTCTGCTCAAAAACTTCGCCCTGCCAGCTGCCTACATATACCTCCAGACAGCTGAACCTCTTGCTGGTTGAGCTATCTCTAAACGGGCCCTCATGGTGCCTGCAAAGGAGGGCGTCCAGAAACACATGGACACTCACTGCTCACCCTCAGTGCCATTTAGTGGGTGACCTGGCTGTCATCTTGCAGAAGAGGTGGGGTGCTAAGTGGCTGGGAAGGCAGGTGGGGAAAGGTCCCTGGGGTACACGGTGAAGATTCTGGAAGGCTAGGGCTTGGGGCAGCTGGGGTAGGGATTTACTCTCCCTGGTTGAACCGGGGGCCATTGGCAAAGGGTTACGGTTTGTCTAAGCGGGGTCCTGGCACCCAAAGGCCCTGGGATAGAAATCACTCCTTAATCACACGCCCAGCTTCCTGGTTACCTTGAATCCTCAGAGATAAGAGATAAAGACCGGCCTTCAGAGAGGGCTTGCAGGAGAGAGAAAGGACATTTGTCTCAGCGGCCTCCAGGCATGGTTCAGAGCTGTGGTTCCCGTCCCATGCGGGGGAGGGGGTCAGAGAACGGCAACAGATGGAGTGTGTTTAACAACCTGGTATTAAGCATTTGCTGGGTGTCAGGCACTGTTCTAAGTGCTTTTACAATTCACTCATTTATTGAACCCTCGCTGTTATTATCTCTATTTTGTAGATGAGGAAACCAAGTCATAGGGAGGCTCAGGAACTTGCCCAAGGTCACGCAGCGAGTAAGTGGCAAGAGCTGGGATTCAAACCCAGGCAGCCTGGGCCACAGCCTGTGCACTGAACCACTATGATCTGGTGGCTCCAGAGTGCTCCAGCTCTGAGTCCTACGGGTGCCTCCCTCCCTCCCTGCCCTCCTCAGGATGAGCTCTGTGGCTGGGCTGAAACACCAGGCGGTGGCCCAGCTTCCCTCCTCGGCCTCTGGCTGTGATGCTGGCTCCATTGGGCTCCTGTGACCTGATCCCAACTAGACACAAAACGCATCAGGTTAACCGGGCCAGGACGTTGCCTGTGTGGGCGTGTGCGAGAGCACATGTGTGGATCTGTGCCTGTGCACACATGCAGGTGTGCACATAAGTGTATCTGCTTGCATGTGTGTTTGTGCATTTGTGGGCCTGCAGGTGTGTGTACACATATGTGTCTGTGCATGTGGCCACAAGTGTGGTTGGGTAGGGGGATGGTAGACAGCAAGAGGTGACCATGGCGGGGGAAGGTGGCACTAGACTCACCTTCAAAGAGGAAGGTCTCGTTCCAGTGGGGGTTCAGGTTCTTCCGCTTCACCTTGGTCTCCAGCTTGTGCTTCTTGTCGGGCAGCAGGTAGATCTTGACGAAGGGGTCGCTGGTGCCGCTGAAGTCCTTGGCCGGCAGCTCCTGGGCCTTCATGATCTTCACGGTGAGCGTGGACTCCTGGAAGTTGTAGCCGACACTGAACTGGATCCGGCCCAGGTTCTCTCGGCTGCAACCCTCGTGGGCCTCATCCTCCTCGGAGCCTGGGGAGAGCTGGGGGTGGGGGAGAGGCCGGCAGGGTTTGGGGAGGATTCTGCTTCCCCCATGTCCCCACCGCTGGCTAGCACGGGTGAGAGGCCAGAGGCGGTGGCCCAGCCCACACTCACATCCCACGGACGCTGCTCAGGCTCAGAGGGCAGGTGCCTTGACCAGGGTCTCCCAGGAGGGGAGGGGAAGGGGGAGGGCAGAGCCGAGACAGCCCTGTCTCCTGAACCTCAGAGTGGTATGCACGACACTCACTTCCCAGGCTCTCCTCGCAGCCCTGGGTCTGCTGCCTGCCCCAAGCTCCAGCTCAGCTGCCTCGCCTTCCTGGCTGCAGCTTCCCTGGCGCGTGCTGGGGTTCCTGAGCCCCCCAGACCTCCCTGCCTTCTTGTGACACGGTAGGGCCAACTGTGGGAGGCACCGACACAAACCTGGGCTACACAGCAGATGAGGGAGGCTGTTCACATCACAAAAGAGTTTACCGCAACAATTCTTTGGAAAGTGACTCTCTAGGGTGCGGAGAATGGTGTGATTTACAAAATGAGAGAGGCAAGTTTTCAGGAGCAACGTCTGTTTGTGTAAGGCAGAATCACTAGGGACAAGAAAATTGCAGACTCCCCAGGCCCCGTCCCCAAGCAGTTTGACGATGGGGCTGGTGTGGGCCTGGGCATCAGTGCTGTGTAAAAGGCGCCTCAGATGACTGTACCGTCCATGGGGGCTGAGGACTGCTGGGAGGGAGGGCGCATGGCCTGACCCAGCAACAGACAGTCACACAGAGGCAGGGTGAGCATCTCATCCCGTTCTGACATTGAACCACAGGAAGCAGCTGGGAGGAGGGTCTCCCAGCCACGTGTCTGAACCTGTGAGCACACCAGTAGTACCTAGGAGGTTTTAGAACCCTACCCACCCCCCAGCCGCCTGAGCCCCAGACCACTGACCACAACAGACCCAGTTAGGGGGCTGTATGGCTCAGGTACCCTGGCTCGAAAATCTCCCGTGATGACTGGATGAGGGACAGAAGTAGGACCCTGGGTACCACAGTTAAGAAAAACTGCAGGCATCTCTTCTCTCCCCAACTTCCCCTGTAGAAACCTGCTTTGTGCCCTTTCCTTCATCCTGGAGAGGCAGCCCTAGGCTCTGAAAGACTAAATAATACAGATAATAATAATGCATCAAGTGGGCTCTTACCATGACCAGCGACTCTCGCATCGCCGTCTCCTTACTGAATCCTGACAATAGCCAGGCGAGGCAGGTGTCACCACCCTCTAGCTGAAGAGACTGGTTCAGAGAGGTGAAGTCACATGGCCAAGGCTGACGGCAGTAGGAACCCTCTCTGACTCAAAATCCTGCTCTTTCCACTAAAGCAGGCCCACACCCCAGGGCAACACTGAGGTTTCCCCTCAAGCCGGCAAAGACCCACAGACACCGTGCCAGGTGAAAAGCGTCGGAATCACCCTCATGATAGTTTTTTGTTTTTTTGAGCCAGGGTCTCGCTCTGTTGCCAAGGCTGGAGTGCAGTGGTGCAATCCTGGCTCACTGCCACCTCCACCTCCCAAGGTCAAGCGATTTTCATGCCTCAGCCTCCTGAGTAGCTGGGACCACAGGGGCGTGCCACTACGCCTGGCTGATTTTTGTACTTTTAGTAGAGGCAGGGTTTTGCCACGTTGGTCAGGCGAGTCTCTAATTCCTGGCCACAAGTGATATGCCCGCCTCAGCTTCCCAAAGTGCGGAGATTACAGGCATGAGCCACACACCCGGCCTCACACTCACAGCAGTAACTATCTTAGACTGGCTGGCCGCCCACCTCACCAGACCCTGCCCTGTGCCCTGTGCCTTGTCCTCACTGACCTCTTACAACATCCCAATGAGGCAAGCACTCCCGCTGGAACACGTGGAACACAGCTGGAACAGTTTCCCGGTGTTCCAACTGTGGCTGCGAGCACAGACAGGTTAGGTCACTTGCCTCAAGTCACCTGCGATTGAATGGCCAGTGGGAATGGAACCCAGTTTATCGGCCAGGAATCCTGAGTGCCCTTCCACCTGCGCCTTGCTCTTGCCCTCAGATCTACAGTCTGAGGCTTTACCCCGGTCCTGCCTAGTTGGGGGCACCGAGCTGCCTTACAGCAGAAGATGTTCCCTCCAGCCCCCACCCCTTGGCCGATCCAGACAAACCTGCAAGCGCCACCGCAGGCCCATTGAGAATGTGGCTTTCCTGCCCACAGCCTGCTTTTTCCCGACGCTCTTTTCCCTGCTCATGCCAGCCCCACACCCTTTGACCCTGTTTTTACATCTGCAGAGTGGGGACCATGAGACCTACTTTGCGGGGTCCTGGGAGAGCTAGAAGGGGTTCCTTCTAGAGTTCTGCCCCGCGACCTGACCCACTGGCAGAGGGATCGAGCACCTGGGGCATAGCATGGGTAGACAGTGCCAGCAAAGATCACTCGCCCTCCCCCTTGCTTCTGAAGTTGGGGTGGAGTTGCTGGTGACTGAAGCCCAGCTGGCCTCAGCCCCACCTGAGGTCCCTCTGGTCCCTTGGCTCCTGGCTGCCAAACAGTGTGGTCTTGGGAAGGCCTGGGCTGGCCAGGTAGGTTTCACCTGGGAAAGGGGTGGCAGCTCTATGCCCACTCCCAGCCTTCTTAAGCCACAACCCTGAGCCCTACTTACTCAGCTGGGACAGAGCCATCTCTGTGGCAGCCAGGTTGGCCACCCCATCACAGTCAGGGAAGGTGCTTCCTGAGCGCTTGCACCAGCAGAAGTCAGCCTCGAAAAGCAGCAAGCCACCCCTATACCAGGGCAGGAGGTGCCCAGAAGCAGGTGTGGCCTCGCCTCTTCTCAGACACCTCTGCCCCTCAGCTCCTTCTTTGGCCAGCTCTGGGTGCTTAACTCTTGTCTCTTGACCCCCAGATTCCACAGCCCAGGGTCCAGAGACCAGGACAGGCTGAGGTCACAGTGGGCTGATTCTGCCCTGCTTATCTTATCATGGCTGTTAACATCAACGACCTAGCATTGGCACAGAGCTGTGCAATTAGACTCTGCCCTCCCACCTCTGAGCATCCTCCCAGCACAGGAGAGGGAGATGAGGCCTGCCCTTCCTTCCGCTGGCTGCAGCTGTCGGCCCTTCCCTGGGGGCAGCAAGGGGCAGGCAAGCTGGCTGGGAAGGGGCTGTCCCTTCTGGGAACCTGGCTGCCAGGAAGCTGTAACCAATTAAGGGGCTGTGCAGGGAGGCAGGGTGGGCTGTGGCAATGGCCCATCCAGAAGAGAAGACAGCTGGGGCCAGTCTTCCTGGGGGGGGGAAGATGGAAGGAGGGCAGTGGAGGGCCAGACACACAGGGGCCTGGTGGGCAGGGAGAAGGGGAGAGGTGGGGAGGCCCAAGGTGACCAGATCTAGGATGTGGAAAATCTGATGCTCTAATGTGGATTCAAGAAAACCACAGGATAGACCGGGCGCAGTGGCTCATGCCTGTAATCACAGCACTTTGGGAGGCCGAGGCAGGTGGATCACTTGAGGCTAAGAGTTTGAGACTGGCCTGGCCAACATGGTGAAACCCCGTCTCTACTAAAAATAGAAAAATTAGCCGGGCGTGGTGGTGTACTACTGTAATCCCAGCTACTCGGGAGGCTGAGGGAGGAGAATCACTTGAGCTCGGGAGGCAGATGTTGCAGTGAGTTGAGATTGTGCCACTGCACTCCAGCCTGGGGGACAGAGTGATTCTGTCTCAAAAAAAAAAAAAAAAAAAAAAAAGCAGGCTCTTAGGCCCCACCGAAGGCCCATTGACCAGGAATCTGCATTTTACCAAGGTTCCCGGCTGATTCCTGTGCACGTAGCAATTTGAGAAACGCCAGGCTAGAAGGGGCAGTGGGGATGGATGGTTAGAGCTGGCTGGAACCCTACATGGCAGAAGGGTGGGGGCTCTGGTGCCAGGGCAGTAGGGGAGGGCTGGGAGCTCCCAAGCCTACTTCTTTCTCTCTACAGAAGGGAGGGGTTGAATCCAAGGAGATGAAGTGTCCCAGGTCAAGTCCAGTAGGAACAGAGCAGGTGCTGGGTTCCCAGCCTCATCGCCTCTTCAAGCCTTCCTGAGACTTCTGAGCTAATCCCCAGTTTTCTCCCTCCAGGGCCTCTTTGGAAAGTACAGGTGGGGCAAGTGGCTGTGACTCACTGCTGCCCCCCTGGGGGCACCATGGGAACCACAACCTCTGTCTGGGCCAAACAACCTAGAACTAGGATCCCACAGGGTTGGTGGCATCTGGTGGGGCGTGGGTGTGGACAGGAGCCCCCATCACAGCTGTCCCCTCAGAGGAGCCGGGACCAGTGGATTCCTGCTCTCCTGTTCTCAGGGGCCACCAGCCATGGGAATGGGGCAGGTCACTGGGCTAGGCATTCTACCCCAGACCTCCAATTAAGGGGACATCACTCTCAGGAGGGGACATCTTCTGCCCTGAGTCCTCTGCCCACCAGCCTTTCCCTCTAGGATCCTGAAAGTATCTTGCATGAGTGGGTTTTCTTTGGCCCCTTCTCAATCCACAAAGGGATCCAAGCAGGATGGGTATTCTTATTTTCACTTGTCAAAGGAAGAAACTGAGACATGGAGAAGATATTTTGGTGAAAGAGCTGGGAAGCAAACCCAGGCCTTGGACGCTCAGTCACCAAGCGCCGAGTGGCCACCATGCTGGGCCTGGCTCTCCAGGCTGCTTCTGACCCAGTTCCCTGCCTGGCCACTCCCATGCTGTTAATCATTCCCACACACATCCCTCTTCTTCCTGCCCCTGGCCTCCCAGCCCAGTTCCTTGGAGCAGCGCAGGCTCCCTCATTCTCACCATGAGCATCTCGCTGGTGAGGGAGTTGACGAGGTCTGAGACGGAGGAACGTGGCTCGGTCCGGCGGTCGGACTCATCGTGGGGTGTCTGGCCTGGCACGGGGGCTGTGTTCACCGCCTTCCCTCCTGCAGGCAACCTGAGGGCAGGGGAGTCCAAATGAGATTGGGCTGGGAAGTGAGCTGCGTTGGGCACCCCGGCCTGGGGGGTGGCAGGACCTTCTCTGAAGACCCCAGCAGCTGCCATGCCCGGCGGGCCGGCAGGAGCGGTACTCCAGTCCACGTGGACACCTGGTTTTCCCTGGAGACCCATGCCCGGGGCCCATTCTCCTTGCAGCCTCTACCCCAGGCGACTGTGGCTTAACTACTCCTATAGGGGATATTTTGGGGGGTGTCCCCATTCTTCCTGTTCCCCAGAAACCCCCCACCCTCCAGTCATTGGCTTGCATAGTCGGTCTCTGAGGTGGCCACTGCCCCCAGTCCTCAGAGGCTTGTTCTATCCCATCCGCCCCCAGCCTGGAAGGGGGAGGCTCCACCGTGGTGTGGTGTGTCCAGGTGCCTCTCCGCGTCATTACCCTCTGCAAACACGCCCAGAATGTCTGTTTCCCAGATGCCCCACCTGTGTTTGCTTGGGCTCATCAAGAGTTCTCTTCCCACCCTCCAGACGTGAGACTGACCAGGTGAGGTCAGGACAACTCTCCACAGTGACAGAGTGTTCTGTATTTGTGCTGTCCAGTGGAGCAGCCACATGCCACACGTGTGCACTTGAGCATTTGCAATGTGGCCAGTGTGGCTGAGAGCTGAAATTTTAATTTTGTTGAATGTAAGCTCATTTAGTTTAATGGCCCCATATTGGATAGGGTGAGCCTACACCCCCTTGCTCCTCAGTTCCCATCCTTCTCCCACTTGCTGAAGACTGTGCATTTGGTAAGGCTCTCACCCAGGGTCACAGAAAGACGGGCACCACCGAGAAGCCCTGTCTGTACCTGACTCCATGCCGTTCCCAGGATGCTGGGTTCTTTGACCCAATGGCTGGGTGGTGAGCCCAGGCTCCGTTCAGCTGGGGGTCAGGAAGGGGGCACTAAAAGCCTGCCCAGGGACCAGGATGGAATGTCCCATGAGGAGGAAGAGAGGTAGGGGTAGGTAGGGAGGAGGAGACGGGGGACCAGTAGCATGAGGCTCAGGACAGGCTAAAATAGAACAGCTTTGAGAGCACACAGCCACAAACTGGGAGCCACACGCTGAGGGTGGACATGAGCCATGGCCCTCTGGTAGAGACCAGCCTCCAGCACACAGGTGACCACGACAGGCACAGACAGACATGCATGGAATATGCCAGGCCCTGGAGGGGAGACATCAGGATCCCAAAGCAGGGTGCACGTGCGCACACACACACGCACATGCATGCACACACATGTACACACGCACGCACACATGCGCATACACACACGCACACGCACGCACACACGCACGTGCGTGCATATGTACACACACACATGCACATGAGCCCCACAGACATCCAGAGGGGCAGGGAGAGGATGGCAGAGGCCACAGTCAGGCCAACCACAGCAGCAGTGACGACACACATACAGCGATGGCACGCAGGGATCCCGAGAGGAGATGCACTGGGGAGACCCAGGCATGCCACGTGTGCACGTGAAGGGAGACAAACTGAAACGGAAAGGGCAGGGAGTGGTTTCAGGGCCCAACATCCTGATTATCAGAAGCACGATACACCTGCTGTGACAACCTGGCCCTGCCTCTACAACACGGAAACGCCCACTCCACCCAGCGACACGCGGGCGCCCCTCCCAGAGGGCCATGGCACACATGGACATGTGGACACGCACGCACCACATACACACACACACACACACGAGAGGACACGTGCTCACACGGGCAGGCAGGGGGAAGGAAAGGAGCCCGAAACAGCTGGAGAGGTAAAGTCAGGTTAGAAACAGAGTGGAAGAGCAGGGAGAGTGTGAGATTGACTGCTGAAGATATGAGAACGTTAGAGTTATTTGGCCACGCTGCAGCGTCGGCACAGCTGCCAAGCAGCCTGGGAAAGATAGTCAGCGCCACTGAAGCTGTCGGAGGTCACAGGACAGAGAGACAGAGGTGAGAGGCACAGAGAGAGGCAGAGGGAGAGGCCGAGGGGCCCATCACCGGCCCAGGGCAGCCCTGTGAGGAGCAGATGGGAGAAAGGAGACAGAAGGAGAGAGAGGCCAAGAAAGTTAGTCAGAGACGGGCGAAGGCTGCCGGGTGGACGAGGGGACAGGGAGGAGCGTGCGGCCAACAGGAGAGGCAGAGAGGAGGCGGGGGACACACACCGTGACAGAGGAACATGGTGGCTTCAGAGTAGGGAGAGCAATGGGGGTGGCCTGGTCCCCGCCTTGCCCTGTCCCCCACTTGGGGTGGGGGTGGGCCGCGGTGGAAACCATTTGGATCCCAAAGAGCAGTGGTGAAACGATGGCAGACAGCATGAGGGGGTGGACACGAGCAGAGTGGCTGAGGGTGGAATGGGCGCAGCAGGGCGTGGAGCCAGGGCCTCCCTCCCTCCCGGGAGCGCAGTCTGAAGTGTGGTGCCGAGGCCCAGGAGCTGAAGGATCCCAGATGGGGGACTTCAGGGACACCAAGAATCGTGGGGACAGAGGCAGTGACTGGCCCTCCCATCTCCCGCTGCTTGTTGGACACACTCCCACGCTGCTTGGAACCTGGAATGGCCACTCCTCCTCCCGGGACGCTGTCTCCCATGAGCCTGCTGCTCACAGACCAAGGGGGCTGAGTGTCCTCCCCGGTGACAGCCAAGGGCCACCACCCCTTCCTCCAGAGACATCTGGTCAAGGGGTCAGCTGGGGAGGGAAAGGTGGGGCTGGGGGCAGAAGGGCAGACCCTGGGTCTAGAAGGAAAGGCTGAAGAGGGAGGGACAGCCGCTCCAAGGCCACCACTCCAAGTTCTGAGGGTCCAGGAGCTCAGAGGGGTGGGGCCCTAAGCTGCCAGGTGCCCAGTGGGTGGTGCTGGTGCCAAGCTTTGGGAAGGGGAGAGTCTGCTGGGAAGGAAGCATTGGATTCTGGACCCCTGTGGCAGCCCACCACCCGAGAAGCACCCCAGTGGCCATGAGAAATGTTTCCAGGATGGGTGGGCATGACGAGGTGGGAATGGCACGGTCCACTCGGAAAGTCAGGCTGGGTGGTGGCGAGGGCACGCGGCCTCCACCCCCACACCCGCCTTTCCCAGGAAGGCAGGGGACAAGCTGATGTGAAGATCAGAAGGGATGGGTGTGTTAAACATGGAGTGAGACCTAAGTGGCAAGGAGGTAAAAATAGACTGTGGGTGACAATGGAGCCGGTTCATTAACACATGGGTGATGTGAAATCTCGTTTCCAGCCTGCTTCTGCTCCCTCACGCTTCACACCTTTCCCAGCACCAGTCTCAGCTTCTTAGTGGGCGTTCAGAGGACGCCAGCCACCCCCTGTGTGCCTTCTCGCCCCTGGCCCCCGGCCCTCCCAGTGGCCCTCTGACTGCCCTGCAGCCCAGCCTTGAGATCCTGGCTCAGGAAGTCACAGCTCCTGTAGTGCCCAGGTGGGTCAGGGGTGGCAGACTCCGCTCCTCCAGTACCCCTGCACATGGGCTCAGCGCCTGACAGCATTTGTGCCACTCAGTGAAAGACCTGACCCCACTCTCTGGGGACTTTCAGCCTTGCCCACCACAGACCATGCAACTGTGGACTCGGGATGGGAAGAAACTGGGAGGGGTGGTCTCCAGGAGCCACCAGAGGGACAGGCAAGCCAGCCATCTTGCCTCTCAGCCTATCCATCCTCCCTAGCCCACAAGCCCAGGGCAGCAGCCTGGGACAGTCCCTTCTGGCCCCTAGGGGCCTCTCAAGAGCCTCAGGATGGCCTGTCCAAACAGTCCCTGCCCAGTTCACAGGACACATGCCCCAGCCCAAAGGCCTGTTTCCCTCATGAAAAGCTTAGCATATCCGAGCCTGAGGGGCCATTCCTTAGAGGTTAGCCTGTCCAATCCTTCACTGGACAGATAAGTGAGCAGAGAACCCAGAGAGGGGCTGTGACTTGCCCAAGGCTGCAGAATGAGGCTCTGGCAGAACCAGAGCTGGAAGGCAGATGTCTGGGCTGCCAGGCCCCATGCTCCCTTGCAGGCCTTTGGTCTGATGGGAAGCAGACCCAATCAAGGTGACAAGCCCTCCTCCCATGATTCCCAAAGGCTAATTCATCCTGGAAACCACAGGTGTGGTCAACCCAACCTAAGGTCAGGCATCCACTGGCCCCAGCTGTGGGATGCCGCCTGAACCCTGGGACCTCCCACCCTACCCCTTGCCCATGAGCAGCGCCCCACCCCCTCCCTGAGACGGAGACAGTAGGAGATGCTTCCCTGAATTCCTGATAGCTGAGGCTGTGGCAGTTTAAGTGACCAGCCTTCTGCTTGGCCTGTGCTGTGGCCACACAGGCTATGCCCAGTCTCCACAGGGTCCCGAGGCCAGCCGCAGTGAAAAGGAGCCCAACAAAGCCAGGCCTCACCCTTGCTCAGGACGGCTGCCTGCACCGCTCCGGGCCCTCCCCAGCTCCCTCCTGGTGCCCGGGCTCAGGGGAGAGCCTTCTGGTTATTTCTGGTCACCAGGCCTCTCCCATGCCCCAGACCCTCCCACCATGGGCTCCTCTTCCATCAGCCAAGCAGCCCAACAGGACCTCCAGGCAAGAGGGAGGTTGAGGGGGTGGGGATGAGGGAGAACGGGCTGGCGCCCCTTCCCTTACATCCCCCCCGCCCACCAACCACCAGAGAAACAGGGATTTCCAGTTGGGGTGGGGACAGAGATGAAAGATGGAGGGGCAGCAGAGAGGAGCCAAGCAGGAAGATGGGGCAGAAAAGGCTGCGCTTGCTCCGGGCCGGGGCAAGCATGCCAGAGAGCAGGCCTGATCCAGAATGGTCCCAGGATGGCCGCAAGTGGCCTCAGACCCCAGGGACACCACCGAGGTGGCAGTGCGTGAGGGCACCGGCTGGGGAGGGGGCTTGTCCTTCCGCTCCAGCATCCGCTGAAGGCACCACCACCTCGTCCAGCAGCCGGGGCCGGTCGAGGCAGGCGGCCTCTCCGCGCCTCCTTCTCTGCCGCCGCCGCCGCAGGCCCTCGCCTGTGCTCGTACCTCTTGTCCCCCTGAGCGTTCTGGTTCTGCTGGGTTCCTGGGTTTTGCAGGTCAGGGATATTGGCAAAGTCATCCTGTTCCGAAAGCCCTAAGACCAAGGATAGCACCACCATCCGGCCTTCCCTGCCCGGGGAGGGCAGCCCACAGGCCAGGGTGAAACGAGGAGGCCCCGTGGGCGGGGGCAGGGGGGAAGGAGAGAGAGGGAGAGAGAGAGAGAGAGAGAGAGAGAGAGAGAGAGAGAGAGAAAGAGAGAGAGAGAGACAGAGACAAAGAGAGAGAAGAAAAAAGTGTAAGAAACTGGCCCTGCAGGAAAGAAAACAAACTTCAGCAGTGTCAACAGTTGCAGGATAGAGTGGGGAGAGTGGAGGCAGGGAGGGAGGGGAGTTGACTACGGCCTGAGACTCCACTGGTCTGAGCCAAGAGCAAGATTCTCCAGAGCTAAACTGCAAGGGGCTGGGCAGAGGCCTGCAGAGGTGGCCTGTGGCTGGGACAGTCCCAAGGGAACACGGGGGATAGGGTGGGGGGAATGGAGCACAGGCCCTGGGACCCCACAGATTTCCAACTGCTAATGCATGCCCAGCTGGACTCGCTCTGACCATCTGGGCCACTGGGAGAAGAGGGAGGGGCTCCGTCACTATCCTGCACCGGCACCGCGCAGGCTTTGAAAGTTTCGAAATCCAGTGGGCGCTGCACCCTGTCCTTATGGAAGCCCTTCATAGACAACGCTGTGTCATGGTCAACCAGATGTCCTTGAAGCCAGGTAGGGTCTAAGGAGCTACCTCCCCTTGGCTCCTGGATATACAAGCCCATCAGAGGAGAATGAAAGTCCTTTGTGGTATATGGCAACTCGGCCATAGTGGCTGTCTCCTGTGTCCTCCTTGCTGGAGATCCAGGGAATGAGCACCACCGCTGAGTCCAGGTCAAGGGCCTTTCATTGGAGAAGAGGTCCAGAAGGCACCACAAGCCAAGGCGGCGAGAAAGTGCAGGAACTTGGCAAGGTCTGGAGAAGTTTTGGCAGGACTGCAGGGAGCCTGTGCCTGCAGTGAGAGATCGTGCTTTGAGGGAGCACAGTCAAGGCTGAACGGGGAGGGGGTAGGCAAGAAGGCGAGACTCTCTTGGAGTGGACATGTGGGCAGCCGTATGAGGCCAGGTGTGACACCTTTAGTAGGGGGCATTCTCAGAGAACCATCGGGCAACTTGCCAGGGTCTTTGCGAGGTTACCCGCATTTGCCAGGGGGGGAGAAGGGAGAATCATTGGCGACCCTGCTGTCCCTGAAGACCATCAGAGTCCGCGAGCGTTTTCTGGGTGCTTTGTGGAGCTTCTCCAGCGTTGGGCCTCTCATCAGAACAAAAGGAGAGGGAGGGGTTCTTGGACAGGCCAGGCAGGAAAGCTCGTCTCAAGAAGGGCCAAAGGGAAGACAGTAGGGCTGACGGAATATTCTGGAAGGGAGAGGATGCTGGGTCAGGAAGTCTACCACTTCAACCACTGTGAAGGGAGGCGAGGTTTACAGAGGAAGAGCTTGCTCTAACTTCTCAGAGCAGTTGTCAAACAGGGAACAAACAGGCGAGAAATAGCCTCTGAGGTGAGGGGCGAGGGCACGAGGGTCTTGGAAAATGGGACATTACCTCTGGGGTCTCAGTGAACGGAGGGAGCTAAGTGGCTGCTGTGCCCCTCCCTGTCTTTGCGTCTTTGGTCCTGGGCACAGTTACTCCAGGCTGACCCTTGTGCTGGGATCTAACTTTCGGGAAACAACTCTATACCCTCCCTCAGGACGAATCCTCCTTTTCTTTGTTTTCTGCCCACCGGTACTGTTTCAGAGTTGGTAAAATTCCATTTGGCTGCTCGGGAGCTAGTTGTGCTGGGGGAAGGCAAACTCAGTGAAAACAACATGTTTTTTCCCCAGTTAATGCATTTTTCAGATATTCCTTTTTCTCTTCTTAAAACCAGAACAGCTCCTCTGCATAAATTCCCGATTCGTCACTCTCTCCAGCTCTGCAGGACGCGAGGGTTAGGATGAGGGGCACGGGCTGGAGAGTGGAGGGAGAGGCTGGCAATGTTAGGGGAGTCACGACCATCAAGCAGAGGGCTGCTGCCCTCCCTGCAAGGGGTGGGTGGGATCATGGGGCGTCGGGACAACCCTCGCCACCTGCCTCTCTACTGGAGCCACCAGCGTTTGGGCAAGTAAAGAGCCTCAGAAACAGGGCAGCTAAATTGTAAAGCAAGGGGCAAATTACGGCCCACGAGCTAAGAGTGGTTTTTACATTTTTAGAGGGTTGTTTTAAAGAAAAAAAGAATATGTGATGATCACATGCCTCTTGCAAAGCCTAAATTATTATCTGGACCTTTCTAGGAAAAGTTGGCCGACCCTTGAGGTGAGCTCTGGAGGTTGCCAGCAACTAGGGGGACATGAGACTTGTCCTGGGGCACAGAGCAGGGACAGAGGATGCTGTTGCATGCATGATGCTGGACGAATCCCAGTTAGTTGAGAAGGCAGCAGGCAGGGAAGAGATGGTACCCGGGTTCCTGGCAGGCCCCTGGCCCAGTTTAATGGCTGCTGGAACAGGAAGTAGGGTGACAGCTGTGATAAGACAGTCTGAGGTGGGGAGGAGCAAGGACGTGCAGGGGCCCAGCAGGCTCTCAGTCCTGTTCAAGCCACGCAGACCCAATTCCCTCGACTCTCCAAGATCCACGCCTGGATCACAGCCTCTGTCCCAAAACAAACCGCCACCTGGAAGACCGGAGGCTCTTCTGGGCATCTCATCTTGTGCAGGCGTCCAGTTAGATTCCTGCAGGTCCTTGAGTGGGGTAGAGCCCCAGAGAATATGGTGTCCTGATTTGCCAAAGAGTCACAGGCAGCATGTCTTGCTGGCCATGGGCCACTCGCACGGGTATGGGAAGCTGGCATGGCAGGGCCTCTTCGGGTGGGGTGTCTCTCCCAGGGCAGTGCTCCCATCTGCCCGGGAAGCCCTGGCTGAGGTCTCAGAGGAGAGACAGGATGCTCCGAGGAACTTGCTTGCCTTCAGAATCCCTATATCTTGCCAATGCTTCCCTTTCCTCCTCCCTTTCTCCTCGCCCAGGCTTAGTGTGCTGGTCTCCTGCTCCGTGAAAAGTGCTCCCAGGGAAGACCTGGGCGATGGGAACAATCCCCAGGGCCTGGAAGGAAGCTCACGTTAGGGCAAAGGAGGGGGGTGATGTTGGGGATGGCAGCCCAGACCTGTCTTAGGCTCTGAGAGTGGGGGGCAGATGTCCAGAGAGATGCTGGGGAGGGGGCTTCCTGGGTGGGGCCCCTCCAGGGAGAGCAGGGGGTGGGCGAATGGCTGGTGGGAATGGTTAAGGTTAGACACTGATGGTGTGTTGTTACTTCTTAGACCTATATACTTGAAAGAAAGCTCCAATTTAGAAACAACCTTTTCTAAAGCTTTGGGGCAACATCTCAGATTTGTCCTCAGGGGATGGGTCATTACTGGAGGAAGGAGACTTGGGAAGTCAGGGCGGGAGCTGGAGGACAGGTGGCTATAGAAGGTCAGAGAGATGGGGGAGGGCTGGTGGCAGGGACAGGGATAGAGGAAGTGAGAGGGAGGGAGGGAGGGGTGTGGGCCAAGAAGGCTAGCAGAGTCGGGTTACAGGGGAGAAGTAAATTGCAGGGGAGGAGGCAGGGCTGGAGATGAGTAAAAGGGATGGGTTTTGGAGCAGAAGGGGGAGGAGAGAGGTCGCAGGAGTGAAGGAAGACTGGCCAAGAGGCCAAGAGCAGCCTGGGACTAGCTGGGGAGAAGAGATGTATCTCAGGGCATTGTCCAGTGTCTCCACCTTTTAGGGGGAACTTCCCTGAGCCCTAGAGCACTGAGGGGCAGGGGTCCTCATAGGGAGGTGGCTGAGAATTCTTCCGTGGTGGCCTTCAGGCAGGAGCCACAAGAGGCTAAGGAGGGGGCTGCCAAGTCTGCTTGGCACCCTGCCAAGGGGATGGAGGGCCGGGAGGTACACACAACCAGCTGCTCCCAAGGAGATCTGGGGGGCAGGAGGCTGGGTCAGGGAGGTGGGGGCCGGCCCGCTCAAGGGGAGGACTTACAGGAAGGATTTCATGTCCAAGCCTCGGTTTCGAATCTGCCCCACCACGTGGTCCCAGCTGCCTGGGTTGGAGCGGCTGCGGCCCCCTGCCGCCCGGTACTTGGAGCCGGCCGAGGTGCCCTGCCGAGCCTGGCCCCGGCCATAGGCCCGGGGGTTGGGGCCTGGTGCCGAGGCCATGTGGGCCTGCAGCTGGCCCAGGCTCTGGCTGGTGGTGGGCTGGCTGGGCTGCCGGCCCCGCTGGTGCTGGCTCAGCGGCTGTTGCAGGCTCTGCTGCCGCATCAGGGTGCGGGGTCGCTGGCATTTCGGCTCTCCCGTGGAGCTGGGGATAGACTCAAGGGTAGTGGCCGTGGACAGGGTGGAGTCCTCGAAACTTGGGGCAGGTGGAGGAGAGGAGAGAAAGGAGAAGCAGATGAAGGGATCACAGTGGAAGAGAAAGAAGCCGAGGGCCAGGACTAGGAGGCCCCAGTGCAGGGTGCGCGCTGCCGGACCTCGCCAGGCCTCCATCGGAGCTGTCGCCACCGCCGTCGCCGCCACTGCCTCGCCCAGGAGGCTGCAAAGCCCTCGCGCCCACCCTGAGGCCCCAGGCCGGCTCTGCCCACCCACCTTCTGGCCCTGGCTCAGCTAGTGCCAGAATACCTCCTGGCTAGGCCGACCTCCCTGCCGGTCTGAGTGGGCTGCGAGTGCTGCTGAGGCTGCGTGGTGAAGGCAGGTCCCCTGGGCCCTGCAGCTGCCTGTCATGTTGGAGTGGGAGGGGTAGAGGGAGCTGCTGTGGCCCCTCCCGCTATTTCGCTGGGGGACACCAGGAAAGTCTGCCTCTGTGTTCTAAGTACTGGCATCCTTTGGAGACAGGAAGAAATCCAGGCCAGTGCAGAGCTGGCCTAGTAATCCTGGGGAGGCCGGGGAAGCCATCAGTTCTTATACTTTGTCCACAGAGGCAAGGAAGCGGCAGACCTCCACCCTGTGGCCAGCACAGCCTTAGAATTCAGGGTCTGGCGTGGATCTTTGCCCTCTTTTCAGGGTTCTTTGTTTCCAAGGTCCAGCATCCTCTCCTGGGACCTTGGAAATATCTCCCAGTCAGAGGACTGGACCAAGAAAGAGTGCACACAGGGTGGAACCCAGTATCCCCTCATCCGACACTTCACCGCAGTTCTAACAGAGAACAGGGTGACTGTCTTTGATGCATCTGCAAGGGGATGCTCTCCCAAAGGCCCATCAGTAATCTCTGAAATGCACTGGGAAGTGGGGCAAGGACAGAGAGGAACTAGGACATGGCTGGTCAGATGCAGTATAGCCTCAGAGAGACCTGGGTTCAAACCCCACCTCTGCCACTTACTAAATATGGGACTCTGGAAAAGTGACTCCACCTCTCTGGGCCTCAGTTTCTTCATCTATGAAATGGGAGTAATAAAATAATCCCCGAGCTTCCTCTGTCACAGAATTGCCATGAGGATCTAATGAGGTTGGGCTGTGTTGAAAATGCTGTATTGGTAAAAGCTCCCCATGCCAGTGGTTGGAGTCAGAAGTCCCTGGCCTCCCCTGGAGAACCTGTCTGCTTCATGCGCTGGCTGGAGATTTCACCATATCCCACAGGCAGGGCCAGAGCCAGGCTGCCCCCAGGCACCAGAGCGGAGCCAGAGACTGGGCTGAATGAGCAGCTTTGGGTGAATCATTTCTCATCTTGGAACTTCAGGGGTTCCAATCTTCTCCTCCTCTGTCCCTTCCCTCCACCTCTCAATCCAGTGGTCTTGGGGAGGGGTTGGGAAGCCATTGCCTGTGGGCCACATCTAGCCTGCTGCTTGTCTCTGTAAATAAAGTTTTATTGGAACCAAGCCATTGGCATTAGTTTACATAGTGACTCTGGCTGCTTTCATTCCACAATGGCAGGGTTGAGTCATTGTGCAAGAGAGTATATGGCTTATAAAGCCTAAATATTTCCCAAGTGGCCTTTTACTGAGTAACTTTGCTGACCTCTGGTCTAGGGCCATGGGGCAGCCAAGTATCCCCTGGGCTGCCCAAGGGAGGAGGCCCCAGAGCCCTTGGGAGCCACCTTCACCACCGCAACCAGACCTCAGCTTTGCTCACCCTCTGAGCCTACCCTGGGAACCAAAAGACAACAGTTAGGCTACCCCTGTGGGCTGAGAGAGAGAAAGAAAAAGAGAGAGTGAAAGAGGGAGAGAAAGAGTATAGTAAAGAGAGAGGGAAAGAAAGAGAAGAAAGCAAAACGTAGCTTTAGCTGGGGTCTTGGAGGGGTGGCAGCCTTGCCTAACTCAGGCCTGAAATCCAGGCTACCTCCAGGGGCCGGCCCAGGCCTGGCCGGCCAGGTAGGCCCACAGCTCCCTGGGGGCAGGTCAAGGCAGAGGGAGGGCGGCACATTGGCAGCTGCCTCCTCCCCCTCCTTGGTGACCTCATTTTGGTTTCCTATCACATCCAAAATTAGTCCAATTTACAACCTCTCAGTCACAGGAAACTAAAATTGGTTCCTCCAGGCCTGGAGCCAGTGGATGGCATGGAGGCCTAACCGGCCTGGAGACTGGCCGGGGCAGGCTGGGAGGGTGGGGCACTGGGCCGGGCTCTCTGAAGGGGTGTGTGGCTTCCCTGTGGGACCCTCCTGGGGCCAGATGTTGGGAGAAATTGGCTTGTGTGCACTCAAGCCAACTAGCGAAAGAGATCTTGGTACGGTGGCCTTCGGTGCTCCCAATGGCAGGAACCACAGGTCTTCTGAAGAGAATCAGGAGGACCCTCAGTTGAGGCAACAGGATGGCCCAACAGCTAGGAAGGGGCAGGGCTGTTGGCCTGTTAAATGGGAGGCTGCTCCATTAGCTGGGAGTTCCAACTTCTGAAAATGGAATTTATACCCCAAGGGAGACTGGTCACAGCTCAAAGGACTCAGGGCCTAGAAGGGCTCTGATGAGGGGAATCAGAAGTTTCCAAAGGCCAAGATGAGAATAAAGCTGCCCCATGAGAGGGGATATACTGTCTGTGGAAAACAGGGGCCAATCCTACGTCCATCAGCCAAGAGTGGGCCTGACTGTTCGACAAGCTCAGACAGCTATTACAGAGGGGACGGCTCCTTCTGCCTGATGTCTAGAACACCCCATGACATCTGGCAAGTGAAGCTAGCTGGGGTTTGACAACCCAACCTCCAGGAATACACGGTCCCAACAGCCAGTGGTGGGATAGCTCGGTGACCAAGACTGGGACAGCCAACGGGGATGGCTGAGATGAGGATGAACCGATGGGGCAGCCTGCGGCTGCTCGTGAGTGGCTTCCACAACAGATGATGTATGGTTCAAGCAAGACTGGGACAGCCAATGGAGTCACCCGATGGTCAAAAATGGAATGGCTCAACTTCTGGGTCTAGAGCCATCTGCTGGCTGTAAGAGGGAAAGCCTGGGAGCTGATGGGTGATTGTCAGGCTGAGAGTGGGCCAGATACCCAGGATGAGATGGAACAACCACAGGCCTGCTGCCCATGGAGGGATGACCTGGTGGCTGAGATGGGGGGGCCAATCAAAGAGGATGGGATGACCCAGGGACTGAAATGAAGCTGCCCTGGGGGCAGAAAATGGAATGACCTGGTCACTGGCAAAGGAAGGGACTGATGGGGCATCAGCCAGAGGCTGAAATGCATCACTGTATGGCTGAGTTCGTCGTGCCAGATGGCAAGGATGATGGGAGAGTCTCATGAAGGGATGGAATGAGCCAGGGGCCGAGGACGGCACCTCTGGGGGCAGCAGCGGGCATGCCAGGGGTCCCGCTGTCCACCCTGGCAGGGCAGGCCTGAGCTCATGGCTCCGGCAGCCATGGGGCGCCATCACTCACTTGGACAAGTTGAGCTTCCCTGCGGCCAGGTGGCTCTGCACCGTCCGCCAGCGGCCTCTCCCCGCCTTGCCACCGCTGCCCGGCTCGCTGGGGGCAGCCCCGCCGCTTCTCAAGGCGTCCTCTCCGGGTGGCGGCACCGGTGCCGGCTTCTCCCCCAGCCGGCCTTCCCGCTCCACCGCCAGCCCCGCCGCGGCGGCCACTTTGGCGCCCGACAGGAGGGTGCCACTGGAGGCATGCACGAGGCAGCCAGGCCAGAGGGGCACCGGGGGTGGCGGTGGGGGAGAGAGGGCAGGCCATACGTGGGGGTCGGGGGGTGGAAGAGGAAGAAAAACAATAACAGATAAAAGGAAGAAAGAGACAGTGAGAGAGGAGGAGGAGAGAGACAGACGGACATGAGACAGACAGAGAGAGAGAGAGAGACATCAGCACTGCAAATGGGTTAACAGCGGAGCCTGCAGAGGAGAGAGGGGGACCGGGCGGGCTGGGGGTCGGAGAACAACGCACCACGACAACGGAGGGGGGGCCCCTCCCCACCGCCTGGGGCAGGGGCGGCGGGGGTTGGGGGAGGGCAGCCACCTCCAACTCTATCCCACAGGACAACGAAGGGTTAACGACGGAGGAAGAGCGGGCTGTCCAGGCCAGGAGGCCCCAAGGCAGGGAGAAAGAGAAAGCCGTGTTAGTCAGAGTTCATCACCACCACCACCACCATCACCGCCACCACCGCCACGAACCACCGACCACCGACCACCGACCACCGAGCAGCCACGGCAGCACACAGCGGGGAGGAAGAAGCGACCACAACCGAGGGGGCGGGACCCAAACGGGCAACCCCATCCTGACTGCACAGAAGGTGGGGTGGGCCCCGGGACCAGCTGGGGGGGCCAGGTATGGCTGCCGAGGGGGCTCTCCTGCAAGGCTGGCCCTGGGGGAGGGGACGGGAGCGGGCAGGCAGGTGGGTTGGGGCAGGTGGGGTTGCTCGTCTCCATGGTCGGCCTGCCCATGGGGTGGATGGGTGGGGAAGTTGGGGGACAGGAGCGAGAGGAGAGAGGGAGTGAGCGGGTCCAGAGGTGGGTGGGGGCAGGAGGAGGGAAGGAGGGCGTGCGCGGATACTCGGTACATATGATCAAACCAGGTAAAGTCACTCACTTGAGGGACAGTCGTGGGTCGCCATAAGGGGCGTAGGGTGAAATGTTTAGAATAAACTCCTTGGGAGGGTAGGAGCTCCATTTCTGCTGCACTGTGCTCTCATTGTTATTCCAAAAGTCTCTGTCTAGATCACTGGAGGGGCAGAGAGAGAGGGGAGAAAACAGGGAGATACAAGAAGAAACAAGAACTGCAAGTCCTGCGGGGGCAGAAGGGACCAGGACCCCGGGGCCGGGCACACAGTGGGCGGGGCTTCGTGGGTCAGCTCCTGCGGGAGGAAGAAAGGCAGGCGGGCACCGCAGTCTGTGCCTGGCACACGCACGCATACACGCACACGCACACATGTGCAAACATACCAATGCACACACGCACGCACTCGAGGGCCGGGAAGCCACACAGAAAGGAGGCAAGCGGCAGGCGGCAGACTGGAGCCTCGCACCTGGGAAGCTGGTGGGAGAGAGAAAATGATGAGAGGAGGGGGACAGAGGGGAGAAGGGTTGGGGATGAGGCCTGGGGTGAGCAGGGGGAGTGGGAGAAGGAGAGTGCTGGTTTCTGGCTAGATGGAGCTGAAAGGCAGATCAGGCCCAGGTGCCAACTTGCTGGGCCCTACCTCTCCTGGCCTCAGTTTCCCTGCCTGTCAAAGGAGAAGACTGGCTGTAACTGCTATACTATCAACTCTCTCACTGCAGAATAAAAGCTCTAGTACTGGAGAACTCAAGGTTCTCTCCTCTTCCACCTTCTCCCCACTGAGGCCCTCCTGGGGCAGGCCCAGCCCCTTGCCCATCTTTCTCCTCCTCCTCCCACTGGCCTGAGGGGCTCTCTGGCTTCCTCTGCTCTCTCTTCTACTCCATGAGGCTGGGCTGCAGCCTTAACCTAAGACTGGGGGATCTCAGCTGAGCTGGAGACCATCTCTACTCCTTGCAAATGTGGCAGCTGGGTCACCCCACTCCCCTGAAAGGGGAGCATTCCTGGGCCTCTGACCTTGCTGAGGATGTCACTAAGGTAACCAGGGGGCCCCTCGGTCCTTTGTTCTGGGGCCTGTGTAGCGGGAACCTGTCCTTCTCTGGGTGTGTCCCTGGCCTGCCTGCTGGTGCAGCCCCTCCCTGGGTCCCTGTCCCTTTCCAAGGTGGAGCTGCTGGGTCTGGAAGGGACCCTCACCCTGGACTCTCCACCTTCTCCTGAGAACGTGGGGACTTGCAGGTGGGGTGGGTGGCAGAAGCCTTGGCCGGTGGAGGGCATGGCCTGGAAACCCTGGGAGCCAAGGACAAGGGGCGCCACCAGCTCATCAGGCTACTGGGACCCCAAGAAGCAGGACTGGGAGTACAGGGGGAATAGAGACAGTGACTATTCTGGAAGGCAGCCATGTTTCAGGCATGGGAATGTTTCTAGGGAAGGGGCCCCAGGAAGAGCGCTGGGGTGGGCCTGGGGAAGACTGAGGCTGTGCCGCTCCCCAAAGCCAAGGTGGGGCAGTGTGGGGAAGGGTGCCAGCGGGGGCACACCCCACCCCCCAGGATCAAGCAAACATGTTCTTGCGGGACCTGCTTTTTCCTCCATTTAGAATTTGACCTTGACCTTGGTTCTCAACCTCAGACTCAGGCACAAAAGTGAGAAAGATGAAGAGAGGCTGAGCTGCCACCATAGGCCCAGATGAGATGGTGGCGTTGGGCATCCCTGCTGTAGACAGATTTCTCTGTCCAGAGTAGACCTTGGAAATGTCTCACAGGGGACTCTGTGTACAGGGTTCAAAGCCAAAGCGTAGAGCCAGCTCACAGGGGCAGTAAGTGGTGGGTATGGAGGAGGCAGGACAGGCCCCAGGGGAACCTAATCCCTTGACAGAAAACCCCCTTCCCACCACAGATGTCCCTTCCCAGCAGAGCCTCACACGAGGGTATGGATGGGGCCTCCCTGCGTCAGGTATAACAAAGATGGAGCAGGTAGCAGCCTCTCTTTCCCGCTCCCTCCAGATCTCCAGAATCTAGGGCCATCCAGCCCGAGGTCCCAGAAAAAAAATCCACCCAGAGTCACCACTGCCAGACTTGTCTCCCACCCTGTGTTCTGAAGAGCTCCAGGGTCTCTCAGGTTTTTCCACTGCGGTACTGGAAAAAAGGATCTTTGATTAAAGAAATTTGGGAAACACTGATTCCTTTACCGCAGGACTTCTCAGAGCCTTTAACGTGCCCATGAATATCAGTATCGCCAAGAGGGAGACAGAGTGTGCAGTGTTCCCCAAACTTAGTTGGCCGTGAGACCCTTGGTTCGTGGAATAGCTATGACTCATCTGTGGGGCACAAGGGCCCTGACGAACACAGTTTGGAAAGCACTGCTAAAGAACACAGTTTCCCAGAATCCTTGATAAGACGATCCTCTGTTGGGGGTCCTAAGCCCATGAAGGGCTGTGCAGGAAGGAGGCTCCGCCACCTGTGACTCCACTGACTTGGGACCTTTCTGTTCTCTGGAAAGAAGCAAAGGCCTAGGTGCATGCAGACACACACGGTGGCTTCTGTCCCTCGGGGCAGAGGGCCTGACCACTCAGCAGCTTCGGGGGCAGGCTAGGATTGTGAGTGCGGGGGCTGCAGGACCACACAGAGGCAGGCTGGACGGCCGCTGCTGCCTCACTTTGTCTTAGAGAGCCCTCATGGGCACTGGTCCCAGCCTGGCACAGCCTGCTGCCCGCCCTCCCCCTGGTTGGGAATCCTGTCTCCTCTTGTGGGCCCTTTCCAGGACTCTGGGCCCTGCCACACGCACCCCTATCCAGGAAGGTTATGATCACCTGGCAGAGGCAGGCCCCCAGCCCTGGCCCGCGGCTGTAAACGGCCTGTCCTGGAGGAGGCACAGGTGCTGGGCTGGCCACGCTCCCCCACGTGCTCCCTCGCCTTCAGAAAGCCCGGGCCTGCACTCTGCAAGAGCCCCTGGGCCCTGCCAGCACTTGGCTTTGAAGACCGGAGTCTGGGCAACCAACCTAGCTTCAAAGTCTCCCACAGCCTCCTCCTGAGCCTCCCGCCCTCCCCTAGCCTCAGCCTGGCCCACGCCTCCTCTTGCCCCACCCCAGACACATGCACACAGCTTCTACCAAGGCCCCAAACAGGATCAGTGCAAGAGATGAATAAAATGGGGCAGAAGAGGACCTGGGAGGGAGCCCTCAGGAGCGGGGTGGAGGGTGGGGGAGGAGTGGAGAAGAGAAGGTGGAGAAATAGGAAAGGGAAGGGAACGGAAGGGGAAAGACACACAGGGGAAGGCAGGGGAGACCAGCAGCGGGCAGGGGCCAGAGGGCAGGGGGAGGGTGGCTGGGCCTTCAGAGGGAGGAAGAGTGGAGGTAGGGAGGGATGGGGCGCTCGGCTTCTAGGCAGAGCCCTTTGGCTGGCAGGCTTGGTCCAGGCCAGGCTGAGATGTGGGGTTACCACCCCTACCTTGACCTCTGGGCTCAGCAAAGAGGAAGGGGCTGGGGCCACTGGCCAGTGGGCACAGAGGCCTCCCCCCCAGCAAAAGCCTCCATTTCCAGAGCCCAGGTGGCCTGAGTCCCCCGCCAGGTGGGTGGGGGACTTCTCTTGGTGTCTCCCAGTGACCTCAGCAGAGGGCTGGCCAAGGTGGTCTGCAGTGGGAGGGCAGACTCCTTGAAGAGGGCTCTACGGCAGAACAAGGAGACCTGGGTGAGGCAGAGACAGCCAGACACACAGCGGCCGGTGGGGTTGACGGGGAGGGAGGGACTGCTCCCCAGCGCTCTGCTCCCCGAGTGGCCCAGACACAGGTGTGTCTGCCTCCCCACTTCCAGGTCATCCTCAAACACTGGCAGGATCTGAGAAAAGAAGCTGGGGCCCACTAGGGAGGGGCCTCCCCGGCCTAGCAGCAGGGGCCCCATGAGAGGGGCTTGGAGGTCCAGGGAAGCCGGCGGGTGGTGGGCACAGTGTGTGTGATAGGAGGGTGGGATGAGAAAGCGGCAACCAGGGTTGAGGTGGGCGCAGAAGGTGCTGGCGGTGAGGGCAGCGGAAACGGAGGCCAGGGACTCCGGAGCACTACGAGGGGCTTGGGCACAGGCAGAAAAGACGGGGCCCCTGAGTTTTTGGGGGTGTGTGGAGGGTGTAGAGAGCATGGCATCGGGGTGTGGGGGAAGTGAAAGTGTGTGGTCAGGTCTGTGGGGCTGGGGGAGAGAAGGGGCTCCTCCCACCTGGGCTGCTTGTGTGGCCCCATCCCAAACTAGCAGCCTGGCACCTACTTGATAGCCTTCTTCTCACTGCGCCCACGCCCTGAGTCTGGCGTGCCCACCGTCTCCAAGGAATTCTTGTAGCGTTTGCCCTGTGGAGATAGCACTAGGATCACTCCTGGGGAACAGGACTGTACCCTCCCTACCTCCCCAGAACAGGGACCCGGAGGGGAAGGAGATAGACTGGAGTCGGGCCGTGGCAACAAGGCCAGGACCAGTGTGCGAGGCTGTCACCGCGGTGGGGGCCAATCCCCTGGATGCCTGCTCCCCGGTTGGCAGCTCCTGGGCCCCATCGGGCTCTAGGACCTGCCCCACCCACCTCGACCCGAACCTCATCCCTGACTCCCAGGGATCAGCCCCTCCTGTCTGCCTATCTCC
Source organism: Homo sapiens (assembly GCF_000001405.40). Lineage (NCBI taxonomy): Eukaryota > Metazoa > Chordata > Mammalia > Primates > Hominidae > Homo > Homo sapiens. The sequence goes on from NC_000011.10 coordinate 61,551,750, forward strand.
TGGGGCTCTGGCCTAGCTCCCAGAAACACAGTTCCCTCTGCCACGGACAGACGGCTCTCAGGCGCCTGGCCACGTCACACTGTCCACGTCACCGCCCCCAGATGGTGGGGGTGGCATCCTGCAGGGCAAGGTTGGCAGTGGCCAGTGATGTGAGCAGTGGGGGCGGGGAGAAGGCCATGTCCCCAGTCCTGCTCGGGGCTGTGTCCACCACTGTCTGGGGGTTCTCTGGGGGGTCCTTGTGCCCTGGGGCTGTAAGGCAGGAGCAAGGCTGTTTTAGGAAGGCAGTCTTAGGAAGAGAGACTGCCCGCTGACTCAGAGGCAGTTGCGGGGAGGCAGCCTGGGCCCCTGCCCCCCAGAGTCCCTCACACTAGCAGGGGGAGGGAGGGAGCAGGGCAGCGGGTGGGTACCCCAGGTCCTCCAGCTAAAGGAAGGGCCGTGGCCACAGCGGCAACTGGGCCTGCTGCCGGGAAGGTGAGCACCATTCACCTTCTCAGTTTGGGTTTCTAAATTTAGCTCATGCAGAGCCTAGCCCCATTAACATTCCTGGCTGCCACCAAGCGTCCTCACACGCACCCATGGGCCACGGACCTGGGCCAGGTCCAGGGCTGATATGGGCAGTCGGGGGACAGGGGCTGTGCGGGGTTTGGGGCTGCCTCTCCCAGCCCATTCTCCCACTGGGCACTGGCCTGCCCCTCCCCGGCTGCACACACACACACACACATGCACACACACACACATGCACACACACGTGCGCGCACAAATGCTTCCCAACACCCTGTCATGTGCACCAGCACCACAGCCACAACAGTCAATTATTCCATCCTCTCTAAAGCAGAGTAAGAGCTGTCACTGCCACTGCCATGATTCCTGTCACAGCCATGCTCCCTGATGCTCCTGCCAGGGGCAGCCCCTTCCCAGGCACGGGAGCCACCTATCTAGGGAGACCAGCAGCAAAGCTCCCTCATCCCACCAGCAGTGCCCTACACCTCAGGGTTGCCTGGGGCTTGGCTCCAGCAATGCTGCATGTTCCCCCGTCAGCCTAGCCAAGTGTCTTCCCTTCTCTGGCCTCTTTCCTCCTTTCTGAAATGGTGTCGCCATATGAACCCCTAGAAGGAAGACTCCTCATCCCTCCAGGCTCTCATCACATATATGAGTATTTCTGTTCACTTACTTCAGCTCCTATCTCCCGGCACGTGCTCCCACAGAGGCAAGGCTGTGGGTTTCTGGTACTTAGTGTGGAACCTGGTACTGGGCAGTTCTCAGAAATCATCACCTGGAAGTGTCCCTTCTATGGCCCCGCCCACCCTGGAGTCTGGGCCCCCAGCAGCGACCTCTAAGTCAGAACTTTAAGAGTTGAAATATAGAGATGCCGGACACCCTGGGTTCACAAAAGCTGCCACTCACAGCTCCAACTCCGATCCCTCCCATCACTACCCAGAGGTCCAAATCTCAAACAATTCCCAGTTCCAACTGGGAAGATCCTATGCGGCTGTGCCACAGTGACCTCAGGCCCCCTTTGGCAGGACCCTCAGGCAGGAGCCCCGCCCCACTATTCTCCAGCACACAGGCAGTGTGGGTCAAGAGTGGGGCTGCTGAGGGCATCCCATGCCACCCCTCGCCCTTCTCTTCCTTCTTTCTGGCTTGGCAGGAGAGCTTGCCCTGGCCAGCACCCTCTCGTAAGGCAGGGCCGCTGCCCCTTCCCCGAGGCCAGGAAGGGCACGGTCAGCCCTTTCCGAGCAGCGCCCCCACAGACATCCTGGGAGCCTCTGTCTGCCCCTTCTCCTTCCCCAACTCCGAGAACCTTCCCCTCTGGCTTCGACTATTGCTCTGCAGCAGGAGCCGAGGTGCTATGGGGGACAGGAACCAGGCCAGGACTTGATGTGGAGGGCAGGGGGACAACCCAAGTTAACAGGAAACCAGGCAGGGTCCAGGTGACATTAGGCAGCTCCAAAGCAGCCCAACACCACCAGCCTGCTTCTCAGGGAGGGGTGGCCAGGCTGATCCGGAAAAAGCCAGCTGGAGATTAAGGAAGTTATTAATGTTTGGAAATGGGATCTGGGCTGTCAGGGTATCACGTCACTGCTGCTGAGGGGACAGGCAGGCAAGGAGAGCCCAACAACTGTGTGTGTTGGGGGAGGGGACAGCGTTTTAAAGTCCCTTCCATGGAGCAAGGAGACAGCCTGATCAACGAGCTCCCTGGCTTCTGGAACCCCTGAGGCGGAGGGGAGGGGGTGGCAGGGCTTGGGGGACTGGGGAGAGTAGCATTCTATCCACAGCAAGTCAAGAGGGACAGCCTGCGGTCTGGACCCTGGGAGGGTTCCTGGCTGGGGATTGTGGGGAGGGGCTGGGACCAGGGAAGAGGCTGCTTCTGCATCTCTCAGCTCCCAAGGTCCTTCCTGTGCTGACAGCCCCCCATCTGCTGCAAAAGCTGTTGTCTTTGAACTCCTGTCCCCAGGCCCTGCCCCTGACTGGAGGTGCATGGGGGTGGGGTGGAGACCAGTTACAGTTGTACCTGGGTCCTGGAAGTCATCTCTCACCACACACACCCACACCCACACCCACACACACACACTGCAGCACATATGCAGAGGAGGCCAGGAGGGTGGGGCAGACCCCAGCATTGACTCACACAGGGATCTGATGAGTTGATGCACATCCCACCACTGAGGGGTGAACGGACACGCACAGACAGACAGACAGACACACACACACAGACACACACACACAGTGCACCAATACCCTCAAAGTCAACACATTCAGCACAGACTCCACATGGAACACACACACAAGGTCGCCATCAGCGCCTGCTCATGCAGCCTTCTTCCCTAGCCTTCAAATCCAGACAGACAGCAAGACAGCCTAAGGGGCCCTGCAACAAGATGCTCCGGGCTGCAGGTACGCTCAGCCACTCCCCCAGCCTCCGAGGACACTCACACACAGAGGCACATGGCCCAGCCTCCTCCACCACCTTTCCTGAAATTCTGAGACAGACGCAGACACAGGGGACCCAGGAACAAAGCAGGGCAGCCAGCCCGGTTCCACACATCTGCAGGCAGAGGGGGATCGGGTCATGCACACACTTGCACACATGCACACACACTCGCACAGGGAGCAGAGCTGGCCTCCACTATGGCTCCTCCCCAGGGGTCGGAGCTGCCTGAAGTTCAACACCCAGGATGGAGCCGCATGCTCCCAAGTCCTCAGTTTGCCTTTCTTGAAGGAGGCATGTTGGGTTCTGGGACTCTCAGGTCTTTCCCGCAGGTCTCTCACAAGACCCCAAAACCTTTTCCCAGGGGTATCTGCCCCTTTTCTTCCTCCAGAGGAGTGGGGCATGAAGCCTCTACCCACCCAGTGCCCACAGCCACAGTGCTCCCCCCTTGTCCTTAAGGCCCCCCTTTGGCTGCGCAGGAAGAGAATGGGGTTCCCAGAGGTGGTGCCCTGCTCCCACTCCCACCATTCTCGGCCCGGGGAGATGGGGGATGCTTGCTAGTGACCCTCCTTCACCTGACTCCGCCAAAGGCGTAGCACCTCGGACACCCCCGGGCCCACCGTCGCCCCCCTCGCCCCCTGCTGCCCCCAAAGTCCCACCACACTTCTGGGCCGGGCGGCAGGAGTGGGGACGGGAGTGGAGGTCTTGCGGAGCAGCGGCTCGGGGAGCTGTGGGCTGCGGGCTGGGCGGGGCGGCGCGATGCGGGGCGGGCGGCTCAGCCCCGCTCCCCCTACCGGCGCCCTCAGGGGATGAATGTCCCTCCTGACGGTCTCTTTACTTATTGATGGACTAATCCTGCTCGTTAATTCCCCAGCCCTCGTTAAAAATGAAAAGGAGCCGTTTGTGCTTGTACAAACCCAAGAGCCAGGATGGATGTGCGGGGGTGGGGCGGGCGGCGCCTCCGCATTGGCCACCGGCTCAGCCACGCCCATGGAGGGGAGCGGGCAGAGGGGAGGGGGCGCGGTGCTTAGAGTGGGGGCTCTATTCTCAGTCTGCGCGTGTGTGCCTGCGGTGCTTTATGCGGGAGGCAGGGCGTGTGTGTGTGTGTGCGCGTGTGTGTAGCTGCTCGCGTGCGAATGCCTGTGAGTCCTAAGTCTGTCCCCGAATGTGTCCCTAGATGCATGGCTTTGGGTATATAAACAGAAGTATAGGGCTGAGACCCGGGTAAACGCAGGGTGTGCATGCATGCATGCGTATGCACGCGGTCTGAATTTCTATGGAAGTGCCCCTGACTATGCGGACAGGTGAGTCACCTGTGTGCACCCTTGGGAAAATTCCCAAGCCTGTAATTGTGTGTGTGTGTGGGGAGGGGGGGCAGTGTGCAGGGCTAGGCACCACCCTCCAAGGGGCCCTCAGGAGCCTCACCAGTTTGCGCTGACACCAGTGGCAGAGGCCGCAGAGGACGACAGTGACGCTAAGGCTGACGGTGATGATGGCAGAGACCAGCAGGACGTCGCGCGAGGGCGCCCCTGGGGAGGACAGGTACAGGTCACACCCTCATTGGCCAGGGCCTGCCACCCTCCCTCAGCCCAGAGCCCTCCAGAACCACCACCCTACCCTCCATCTGGCCCCTTCACTGGGAGCTCTGAACCCAGGTTCTACTCCCAGTTCTGCCTTGCTGGATGAACTTGGGTAGTTTCCTCTCTGTGTGCCTCAGTTTCCTCATCTGTAAAATGGGGAAACTGTGCCAGTTGGCATCTTTCTCTGTCTCTCCCTGCACGGACCCTGTGTGAGTCCATGGGATCTGTGCCGGCCTCCAAACTTGAGACCCTCAAAGGGAGAGGCCAAATGTGCCCCTCAGTTCAGCCAGACTTCACCCGTCCATCAAATCCCTCCACAGGCCACTGCTCCTGGATGGCCTTTTCACACAGCACTCTTCCACCCACTGCCCTGATGACACACACACTCTGAGTTGCAACTCTAGTGAAATTTGTCCAAAGGGTCCTTATTAGCTCTGACAGCCCCTCTGAGGACATCTGCCTCATGGCACTAGCCGGTCGTCTTGCTTCCCAAGACTCACCAGCCATATGTGTAGTCAAAGGAATCTCTGGAACCCTCTGGCCAGCTGTTGCCCCCTTTAGCCCAGCTTTCATTGGTCTGGAAGTCCACCCACTGGCCTCTGCACATTCCTATCCCCCAAGCTCACCCCCACCACACCATGGCTGCAGCCCATCTGTAATTCCTAAATGCTCTCATCCCAAGTGCCGAGGTGCCATAAACTTCAGAAGTGGAAACCTTGGCACCCTTGGCAAAGATGTCCTGGGAGGAAAATCTCAGGCCTCTGTCTGAATCCCACCCCTTCCCCGGCTGTGTGGCTTCTGCCAGTCACAGAAGCACTTGGTTTCTTCCTCTGTAAATGCAGATCAGACCTCCTCCCCCGCCCTCCTCATGGGTGATTGTAAACATTAGCCCAAACCAAATGTAAGTAAGGCAAAAACTTTGAGGACAAATTCTCATGTGGGGCAGTGAGTGGAGACCCGCATAGATCACACATGCGCTATCAATCTGTTGTGTGTGCTGGGATGCATCCTAAAGCCAAGGAGATGCTGTTTATTTACAGAGGAGCCTGCGTGGGCTTTTTGGTGCCAGTGATCATGGTAATTAAGAGTTGACAGTATCTGTCTGGTTCTGGTTCCTGCGGTTTTAGCTTCTGCCTTTCTTCCTCTCCCAGTCTCTCTTGCTTGGCCATGGAGCCTGGTTGAGGAAGGCCCAGCAGTCACCCTCAGGGATGACTCTCATCAGCTCTCAGGGGCCTCTGGGCTCCCTCCCTCCTCCACTCCAGCACCCTGGGCAGCCCTTTCTCTACCTGCTCTACTAGAACCCTCTTTGGGCCCCACCTCTCCCTTCCTGACTTCCTGAGCCTCCTAGTTGTGGGGAAAGACCACACTTGTGAGGCTCCCACCTGTCCACCTGCCAGGCAAATTCAGCCTCCTCCTGTACCAAGTCTGCAGCCTCAACCCCCCGGAAGCCCCTGCACCCAGTTCACTTTCAACCTCAGGGGCCACGGCACCCAGGAGCTCTGACCTGGACAACCTGCAATCACCAAGGTCCTGCCCCTCCCTCTCCTGGGCTGAGGAGCACAGCTCTGCAAGGCTGGAGGGGCCACATTTGTCAAAGTTCTCAGGCCAAATGGGAGAACTAGGACTTTGATCTCCAAGCTTCCAAGGGAGAATAGGAGCAGGGCACTCCACCACAGCCCCACGGCCCATGGCCAGGACTCCAGGGAAGGGATGGGCAAAGGCGCTTTCTGGACATGAGATCTGTTTCCCAGCTCTCCCCATGGAACCTGCCCAGCCCCACTGGAAGGGCTAGGGGAGCTGTGTGGGCTGAAAGCAGATGAGCCCACACTTTCCTTTGTTTAACTCACTTTGAAATAAAGTAAACGCCATTCTTACGCTGAGCTTTCCTCGGCAACTATCTATTAAGAATATATTATGAGTGGGCATGGTGGCTCATGCCTGTAATCCCAGCACTTTGGGAGCCAGAGGCAGGCAGATCACTTAAGGTCAGGAATTCGAGGCCAACATGGCAAAACCCCATCTCTACTAAAAATACAAAAAATTAGCTGGGCATGGTGACGTGTGCCTGTACTCCCAGCTACTTGGGAGGCTGAGGCATGAGAATTGCTTGGCTTGAACTCTGGCATGGGGGTTGGAGGGGGGCGGAGGTTTTAGTGAGCTGAGATTGCACCATAGCACTCTAGCCTGGGCAACAGAGCAAGACTCTGTTTCAAAAAAATATATATATACACACACACACACACACATACACACACACACACACACACACACACACACATATATATATAAATTATGAGGGTGTGTGTTTGTTGGGGAACAGGCCCTGCCCACAAGGAACTACCACTCCAGTGGGGAAGACAGGTTAGAATTAAGTTATCTCCTAGCACGCTAGGTGCCCCAGAACCATCAAACAGCAGGACACCCAGCCAGGGGGCCCCAGACTCCAAAAGACCTGAGAAAAAAGACCCAAGTGTGAGTACCACCTCTGCCTCTTTTTTGTTGAGACGGAGCTCTGCTCTTTTCACCCAGGCTGGAGTGCAGTGGCATGATCTTGGCTCACTGCAACCTCCACCTCCATGGTTCAAGCAATTCTCCTGCCTCAGCCTCCCGAATAGCTGGGATAACAGGCACCCAACACCACACCCGGCTAATTTTTTGTATTTTTAGTAGATATGGGATTTTACCACATTGGCCAGGCTGGTCTTGAACTCCTGACCTCAGGTGATCCATCCACCTTGGCCTCCCAAAGTGCTAGGATTACAGGCATGAGCCACTGTGCCCAGCCCCACCTCTGCCTCTTAACAGCTGTGTGACTTTGGACAAGTGTATTAACCACTCAGTGTCTCCCACGGGGTTGCTGTTAGCACTCAATAGATGGGTAGTATTAGTATGGTTGTTGGTGTTTGTTTTATCTCAGGCATAAACAAAGGACCCTGGGAGCACAAATGAGGACTTTATCAATCTTGTGGGACTAGGGAGCTATCTGGGAAGGCCACCCTGAGGAGGCGGTGTTTGGTGTAGTCTGAAGATGGAAGTGAGGCGAAAGTAGGATATTCCAGGCAGAGGGAAAGGCATGGAGGTGGGAAAAGTGTCAGGCACATGGCGTGAGGAGCCGGACTTAGGGTATGGGGAGTGAATTCAGGGAGACCAGCCTGGAAGGAAAGGACGGCCTGATGGGGAAGGGGCTTGTCTATCCAGCTGAGGGGTTTGTTTTGTTCTGTAGACCATGGGAGCCATGATAGGCTTTTGAGCAGGGGAAGGATGGGATCAGAGGGGTGTTTCACAAGCTCATGATCTGGTAGCTACAGTAGGAAGCAGCTGGAGGTCACAGCCACACTCCAGGTGGGCTCCTCTGCTCTGATGCCCTCTCCACACTCCCCCCTCCCCCATACACCTCTTTGCCATTGGGAATTCTCCAAAAGGTCACCTTCCTGGAGCTCCCTCCTTTTTTGTCAAACAAGATCCTTCTCAAAAACCATCCTCAACCCCTGCTGCAGGTCAGAGAGTCCCTAGGGACAGAAGCCTGTCGATCCCAGAGTCCAGTGGGCACACTCTGAAAGGTCCCCAGAAACCCAACAAAACACCCATCTTAAGCAATTAGCATTCTGTGGGCACAGCAGAATAAGCCCTAGGTTTGGGGTCTAGGAGAACTAGGCTGAGACCCTAGTCCAGCTGCTAACCAGCCATGTGGCCAGCAAGACACTTGACTCTTGGATATCAGTGCCTTCATCTGTGGAAGAGCTGACCCTGACCCTTCCCCACTCAGAGGACAAGCCAGGTATTCCAGGTGCTCCACATGCAGTCACAACGACAACAGAGATAAGCATTATGAGTTGTCCCCATTTTACAGATGGGGAAACTGAGGAACAGAGGGGTCAAATACCATGTCCAAGTTGAAAGCCGGGGTTTGAACTCAGGCAATCCGGCTCAGATTCTATACCCTTTGCTTTGACATCACACCAACTAGAGGTACGTGGTTAGTTTTCAAGAGGTAGTCTTTGGAACCCCTAGGGTTGCCTGGAGTCTCTCTGGGGCTCTGGGGAGTGGAGGCTGAGCAGATAAGGCTGTGATCCCTCAAGCCCTCTTCAGCCACAGTAGCACTGTTCCTGTCTGTGTTCTTGAGCTTTTGCAGAATATTCCATTTGGAGAAGGGGTTGTGTTGCTAAGGAAAGTTGAACTCTTCTGGATGAGTGGCCCCAGGGTCCCCTACAGTGTGGGTGGCTGCTGTCATCTTCCAGGCAGTTGGTACGGCCCCCACAGATTTCCCAGACCCTTCAGCCTCCCTCGGACAGCCCTCAAAGGCAGGGTGAAACAAACACTTGCCACTGCAAATTGCATTGATGTTGTGAATAATAGTGACATGATGTCCTCGGCCAGCATGCCGACATCCTAAGGAGATCCTAAGGGGGATGTCGCCATCAAGGGGTGCAAGCATGTTCTCGCCTACCAGCCAGAGTGAACCATTCCCTGCATATGGAGTCACTGTGTCTCCAGCTAGAAGGGACCTTGAAAGTCATGAAGTCAGGCCCCAGGGATGCACAAAGCCCATGGGCAGCCCTGTTGGTGACAGGGAGCTTCTGCAGGGAGCAGAAGGCAGGAAGCAGGTCCTTCCTGGACGGGCATTGTTAGGGAGGGCTGCTGTACCTCTCGCAGAGCCGAATCTGTCTCCCCAGAACTTTCCCTGCTGGTCCTGAGCCTGCCCTCCAGAGCTGCCAGGAACGAGCTGGCTGCCTCTACCACATGACAGGCCTCCAAATCCTTGCCGACAGTTCTAATGTCCCCTTCAAGTCTTCTCCAGGCAAAGCCGCCCCAGCCCTCTAACCCCTCCTCAGATGACATGCATGGTTTCAAGTCCCCTTACTGTCAGCATATTAACACTGGGGGAAAGAAAATTTGGAGCCCTAGTCAGCCTTTTGACAGGGTTGAGTGCCACAACCTATCCTGAGGCAGAGGAGACATCCTAGGTCCCGGCGGGTAAGGCACAGCATAGACAAGGGCAGACAGGCAACATCAGGAAACCTGGAAGGCAGGGTGAACCAGGAGCTAGGCAGAGCCAGATCTCCTAGGTCCAATGCCGGGATGTCTTGGGAGTGAGGTATGAGCTGGGGCAGGCTGCTGCCCCTCTACCCAGGCCTGTGGTAGGCATATCAGCTGACTACAGCTCAGGATGAAGGGTCTAACTGAGTCCTGTGTGCTTTGCTGGGTCCTGTGGGCACAGCCTATGCTCCTGGCCATGCCACCCCCCAAGGAGATCTCAGGGTCAGGTCTGTGTACCCCAGGAAGCGGCCTGCTTCTGAGGGTGGACAAGATGTCCATGCACAGCCTTCCCTTCTAGCATCTGGGCAGGGCTTGGTCTCTTGTTCACCACTGTATTCCCAGCACCAACGGTGGAGCATTTAATAGGTGCTCAATAAATGCTTATTGAAAGAATGAAGGAGGAAGAATCCCAGGCCTCCAGGAACAAAGATAATAATAGGTGCTACTATTTATTAAGCACCTACTATATGCCACACTACAGGGTCCACAAAGAAAGGGGCTGTATCTGCTTTGCTCACTCCAGTATACTCTATGACGAGCTCGGCGTCTGACACACGGGGGGTGCTCAGCAAATATTTGTTGAATGTTCAATGCTTGTATATGTTATCTCATTTGTCACCCAAATAAGATGGAAGAGAAGAGATGGGAGAGGCTGCAGTGATGAGATGGGAGAGGCTGCAGTGATGAGTTGAGAGCTCTCTTTTACAAGTGTGTGTGCGCGCATGCACACACACATGCATGCACACACATATGCACACACACACACACACACGCACGCACGTACACACACACACATACACTAGGACCCCTTCTGTTCTTTCCCCATGCTCAACTTTGCCTGACAAACTCCTGATTTTTTTAGGCCCAGATGAAAAGACCTCCTCCAGGAAGCCTCCCTTAGTCTGCCCAGTGGGAATTAATTTCTCCTGCCTCTGAGTTCCCAGCATACTGGGCCTACATCCTTCTTTTAGAGAATAGTGATTAGTGCCAGGCCTCTGAAGTCAGATTGCTCATGCTTAAATTCTGGCTCTGATTCTTCCAAGCCATGTAACCTAATCTCTGTGTGCCTTGGTTTCCCCATCTGTAAATGAGGGCTGATAATAGTATAGTCTCATAGGACTATGGTGAGGTTTAAAGGAATTAGCATGTACAGTGAACTCAGCACAGTGCCTGACACGGAATAAGTAGGCACTAAATGCTAGCTATTATCATAGCATTATCACATCGTGCCCTGGATTAGTGATATCTGGGGCACGGAGTTGGCACTCAATGGTGGTAAATGAAATACTGGATTGGATACACTCTAGTTTTCTCCACAGGATGGCAGAGGTCAGAGGTCACATATTACTCAATTTTGTGCACCCCTGAACCCTCCCAGGACCTGCAGGGCTTGACCAAAGCAAGCATCAGTGAGCACCTACAGTATGGAAGAGGGAGGGCTAAGGCATGGGGACATGGGATCAGGGGTGACAGCTGGAAGCCAGGCTGGGCCTCAGGTGTGAACTGCCGACCCAATCCGGTCCCTTACCAGGGCTCAGCCCCGACTCCCAACTCCTTCTCATCTCCTCAGCAAGATGATTTATGGATGAACAGAATCAAACAGGGCTGCTGGCTGCTGGGATGCCCTGGGGAGCTGCAGGAGAGGGAATGGCTTTCAGAGGGCAAGCTCACCAGCTGCCCAGAGGGGAACGGGAGGGGGTGCCGCAGGAGCAGTGGGCACATGCACACAGGCCACAGACACAAGCCACAGAGACTCACCCTGGCACAGACACCCATGCACACACACCCATGGCTGTGGCCACAAGCAGATGCCCAGCCAGCTCCGCCATTCATGAGTTCTAGGCATTCACGCATTTCCTCTAGCCTGGAATTCTCTCCCCATGAATTTGCCATCACTTGTCTACTCAGATTCTGTCTGTCCTTCTGAGGCAGAGCAGTGGGATATATTGTAGACATGGAGGCAGATGACCTGGGTTTACGCCCCAGCCCTGCCCCTGGCCAACTACGTTACCCAGGGCAAGGCCCATGCTGGGCCTGAACACTTTACCTTCAAATGATGATCATGACCCCTAACCTCCCCTGCTGGGGAGGTCACCATCAAATAATAGCTAACATTAGTTGAGTGCACACAATGTGGCAGATACTGCGCCATGAAGTTTACATGCACCATCTCCACAACCTCGGACCATTATTATCTCCATTTCACAGGAGAAGAAACTAAGGCATGGGGAATAATAGGTGCTTGAGCCCATCCTTTCCTGCCCAGCCACAGTGGCCTCCCTTTGAGCTGATGAATGTGATGGCATTCTATAATGTGCTAGACTGTACAACCTAGCCACACTTTCCTCTTTCCCACAAGCAGGCCAACCCTTGTCACACCTATGATGCTTTGCCTAGGCTGTTCCTTCTTCCTGGAACGCCTTTCCTTCTCTATCTTCAAGGCAACTAGACAAAGATGGTCTCCCCTCCTACAATCCTTTCTGCCTCCCTAGTAACTATGACAATTAACTATTTTGGGTTAATAATTAGCTCTTTCTGTGTCCTTCCCCAACTGGGAGCACCTAGAGGATTGAGACCCCCAGCTCACTCAGCTTTGAAGACCAAAGTCTGGTACACAGGAGAGGTTGGAGAAGTAATTGCTAAACAAATTCATGAAATCATTCAAGGTCTCAGATAAGCCCACCTCCCCCAAGAAGCCCTCCCCAATGACAGGCACTCATAGCAGTCTCTTCCTTCTCCAAACTTGAATTAATGGATCCATTTGTCAACCCCCTTTTCTTGGGGATAGACTTGACCCCCACAAGCAGGGGCAACAGGATAATATCCTGTCTCCCAATTGCTCAGGGTCTCCCACAGCCTGTAGCCTAGGTCAAGGTACAGAGAAGCTGCTGGACATGCTGGGAATCTGTGCCTATAGGCTCTTTCCCCCAGAATTCATGTGTGCATGTGTGCTCACACTCTCAGATGGTGACATGCACACTCCCCACACCCAGCCCTTCCAGAGTTGTTCCATCACCCGCAAGCCCTCCCAACCTAGACTGCTTCTGCTCCTGGAGGCTCTCACAGGCATTGACAGGTCCCAGGCCACTGCTCTTCTTCCCAAGTGTCTTTCATTACAGTAACGAATGTATGCTTGGCATTGAATCATGTCTGCAGACTTCAGCACCCCTCTGAGGGTAAATACTCTTATGCCCATTTTACAAAGAAGGAAACTGAGGCTCAGGAGGGTTAAATGCCTGCCCAGGAACACGCAGCAGAAGAGAAGTAAAGCCAGGATTAGACTGGAGGTCTATAAGACCTCAAACCCTGTGGCTCTTACTCTTGTTCCACCCTAGGGGAGCCACGCCTTGAAATCAGACACTCTGAGAATAGACAGAAAAGAAGAAAGAACCTGAGTGGACACAAACGACAGTTACGGAAAGGGCTCCCACCCTCCCAAGAATTTTACCAGTTAGAGCCATGCCCAAATTACCCCAGGTACTTCAGAGACTCCTCTGACACACACACCTTTTCTGGGGCTCCTTCCCCCATCCACTGGCCCAGGCATTGGCCTCAGAGAAGCACCCTCAATAGATAGAGTCTCAGCTGGCCTCAGGGTCCCAGGACAGGTTGGGGGCTGGGTATCTGGCACTGGACAGTCTAGGAGTGGGAAGAGGAGGACAATGGGGTGTCCCAGGGACTTGCCCAGGGCTCTATCTCTGGTACTGATCAGGGTGCAACCACTACTCCGGAGATAAAGCAGAGTGCTGCTGGGGGTGGTTGGGGCTACATCTGCCAGCACGTCCCCATCCTGAGCTTGCCTCCTCCCACCTGATTCTGCAATACACGTCAAGCCCCAGCACTTCCCCACCCCCATCTTTTGGTGGCTCCCGATGACGTTCAAGGTGGGAAACAGTGAAAGCTGGAGTCACAGGTTTCCATAGGAAGCACCCTCCATGCGCATGCTGAGCAGATGGAAATGGGGGAAGATGGCAGGCATTTACAAGTGGGCAGAGCTTACCAGCTCCAGGGTGATCTGGGCATGGAAAGGGGGACATTTTTGGTGCCTATCCTGCTTCCCTCCCTCCCCTCAACCCAAAACACACAAGAAAGCCAGAAAGAGGCAGAGTTGGGGATAAAGGAAGAGAAAGCCAGTGAGCTAAACCCTGCACCCCAGACAACCAGGCAAAGCTCCAGGTCTTGCCATCTTGCAGAATTTCCTGACCTCTTTCCACTGTAAGACTCTCCCTTCCAGGCCACCCACCTGGGGAACAGGGCCAGCTCTTCTCTTGCAAGAGGAAAAACAAATTGAGATAGGCGAGAAGGAAAAAAGAATAAGGAAGGGAGAACACCCAGCACCTATTTCCCAGAAAAGCTGGGCCTTGGACCTACCCCCACCCCATGCCCTCCGGACATTCTCTGAGTGTCCTTTGGAAAGCCCTGGAGGTGCCCACAACCCCTTGGGCTTCACCCAGGGTGGGAACTAGGCTAGCAAAAGAGGAAGCCCAAGGGGAATTGTTTTGGAAAGTTACAAGTAGCTGAAAATGGGGGCTCAGCACGAGCAAGCTTCCTCAACCTTGACTGTAATAAAAACAGATAATGTGTGAGTGAGCTAGGGAGAGTGCGCTGGCTGGGGCCGCAGAGGCCGGCTAGATGCAGACGGTTTAGAATTCAGAGGAGATGCCAAGTGAGTAAACAGTGAATGAAGGATTATCTGGATGGGCCAGCAGCCGTTCCGGCAAGAAATTGGACAGGGACATGTCGGGATCCACAAGCACTCCTACTCCTCATCAGAGAGCGAGACCTGGTGAGCTATGAGGACCTTGTCCATGCCTTCCCTACCTCTGCTGTCTCTTCCAGTCGAGACATGGCCTTGGTAATAATGGCTCACATCTGTACAGTGCAGAGCAGTTTATAAAGTGTTCCACAGTTTACTGAGGGTTTCACATGCATTATTGAATTTAATGGAGGTGATGGTATCTTCTGCTCAGTGACCCCCTCACCTCACCTCACCTCACCTCACCACAGCCACCCCTACCTCCCACAATTCCTGGCCTAGGGAGGCCTGGTGCATCTGGCTTCAGTATTCAGCCTCAAAAGAGGAGGAAGGGGAGACTGGCCATCTGTAGACCCCAGAGAGCTGCTAAGCCCAGAAGTCATCAAGGCCAAAGCCATTCAGGATGGAAAGGGCCAGGTGCCAGCTCTGAGCTGGGAGCCCAGACTGAAGAGTGGCTAGCCAGGAGTTAGCTCGGAACCTGACACACTCCCCACCCACCTTGATCCCAAAGCTGATGAGCCACCTGAGCAGCTGTGAAAATGATCACGTCTGTCAGAGCAGCAGGAGCCCAAGAAAGGAGGGGCTCAGAATGGGGAGGGGGCTCTTCACCGGGAATGCGGAGCAGAGGCAGGATCAGGGACGTGTGATGATTAAGTGTGGGCCTTGACCACTAGTTACTCCTATGAATAATGCATTGTTGTGCCTTGGCCTAAATCAGCATCTTATTGTTATTAATAATACACGCTGCAAAGAAGCTGGGGTTGGAACTGTATGCTATGTTTCATTTGAGGATCTCAGAGCACTTAAAAGCTCCTCATGCTGATGACTCAACTTTATCTCCCCGAGTCATAGGCTTCCTCACGGGCCACCTGCCCGAATGCCCTTCCACCTGAGGCTTGGAGCCGTGAAGGCCACCAGAGCTAGAAATCTTCCATCCTGGGATTCAAATCCATGGCCAGGGCTTATGGTTGGGGAGGGGAGTGCATTTAATTTTTGCAAGCTCAAAGGCTCCTGGGGATGCAACATAATGTGAAGCTCCCAGAAAGGTTTCAGGACAGAGATAACTAGTGGGAATCCAGGGGCGGGAGAAATGGATAGAGAGACCACTGCGGATCTGAATCCTGTTCTGTCACTTCCAGTTGTGTGACCTCAGGCTACTCACTCAACTCTCTGGTCCTAAGCCTCCTGGCTGGAATGCAGGGTCTAAGATTCCCTCTACGAGATGCCGTTCTATCATATTCAGGGGTATCATTTACACGGCAAATATTAGGATGGAGCCATTGAGCGCCCCGCCCCCCAGAGCTGTCCAAGGTGCTGAAACAGCTGTCGGCCACGCGGCTCCTTGTCCTTGGTGCTGAAACAGAACTCAGTCCTGGGGCTGCGCCCTCTTCCAGGTCGCCCTTTGCGCAGCTCCCAGCGAGCAGGATCCGAGAGACTGTGCATAGTGATTCCGCCTTCCTCTGCCAATGCCTCCCTGATCAACCCTCAGCTGAAGCTATGGCAGCACCCAGTGACCTCAAGAGCCCCCTTTCCTCGAGTTAGGTCCTCGGATGCTGAAGACCCCAGTCCTGACTCAGGACAAAAAGGGCCGCCCCGCGAACGTGGTAAATACCACGCCCCATTCCCTCCCGGGGGCCCGCCGCACTGCCTCCTGGTGGCTGGCGCGGGCACTGCACCCCGGCGGGCGCACAGACGGTCCCCAGCGGCGGCCTGGGCCAGCGGCGAAGCAGCGGCAGACGGTTCTCCGGCCCCCGCCGCCCCCTCACCGCTCCCGGGGCAATCTGGCGCTCAGAGCTTGCGGCGTTGCCCGACACCCGCACACTCCAGCCTGTCTGACTGCATCCTGGCCGCTTTGGGGCTGCCTGGGTCACAGTGCAGCCTCAACCCAGCTGGCCAGACCTGGGGCAGGCAAAACTTCCTGCTCCCTCCTCCAAGGTGGGTGGGGAAGGCTTGTTTAAACAAACACCAACCTTTCCTCTGTGGCAGGGCCAGTCCCGCCAAGATGAACACAAAGGCCTCCCCCAGGGCAGAGGCTCCACACCTCTCCCCCACCCAAACAAGAACTTTGCCCATACCCGCCCCAGGAAAAAGTGAGGGGTTGCAGGAGAATGCCATAACTGCAGCCCACTCCTGTTCCCCCACCCTACAGGTGGGGCTCTTTGAAAGGCAGATCTGCTTGGTGTTTCTAGGGGCTGCTTGATATGAACCTTACTGGGTTGTAGAGATTCTCCCCCTTCCAAAAACAAAAAGCAAAACAAATAATACCACGTGAAAAGCCAGCACCCAAAACCACAGCTTCTCTGGAGTCAAGGGAGTCAAGATAATAGCCTTCAATTACAGTAGACATAGCTGGTATGTATCATTTATTGAGCACTTACTGTATGCCAAGCACTGTGCTAAGAGCTGTGCAAACATGATCTCATTTAGCCTTCCAGCCACCCTGCCTCCCCAGGAGGGAGCATCATGCTCAGCCTCCTACACATGAGGAAAGTGAGGATCAGAAAGGGAGGTGACCGCTCAGGCTGGTGCAGCCAGCGAGTGCTGAGACGGGCATGGGAGAGTGTATCCATCTGCCCTTACTCTTGCCATTCAGCTGGATCTACCTCATCATCCTTCCATGTTCTAGAGGCCACACTATGCCTCAGGTTTCTCCAAGACCACTCCAGCCCCCCACCATCCTCACCTCTTGGCTGAGAGCCACATGAAGGAAGAGAGTAACACCTTGAACTCTGTAGCACTTTACAGCCTGCCAAGTGCTTTCAGAGCCACTGTCTGAATTGACCCTCATGATCTTGAGGGGTGAAGTGGGCAGGGATGGCCCTGTTCTGATTTTGTAGGAGAGCAAAGTATGGCTCCAAGGAATAAATGGCTTGCCCCAAGTCACACAGTGAGCTGTGGAACCAGAACTCAGGCAAAGACGGTGGGACACCCAGTCCAGTGTACTCTTCCCACTTCCCCAAGGCTGGGGTGCTGGGGACAAGCCAGGCAGGGAGTCCTAGGGGCTTTCATCTCCTGAGGGGCTTCCTGAGGCCATGACCTGGGCTGCTTCCCCACTCCTACTCCCCGGGGTCCATTGGTTGGCTCAGCTTTAACTTGGAGTCTCGGAGTCTCATTCTAAATGAATTTTTTTTTCCAGGCAATTACCTCCTGCTAATTAGGAGGCAGGGCTGCCAGTCCCTCGGCCCTGGACTGACCCTTTTCTCAACCCACAGAGGGCAGGGGGGTTGTGGAGGTACTGGGTAGCAGCTCCAGCCACAGAAACTGCCTGGGTCAGGGTTCTGTCAGGGCAGGGGATGCTGATGGAGGAGCAAAGAGCTCCACAGAACTGGAAGAAGGGAGGCAGGGATGCTGGGGAGGGAGGGACTCTGAAGTGGGAGAGAGCAAGGGGACAAAAAGCTGGAAGGAGCCTGAACATGTCCATGCAGAGTAAGTGAGAGAGACCTGGGCTCTGGGGCAGCAGAGGGAGCCAGGAGGAGCCAGAAAAACAGGGACACATCGCAGGAAGAAAGGAGGAATCTCAGGAGCCAGAGAGACAGGAAGGGGTAGGAATCTCCCCTCTATGGAGAGAGAGGAAGTGAGAAGGTGCCCCAGAAAACGGTCAAGATTACAGAAGGGGCAGAGGCAGAGAGACAGATACTGGAAGACTCCAGGAAAGGGAAGGGGAGAGGAAGGACAGGGAGGAAGGAGGAATTGCTGAAGGAAAACCCCAGGGAGAAGGGGGAGGAGAGCGGGGGAGGACGGCTTGGAGTGGCAGCTCCCAGAGCCCCAAGAAGGGCTTTCTCTACGTCATTGTCCTTGAGCTTCCCCCAATGTCAGTGCCCAGCCAGCTGGGCCTGCACACCCTCCTACGCAGCCACAGGTGCGGGCGGGCATGATGGCAGGCCACCAGCCGGCTCAGGCCCCAGATGCTCCACTCACCCGGGGCAGCCAGCTGACCTCCCTCCCTGCCAACCTGCCACCCCCTCGAGTAGGCTGAGCCAGGGGCCCTCCTGGGCCACACAGCAACACGACCAGGAACTTCTGGGGCTGTGTCCAGCCTCTCCACTTTTCAGAGGGAGGATCAAGGCACAGAGAGGAAACAGTGCCTGTCCAAGGTCAAGTGAGTGATGAGGCCAGATGCAGAGGGCTCAGGGGCTAAGTCCTACTGGTGGGTCCTGTTCCCTTCTGGGCGATGGGCAACAACAGGAGACAAAGACAAGTCATGGCTGCCAGCAAGTCAGTCCTGATCAAAGCCCTCTGGAGTGTGGGGTGGCAGGCAGAAGGGAGTGAGGGTGGCCAGAGGCTGGAAGGGAACCAAAGGAACTCACGTTTGTGGAGCACAGGGTGAGAGGGTTCTGCAAGGGTTATAATTGTAACAAACATTACTGAACACTTACTAGATACAGTGTGCCAGCCACTTAAGACATTACATGCAGGATCTCATTTGATCCCAACAACCCTAAAAGTATGTGTCACTATTATTCCATTATAGGGAAAAAACTGAGACTCAGGAGGGTTGGGTGACCTGGCCAAGTCCACACAGCTAGCCAGAGGCATGGTTCTGACTCATGCAACTGGTCATTTTGAGGCCACTGCCCTGAAGACCCCTCAACATTATCTGAAGATGTGCAGGTCCCTGAGTTCCCAAGGTCCCAGAACAGCCCTGGCACAATCTAAGCCCCAAACTCCAGTAGGACTGCAATCCATGAGGTCCAAGACTTGAACAAGCCCTGTCTTATGGCGTTAGAGTCTGGTTTTTAGTCTTGGTTCAGCCACTAACTTACTGTGTAACTTTGGACAGGTCACTGTTCCTCTCTGGGCCTTCATGTTCCCACCTGTACCATCAAAGGGTAGGACCAGATAAGAAGAACTACTACGTACATAGTGATAACTGTGACAGGCACAGTTCTAGGTGGTTTACAGATATTAACTCATCGAATTTTCCCAACAGCCCCATGACGGTGCTATTATTCCCTCCATTTTACAGGTGGGAAATGAAGCACTGAAAGGTTAAGTCAGTTGCCCAAGGCCACAAAGCAAGTCAGCACAAGGCACATCTGGGATTTGAGCCTCATTACTTTTGATCCAGAGCCCCTGTGCCCTGGCCACCACTCTGCATTCTTTCCCTAAGAACCCTCTCAGCCCCTGCTTGGCGCCCCAGCGATGTGTGCCCATGTGCCTCTGCACAGACACACCTACCATCGTGTTTCCACATGGGAAGCACACACACAGTCATGCATCTGCATGAAGTGAGGTGTGTTAGCTCATGCTCCCACACCCACTCCTGTGCCTCCACCCAATTTCTACCTGAAGTAGCCAGGCTGGGTCACATATGTCCACAAGCATCCCAGCACCAGAACAAGCTGACTCTAGCAGGTCCATGCACACACACACATATACACGTGTTCCCGTCTCTGAGCAGTGGTTGACTTGTGGGGGCCATGTGCCATGCTGCAGCACACAGCCATGTGGCAGTGACGTGGGCCACCACACCCCTTCTCCTCTGCTTCCTTCTAGTGCCTGGGTGGCTGGCACGTCACATCCCGCACCTGCCGGCACCCCCATCCACACTGCCTTCCTCACGCCTCTCCCCTAGCAGAAGCGGGCACCTTCTCCAGGAAGGAAGCAGACTCAGGCACAGCCTGGCTCCCACGGCCCAAAGATGCCAGCCAACCTGGGGGTGGAGAGGGAGAGAAAGGCATCAACTGGAGGCTCCAGGGGGCCTGGGGTCCACAATGGCTCCTATCTGAGACTAAGCCCTCCCTTAGGTCTGAGTGCCAGAGCTGAGCTCTCAAGACCCTCGAGACACTGGCCCTCTCTGTCATTGCCAGGTATGGGGTCAGATGGGGACCCTGGGGACAGAGGGTCTCCCATCATTCCTGAGCAGGACTGTGTTGCCACCTGGGCTCCTCTGACCAAGTTACCATTGCACCCTTCACCACCCTATCCCCGGTCCCTGCTCTCTCCTCCCCCTGCCCAAGCATCTTAGAGTTCTGGGTATTTTTAGGCCTCAGCTGACAGGCTGTGAAATCACTCCCTTCGCACCTCCCCAACCAGGCGGGGGCTGGAGAGGGAGGAATGAGGTTGGGGGGGGGGCACACAGACAATTCATCAGGCTCCTCCAGGGCTGGCAGGTGCCAAGGAGGGAGAGAGGGGTTCCTCCCCTTCTCCTGAGAGCCTCCCCCATGAGTGAGAGGATCCCTCCACCTTGCCAGTAGAGAGAATGGAGACAGGGTAGGAAGGAGACTCCCCTCCACTCCAGGAAGAACAAAGGCTTTAGGGGATACCCTAGAATTAGAAGAGGCACTGGGACACCCTTTGAGTCCAGCTCTGCAGCCAGTACCAACTCGTAGTGCTCCCTTCTGAGAGACGGGCTGAGAGACGGGCTGGCTTAGAGCCTAGTAGGATAAGGAGGCACCAGGCAACGTAGCCCAGTGGTTAAGACCCAGGCTTTGGAGTGAGGCCGACTTGCAATCTTA
This sequence comes from Homo sapiens, assembly GCF_000001405.40. Lineage (NCBI taxonomy): Eukaryota > Metazoa > Chordata > Mammalia > Primates > Hominidae > Homo > Homo sapiens. The sequence goes on from NC_000011.10 coordinate 61,572,510, forward strand.
TTCCTGCTCTACTGAGTGACCCGGGCAAGACACTCAACCTCTCTGAGTCTCCGTTTCCTCATTTGCACTGCAGTGAATTGGATATCTCCCTTGCAAGACTGCTGTGAAGATGACATAACATGATGAATGGAAAGAACAAGGTGGTCTGTGGACCCACCAGGCACCACTGGGAGCCTCTCCCTTGCAGCTTTCCCTGACCTTCCATTTCTCCTAGCTGCCCCTTCTCTGGGCTGGCTTTCTCACTGCAATCTCCAAGACAGGAGCCCACAGTTCATCCTGGCGTCAGGGCCCTTGGCACCCATCTGACCCCCACTCAGGGGTAACAAATTTCCAACTAAGGTGGGTAGTCAACACAGATGGTCCCCACCTCCCTGCTTCCTGCTGCAGGACACACACACATACACATCATGTGTGCATACATACCCAAATGCCAACATGCATGTGTGCTGCCAGCGCCTCAGTGTGAGGGCGTTTGCCTTGGGATGACCCCCAAGGGAAGTGGGAAGACATAACCAGGCCCCGCTGTGAATGGGTCCCTGTGCCAGTGGCCGTGGGCATGGAGAGGGGGGGTGGCCCGTCTAGTTGCCATGGAGACAGGTTGGCTTTGGTGGGGCTCTGGAGCTCAGGCCTGGCAGCTGGAGCAGGAGCTGTGTGGCCCCTCCTGGGCCTGGCCCTGATGCCTGGGGGGGTTATGTGGGTACAGAACAAATCCTCAAAAGGACTAACTGTGTCCACAGGGCCCTGGGCCTGCCCATCTTGGCTCTATATCCCTCACTAGGGAGGCTTTCTCTGATACCCCAGGCACCTGGGAAGCCCCCTCAGGGTGTTCATTCATGCCCACCTGCATCCGGCTACCCCCTTACTGCCTATAATCTGCTGCAAGCTTTCCAAGGGCAGGGGTCCAGGCTGGCTGGACACTGCAGATCTCCTGGCAGAGGTAGGGACAGATATGTTAATGGCTGAGATTCTAGCTCCATCTACCCACCTGCCTCCTGACTTCCCACCCTCCACACTACCGTGCTGTCAAAGTTCTTTATAGAGATCTGCTCAAAAGCCATCCATGGCACTCCATGCCTTACTTTTTAAAAGAATTTCAGTTTTCCTATTTCAAAATGCCAACTCCTTCATAATCTGGCCCAACCTACCTTCCCAAGCCTCACTTCCTGCTACTGTGCCCCAAAGGTCTCCCTTCTGGCCATGCTCAAGCACTCCCTGCTGCCTCAACCGGCCAAGATCCCTCGAACCTCTGAGCCACTGCATGTGCTGTCCCCACCTCACCAACTGCCTCACCTCTGCTCGCTCACATGGCAAAGCTCTTATTCTTCCTTCAGGACTCAAGGCCCTGTATCTGAAGCTCACACCCTTAGGTCTGGCAGCGTGGCTGGAATCCCAGACCTACTTCTAACTGCAAGTTCGCACTTCCCAAGGTGGTTCTGAGGATGGAGGCGCTAACGCATGTTATGTGCTTAGAACAGCACCTGGCACATAGTGAGCACACAACATGTCTCTGCTATTCTGATGGTAACCTAACTGACACTGCCTCCATGAAGCCCTCCCCAACTCCTCCACCATGGAGGTAGCAGGCATGTTCTCCTTGGAGGATCCAGAACCCTCATCCCACACATCAATTGCTTGGTACAGGACAATGTTGAGAACAGCTACCGCTGGCTGAGTGTTTACTATGGGCTGGCTCTCTGCTAAATACTTTTTCTGCCTTATCTCACCTCATCTTCCAACCGCCTGGGAGGTAAGAACCATCATCATACCCATTTAACAGAAGAGGAAACCCAAGGCCAGAGAGGTGGGCTGACCTGCTCCAGAGACAGAGCAGCAAGTGTCTCTGCCAGGATTCAAATCAATAGCTGTTTGACACTAGAGCCCTAGCTCAAGCAAGCTGTCCCTGGAGGCACATATGTAAAGTGCTCAGCACATACTGAGTGCTCCACAAGGCTTGCTATTATCATACTATTGTTATTATCAGGGGAGGACACAGGATGTGTTTGGTGACCTGAGACGGGATTCCTTAAGCTGGTCCCTCTGCAAAGCACAAAACCCCCATTCCTGGAGAAAGTGTTTCCAAGGGTCCCTTGGCTGCCATCCCTGACCCCCATCCTTGGATGGGGGTCAGGGATGGTAAGGAGGTGTGCAGGGAGTCCCAGTATCTGGACGCGGGGCACTTCCTCTGAGGGGTGCTGGAGCAAGCAAATGCTTGAGGGGGCCCTCCCGGGCCCAGGCCTGGCAGAGCGGGAGAGAGCCTGCTATGTGCCAGCCATGCTGGCCGCCGCTCTCTGGCCTCGCTGACACCACCCCATGGTAATGAGACGGATCCAATTTGTACCCAGGGCCCCGCCGGGAGCAGCTGCCGCGGCAGGGTTTGAAGTAATTTAATTGGACACATTAGCTGCATGCTCTCTCCTCCACTCCCCTCGTGCAGAGCCTCATGCAGGCGCCCCTTCTGCCTCCCACCCCTCATGCCACCCTGCCCTGGCTGGTGGCAGGGTGCATGCTCCACCAACCAGCTAGGACTAACAGGTAGGCACCGTTCCTCTCTCATTCCTGGGGCTCCTGGGGGCTCTAGAACCAGAGGGCTCTCTAGGTCCCAGGTTCTCCCCAATCTCTGATGCAAGCAGCAACTATGGCAGCCCACTGGGGCTAGAGTTCAGACCTCTCCCTCCCGTCTCCTACAATGGGCAGAACAGTCACCCCCCTTTCTCCTTCAGTCAGCCATGGAAGCCACCAGCCTTCTGCACTCCAGGAAGGACACCGAAGGAGCAGGGCCAGCAGCATATGCCTGTTTTACCAGCATCTTTGGTTTTGTCACTATTAGGGTTTGTCACTATCAGGGTCACTACAGAGATGATAGGCAGCCCTCCTCTTAGGGCCTGGGGAAGCAGTGCATACACACATGCACAGACCAGACCTAGTCACAAACACACAGGCGAGATCAGTTTGACCCAGACACATACACACATACTAACAGCCCCACACCGTCATGGAAATGCTTGTATCTTACACATGAAAGCTCCCATGATCACCCCCGTCCACACCCATGTATGCCACACAGCCAGGTAAGGCCCTGCTCCGAGCAGACGAGGCCTTCATGGCCATGCCAGCAGGTGGGAGGGTGTGGCAGGGGGTAGGCAGGGTCCCTGGCACACAGGCCCTGCCTGGCCAGGTACAGGGCCGGGGGAGGGGCCCTCCCCTAAAGCTTTCCGTCATAGCTCCCCACGCACCTCAACGCGCCTCGCTACAAATACACTCATTAGCTGCTGTTTACAGCGGTCCTGGCACTTCGATAAGCACAGATATTATGGCCATCCAGCTGCCACCCGCACACACACTAGGTACACATACAGACAGTGCCTCTCCCCCTGCCTCCGCCCTCCCCTTCCACCCGTGGGCTCAATCACATGAAGATACCAATTCCCCAAACATGCAGCTTTGCAGGGGTTCCAGCTCACAATACCTCAGCTCCCGGTCCATTCTATCCCAAGGGGTCCTTCCAGGTGGAGGCTGCAGAGACTCCCCAGAGCAGGCCGGATGCACCTGCCCGCCTTCCAACCAACTGGACCTGGAATTCCAGGCCAAAGCTCTGGGCACAGTCCAGCCCTTTCCACAAGTCCCATGCTGTCTGCCAACTCTGTTCCAGCCCTTGGGGAATTCTGCTGGGTGAGACCAAAGCCCTGCCCTGCAGACACTAGTTGGACAGGGCCCAGCAGGGCTGCCCCTGCTGCCTGGAAGGTCAGGGACCTCCATGCCCACGGAACTGGCAGAATTCACCTGGCATCACCAGCTGGGGTTCCCTGGCAAGGCAGGCAGGCACCCGGGCTGGGCCTGGCACAGGCTGGTGCCGGCACCTGGCCAGACCAGTGACTGCCCCGACGAGAGAAAGTTGACCTCTCGGCCACATATGCCACCTGCCGGGCACTGTCTGTGGAGCAGAGGACCAGCTCTATACAGGGCTGCCCATGCCCACCTGTGATGCCACAGTGCTCTGAGGAGCCATCAAGCCAACTCATTCTCCAGCTGGGGGTCATCAGCTCCGGACTGGGCCTCCCGCCCCCACGTGACCCCTCCCAGCTCTTCTCCCTGCTGTTCTTCTGTTCTTGGCCTCACTCCCCTGGGGGAACCAGTTATTGAAAACGAAAACGGTCCATCAGATTCAATAAGGATTCAAAGTCCGTGAGAGAATAGGGGGTGGGTGGGGAGTAGGATGGGGGGACTCAGGAGGGGCAGGAGGGGGAGGGAACCATATACGGCTCCTCTGCCTGTTCCACACAACATCCTGCAATGGCCGGGCTAGAGGGTGTAACAAGGAGACAGCCCCCACTGGCACTCCATGTTGCCCTCAATGCCCCTTAAGCCTGAGCTTGGGGTCAGCCAGGAGCAGAACCCAGCTGCCCAGGGCCTGTCTTTGCTCACCCAGCACCCACCTATTGACCTGCCTTCCAGCTGTCCCCTTACCTGTCACCTACTGGCCTGTACGTTCCCACCTCAATCCGGCCTGCTCTAACCCCCTCCCCAGTATGAGGAGGGGCTTTGGGGCTATCTCCCTCCCCACTATGCCCCAGCCCTCAAGCGGGCAGCTTGTTGATCAAGCTTCCCTGCAAGGCCACAGAACAGTGTGAACCAGGGCCCTGGAGGGGGCCTGTCTCCATGGTAACACAACAGCTTGGGGGCACTGGCTACCCTGGCCCATGCCCCATTGAAATCATCCTCACCCCCTCTGGGTTTTAGACTTGCCCAGCCTCAGGTCCTCCACTGTGTCCTGGCCTGTGGGGAGATCATTCGATCTTCAGTCCGGACTCTAACTCAAGCCCAGGATGCAGGCCAGGGAGGCCCGGGCATGTGCCGATGGGGCAGGCTTTGGGGAGGTAGGTGGGAGGAGAGAGGTTGTTGGTGAAATGGGTGGACACAGTCAGGCCTCCTTGGACCTTCCCACACTCCAGCCCTGGCCTCTAACCCAGGTGTTCCTCAGGGCATACCCTTGATCTGCCCTTTCAGCCACACCCCTAACTTCTGCACCTCCCTCACCCGCCATCAGCCTCTTCCCCTAACTTGTGCCCAGTGACTGGAGGGTTGGCCTGGACAATCTAGTGGATCCTTCACCTTGAGAGAAGAGGCCCGCTGTGCCAAGGCCCCCTGCCCTGCATGCTCCCAAGTCACGACCTGCCTAGTGGAGTGTCTGTAGGGAACAGAGCCCACTAACAGGTGGGACAAAAGAAGGCTTCAAGCACTACTACTCCCAGGGACAAGCTCACAGAGGGCTGGGGGCAGGGCAGGCAGCCTTCAGGACCTAACCTCTGTCCCAGTGGTTCCCTCTCTGGCCTTGCTTACCAGCTCACTGCAAGGTCACCTCTCCCTCCCTCTCTCTTTTCCTGCCGCTGTCCTGCCTGCCCACTGCAACGCTGACCCCTGCAGGCCTGCTGGGGCCTGCCTGGCCTGGGGACAAGCAGTCCGAGAGAAACAGGGACTTCAGGATGAACCAGAGGGTGAAGGCTGAGGGCAGGAAGAGGCCGTGAAGTCTGGGAGGGGGCAGAAGGGAGGCTGCAGGTCTGGTCTAGGGAGGCTGGACAGAGTGTGGAGCTGGAGCCTGGGTGTGCATGGGAGGGGGCTGGTCTGGGTTCTTCACTGGACTCCGATTATTTCCCACAGTCCTTTTCTTCATTCACAATAGATCAGGGAACCAAGGGCCTGGGGGCCTGAGGCCCAAGTAGGGAGAGAACCACACCTGTCAGGTAAGGTCCTCACAGTAGCTGAGCCCTTAGGGACCTGCATAGTAAGTGGGATGAGGGAGGGAGTACCACAGGGATCTTCTGGAACCAGCATGAGGCAAAGGGGAGCAGGAGAGGACAGATTTTTTTTTTTTTAAGGATTGGGCCGCAGGTGTTCCTGAGAGTGGGATGAGAGGATCAGGATATAAAAGGCACTGGCCCCTGGGAGACCAGAGGGGAGGGGAGGGGTGGCCTGAGTTACACATAAATCAATTTGCATATCTCAGTACCAACCAGTACCAGCCAAGGGGAGATGGGGAGGCAGAAATGGGGGACACAGAGCCCTGGCTTGGGGAGCTGAGTCTAGGGAGCCTTGGGGGAGCTGGGGGGAAGGGAAATCTGACCTGGAACTATAGAGCCTACAAAGGTGGGCAGGGATGCCAGAGGGCAGAGGCCAGAATGAGATCTTTGACTCCTCAAGGACCCCAGATGACTAGGCTCAAAGGCAGACTGTGCCCTCTCCAGCCTATGTCTGACCCCACCCAGCCCAATGCCCACACCGGAGAGGAGTCAGCCTCAGGCCAGCCCCTTTCCCAGTCACAGCTGCCCTACCACAGGCACTGGTGGGTCCCGCAGCTGCAACTGGGGTGGGCAAGACAGGTCCCAACTGCAGCCAGAGAGGCCCATTCAAGGAGGGGGTGAGGGAAGAGTTGAGGGCTGCCAGCACACCAGGGATGGTACTGGACTCCAGACCCTTTGCCTAGAAGATGCCAAGCACGTCAAGCTGGCCTCCGTGGTGAGGGCAGAGGTGCTTGGAGGAGTGGTGATGTCATGGTGCCCAGGCATGGGAGGAAAGAGGAGGGAGGGAGAGGGGAGAGGGCACAGCCCCAGGCCAGTGGCCTAACAGGCCAGAGGGGAGGCTGCCAGCCTGGTGGGCGAGGGGATGGATAGTGTCCTTATTTCTTCCCTACCTTCCATCCTCATACCCCAGAGCTGGCTTCTGAACTAAGCTACTGGCTTCTAAGAAGGTGAGCAGAGCAAGAGAATACTCCTGCCACGGGCCATGGGCTGGAAGCCGGCGGCCTCTTCGACGAAGATGCCAGGGTAGGTGACCTAGGTCCAGACAGATGAGGGGAGGGCTCTCCACAGGCAATGCCCCTTCAGCCCTCACCTAGAGGACATTCAGAGAAGGGCGCAAGGTTCCAGAGAAGGAGACTGAATCTCTCACCCTCATATCCAAGTGCTGAGTGAGGGCAGTGCCTGGCGCCCAGTGGGTCGTCCTCAATATCGACTGGACTGAAAAGAATCGATGGGGGGTGGGAGCCGATTCCTCAGGAGGCAGGGACAGGCTGAGGCTGCCCCTAGAGGGGAAAGAGCAAATGTGGGGCTAGGGCAACAGTGGGCAAAGCCAGCACCCACTGGACTGCCTTCAGGAGCCTCAGGGCTGCAGGCTCCTTCTGTGCAGGGTCTTAGAGCCCTTCCTTCCCTACAGCACCGCCGCCCCCAGGAGGCTGGCAGGAGGGAGCCTGGAGGCTCTTCGTTTGGGAGCACATCCTGGGCTGGGGAGTCGTGCTTTTAGCATCAGAGAGAAGCCCAGAAACAGACCCTGATGCCAGAACTGGCAGACTGGGGGTGCTGGGACTGGGTGGAGCACCCCAGGTGGGAGCGGGGATGGAGCCTGGGCAGGAGCTGCAGGGGACCTGCCTACAGGTGGGCACTGGGTGAGGAGGCATCAGGAGCCAAGGAGGAAATGGCAGAGCAATTTCCGAGGAAGACGGGAAGATTCTTCGGCTTTGGCTTAGAGGATACCAAGCAGACAGTGGGCTCCCAGGCCACTCCCCTGGCGGGCGAAGCAGAAGGCAAAGGAGTTCGGCCCTCCCCCACCCCAGGACGGGAGAGAGTTTGGGGTTGTTTGCTTCCCCCTCCCCAAACCTAGGAGAACATTCTCTTGGCACCCCCATTCTCATGAGCCCCTGCTCTCTTTCCCTTCAGGCACCCCCGTCTCACCCATCAACGCCCCTGCAGTTCCCCACCCCCCAGAACCTCCCTGCCCAGCTGCCGCACCAGATTCCCACTTGCCCCCTGGCACCCTCTCAATTCACAGTTGGCACTGCGATGCCACTCCGCTCCCCTGTGCCCGCAACCTTGGCCAAGAGCTGCCGGGATCCTCGCCCTGGGGTCCGCCAGCGCTGGCACCCCCGGGGCACCGGTGCTGGGGAGCCTCGGGTGCCTCTGAGGGCACTGCCCGGCTCCCACAGGGGCAGCGGCTCCTCGCTCCGCCACACACGTTGTCCTTGGGCTGTTGAGGGGTGGGGGAGAGGTCCTTGTGGGGACACTGCGAAGCCGGTCCCAGACATCCAGCCTGGCAGTGTCCAGACTGCGGGGGACCGGGGTCCGAGCCGCTGCCGCTCGATCCCGCGCCCCCGGGGCTGGGATGACCCCTGGGGGAGCCCGTGCGGCTCCGGGCGGACAACAGCCCCAGGCTGGGGCTCCGAGACGGCGTCCGGCGCTGCCGCTGTCCTGCCCGCCGGTGCGGGGCGCCCCAGCCCGCCGGGGCCGCGCTTACCTGGGCTGGCCGCCTCCGGGTCCCGGTACATGGTCCCCTCGTCGCCGGTTCCCTCCGGGCTCCTCAGAGCCGCCCGCGGCCGCGCGCTGCTCCGCCGCCGCCGCTGGGCATGGGGCCGGGCGACCCCCGGGGGCGGGTCCGAGGGCGGGGGCCGAGCGGGCTGCACCTAGCCGCGGAGCCGGGGAGCGGGGGCCGCCCGCCAGCCCTCCCGCCCGCCCGCGGAGCACGCTGCCGCCGCCGCCGAACAGCGCCGAGCCGCCTCCCTCCGGCCTGCGCGCCGCGTGTGCGCGCCGGAGCGTGTGTGTGTGTACGAGGCCGTGTGTATGTGTGTGTGTGAGCGCGTGTGTGAGCGCGCCCGGGGCACCGCCGGCGCCGCCCGCCAGCCGCCGAACGCCGCGGCCACAGCCACCGCCTGCGCCCGCTGCCGGCCGCGCGCCGCACTGCACCCGCGCCCGCCGCCGCCCGAAGCCGCCCCGAGGGCACGGCCGCCGCCCCGCGCCCCGCCCGCCTCGCAGTCCCCGCGGGGAGGGCCGCCGAGCCCCACGGCCGGGCTCGTCCGGCCAGGGGATCCGGCTCCGCTGCGCGACCCACCCCCAGCCCGTGCTCCCCCGATGGCCGCGGCCTGGCACCGGGCAGGGCCGCAGAGCCGGCCACCTCCTCCGAGGTGCCCTTTGGCTCCGATCCAAAAGGCGTGGAGATCCACTCCGGGTTTTCCGCTTGCTGGCGGCTCGAGGGCGTCAGCTCCGGACTCAACACCGCGGCGGTCCGGGGCAGACGGACTGGTGTGTGCAAAAACCAGGAGTGGAATTTTTGGCAGCGCTGAGCCTGGGTCCGCCAGTCCGGTCTTTCTGCAAGCTCGCACACAGGTGGAGCCGAAAGGGCTAAGATCCCTGCCCTCGGTAGGAGGTTTGGCCTAGTGACCCTCCTCACCTAACCCAGCCCCACGAAAGAAGAAAATAGACTTTTCAGCCTCTGGCTATCCCTCTATAGCAGCAGCTCCTCCTCTGATCCTCCCCTCTATTCCTTGACCCTAGCACTTCGGAGGGTAGGAAGGAAATCCCTCCTTCTCCTTCCAACCCTGGACCTCTCTTGGTCCCCTCTGCCTCTCTGCCGGCTCAGCACAGTCTAAATCAGGTGAACACTCATTTCTCTACAGAATTTGGATGATTTGATTCTGGGGCAGGGAGGAGAAGAGACCTGTCTCCTAAGGATAAGAAAAACCCAGAAATGAACCATTAGTGGTATGGTAGGCACAGAGACCTCCCTGCACACACCTACACACGTAATCACCTACATACACACACACACACACACACACAGACATGATGCCCCCCACACACACACCCACACAGACATGCTGCCCACACAAAGAGACACATACACTGACGCTCCCCACAATACAGGTGCTGCCCCTACCCTTCACTGATGGGTCAGGTAAGAGGGCAAAATCCCTGGGTCTGTGGCAGCATCCTGCCCTCCCCTGTGCTGAGAATGCAGTTTGCAGGTGAGCCAGGCTTCCTAGAGTCAAGGATTATTATTTCCACCCTGAGAAATCCACTTTTGCTGGCTTTATACTGCACTACTCATGCCCAGCCACACCTCCACCTGCCCACAGTGTGGAAGGCAGCCAGGAACAACCCTCTATCTCAAGTCTCCCCGACACACACACAAACAGACCCCATCCCCTTGAAATCACATGGAGGCTATCCCCAACAACCACCACACACACACATACACACATACACATTCACCTCCACCTACAGCTTTTCCGGTTGAGAAAAAGATAAGGAAGTTCCCCCAGCAAACCTCCATGAAGACTGTTCCAGTGGAGAGCAGATTTCCTGGGAATGAATGTTCTACATAAAAATGGAAGGAAAAAAGGCATCGTAGGTTAAGGCCACAATTCCTCAGTGGCCAGAAATCTCAGCCCTCACCCTCTGGGGAAGGGCCATCCTATTCCATACACCTCACAGCTGTCTTCCCCCCACTCACCCAAGTACAGCCAAGAACCCAGGAGTTATCTACACTCTGCTTTGGGACCTGGCAAACCCCAGAAAGCTAAGCCAACAGGCTGGGACTGCAAGGTCTGCAACCTTGGCTCATTCCCCCACCCACCCCAGCTGCCTCTCTCATTACCCTAGTAAAGAGTAAACAGGGGCTGGGTATGGTAGCTCACACCTGTAAGCCCAGCACTTTGGGATGACGGGGCGGGAAGATCACTTGAGCCCAGGAGTTGAGACCAGCCTGAGCAACATGGTGAGACCCCATATCTACAAAGAAAAAAAAAATTAGCCCAGTGTAGTGGTGCGCCCCTGGGGTCTCAGCTACTCGGGAGGCTGCGACGGGAGGATGGCTTAAACCCAGTAGTTTGAGGCTGCAGTGAGCCATGATTGCACCACTGCCCTCCAACCCGGGCAACAGAGTGAGCCCGGTCTCAAAAAAAAAAAGAGCAAATAGGGCACCCCTCACCCTCCCACAACAGATGGGCACACAGACAGGTTCCCTGCTGAGGAATCTCCCCACTCCAGATCCCTCCACCCATCAATCTGAAAGTCCAGAGAGGGAGAGCAGAATTCCTCATCACCACCACTCAACAGGTCTTTACTAAGCATCTAAAGTTTTTCAGAGTTGACAGAGAGGACATCTGAGAGATGCCCCAGGCTGCCCCTTGCAAGTGTCAGGTGATGAAGGCAAGGCCTCTAGAAGAGAAGGAACTGACCCAGGGAGCTAAAGGCCCCGGAGCCAGCACCCTGGGGAGCTGGTGAGAGAACCTGGAGTAAGAATCACTCTGGTTGAGACTCCCAGCCCTTTGCTAACCACTGTGGGATTCATGAGGAGACCCAGTGCTTGCTCCCATCTGAGGGCTTATAGCCTGTTTCTTACAAGAATACGAAGCCCAGTCTCATCCTCTCCTCACGGGCATTAGACGGTCCTTGTTCCAGGATGTCAGAGCTGGACAGCTCCTCAGACACACAAGAGAAACGCCATGAGATATAGTTGTGCAAACTGCGGCTCTGGGGCATTGGGAATCTTGGGTAGTTTTTAAATTCCTGCCTGCAGCATTGACACAGAAAAAGCTTTGAAGACACCCCTTCTCTGGGCCTCAGTCACTTTGTTTAGGGGACGCAGAGTCATGGGAAAGAGGAAAGAATACAGATTTATGTGGCGCTGCCATCATTGCTGTGTTTACCCTGGGCAGACACCTCTGGGCCTCAGTTTCCTTGTCTCTACAATGGGAATAATAACACCTATTTCCTTTGACTATTGTTAAGTTTAAGCATGGTGAAAAAATCAAATCACTTAAAATGATACTTGGGGGACTGGGCGCGGTGGCTCACGCCTGTAATCCCAGCACTTTGGGAGGCCGAGGCGGGCAGTTCACAAGGCCAGGAGTTCGAGACTAGCCTGACCAACATGGTGAAACTCCATCTCTACTAAAAAAAAAAAATACAAAAATTAGCCGGGCGTGGTGGCATGCGCCTGTAATCCTAGCTACTCAGGAGGCTGAGGCAGGAGAATCGCTTGAACCCGGGAGGTGGAGGTTGCAGTGAGCTGAGATTGTGCCACTGCACTCCAGCCTGGGTGACAGAATGAGACTCCGTCTCAAAAAAAAAAAAAGGAAAAAAAAAGATACTTGGAACATATAATTTATTCCTTATACTTTTTGAATGCCTTTATTATTATTGTTGTTGCTATTTGTTTACCCTTAACAGAGACGACACATACTCCCCATTCCCATGTGTTGCCTGTCAGGAAAGTTCTTCCAGATGTCTAACCATGAACCATTCTGCTGCATTAGAAGGCTAATCTCTCCTGCTGGAATATCGATGAGAGCCGAGCCAACTGTGAGCTTCTAGGAGCTGCTGGGCTCCTTGACCCTGCCAGCCTGAGCGCCAGAATCCAATCCCAATTCTTTTCTGAGTACTCACGGAGAACTGGGTAGAGGCAGTAAATGGAGCCTGCAGGAGTGAGCAGGTCCTCTGAGGAAAAAGATCAGAGGCTGTGAATCACCCCTGCCCTGCCCTTGGGTCTTGTATCTCATTGGGGAGGGCCTGAGCCTCTGGGCATTCAGCTTCTCCCCTTCCAGCCCCTACAGAAGGGGGGCCCAAAGAGGCCCTCTCATTCTGTTTCGTTGCTGGTCCCCTGTCCTGGGTTCCATGACGTGGCAGGAAATGCGGGCAGCACCTGATTCCCCAAGGACTGCCCTGCTGTGTGCTGCAGACCCTTCAGGCCTGTTTCCGATCTGGCACCATCCTCAGGGCCAGGAGTCCTGGGTCGGCTTCAGGGAGGGACATTCTGTCCCTCAGGAGCAGATGCTGGGCCTGCACTCTCCCAAACAGGGCCCCTGATGCTGCCTGGCTCTGTTGCTAGGCCATGGCTAGGAGGCAGGGCTCCTGAGTTCCCCTCTGGCCTCTACCTGGCATGGTCTTCATTGTTGCTGTCTCCCCACAGTCCTTTCCCCCTACCCCCACCCCCTTGGCTATGGGCTGAATTATTAATAAAAATGCTGAGGAAGCTGTTTGTGCAGCTCACGTGACAGAACAAACACACCTCTCTCCTTGCCATCATCCATGTGGCAAGAGACTCAGGCTGAGCATTCGCCTGATTCAGGAGGGACAGGCTTAGACCAGCTGGAAGTTGGCTGTGCAGGGCAACAGCAAAGCCCACTGGTGGTGACCGGCCAGGAGTGAGGACTTGTTCTGTCATCCTGTACCTTCTCCTACCCCCTAGACTTCCCCTTCCTCCTCTGCAGAGGACAAGAGTCTGGAGAAGATAAAAGTATAAAGTTAACAGATATCTCCACCCCAGAAAGGACATGAGAGCAAACTACTAGGAGGCAGCTGCAGCCATCTCTATACCCACCTCATCACCATCAATACTTGCTGATCTATTGCCTCCTCTCGCCAGACCCAGTAACTACCAGATCTCAGAGGCCCACCCAGAGTCTATGCTTGTCACACTTCTGCCAGGTTCTGCTTTGGGGCCCTGGTGCTAAAAGACAGGGTTTGGACCCCAGCATCAAGGGAAGAATCTGAGACTCGAACTCGGGTCCTACCTCTGCCTGTTTCTCTGTTTGGCTTTGGCTGGTTACTTGACATCTCTGGGCCTCAGTTTTCTCATCTGTAAAATAAGGCTAAGAATTGCTCCACACAAAGATGTGAGAATACCCTGGGGAGATGGCAAGGGCTGGCTGTCTTTCCTGGTTCCCTAGGGGTAACCCCAGGCACCAAAGACCCTGCTGCAAGCTGACTTTCCATAGCTATAGGCCCCCAAGGGTCTCTCAGGCCATGTTACAGGGCCAGAAACCATATTCCCACCTCACCCTCACCCTATCTGTCCTCCCACACCCCTTCACCCTGTAACCTCTTCATCCAGATTCTGGCTCTCAGTCTCTCTCTTCTCCATGGTCACCCTGACACTCCCCAAGTGTTTGGCTCAGCCCCTCAAATCCCTCACCACCCTTAAAAGATTGAAGTTGGTATTCCTTCTTCTGCCTTGGGACAGCCCCAGGCTTGGGCAGAAGTTTGGCCTTGGGCCTCTGCTCTGAGACATTCCCTACCCCTTGGGCAGCTCTGGGACCCCTGAGACTGACTGAGGGCCATGGGGGCTACTGAGATCCCCTTCCTGGGATGCACTGTGGAAGCACCTCAGTTTGCTGATTACTAGGTGAGTGACCCGGGGTCAGCCCCTCAGTCCTTCTGAGCCTCATTTTACCAGTCTGTACCATAGGATGTTGTTTTTTAATCTTGACTGGGTCTTGGACCCCTGTGAAAATCTAATGAAGTCAGTGGACCTCTCCTCCCTAGAAAAGTGCATATACAAACACAGACACAACATTTTGCCCATAATTGGGTGTGTGTTTGGGGTGGGGGTCCTTCGGGTTCCAGATGAAAAGCCCCTGGCCCAGAAGCCTGCAAGACTGCTTCCAGCTGTCAGTCTGAACCCAGTTCTCTGCCCTCCCCATCCTCTCCGCAGTGACTTTTGGGTGTGGGGGAAGAGGGGACAGTTAGGGAGGTGGGTTGCTGGTCTATCCACACCTTTTCTCCCTCCTGCCTCAGTGGGCCCCTCCCCCAGCATTTCCTGTGGCTGGTGCCAGCTTGTCTGCAGCTCAGACCAGCATTTCAATCCCTCTTGGAACCCACTGAACTGGCTTCACCTGCCTTTCAAGGTATTTAAAGGTTCTTTGACCAAATGCTTTTTGATCCTCCGCTGATGGGAACCAAGCAGAAGCTCTTTCGCCAACTGTCCCCCCTCCCCCCACATGATTAGTCTCTAAGAGCTCTTTTGATATTGCAGAAACCTTCTGTGGTTTGTTCAAAGCCCTGGGCCTTTCAGCCACCTCCCCCGGGGACTCAGGCCAGTCAGCTCCAGCCTCCACCACCCATACCCAGGGGTGGCCTAGTTAATGGGGGCCTCCCAGCGCTGAACGACTCTGGCCTGAGTTGGAACCCCAGACCCGAGCCCAGCTGGTAGAGCGGTCAAGCCCCGCTCCTCTCAGGGAGCCCAGGCCGAGTCTGGTAGTGTGGGGTGGGGGACCTGTTCCCCAGCCTTCAGCGGGCCGTTACTCTTCTTCCCGCCCAGCTGAGGCTGCACAGACAGGCATGCAGGCCCACGATGATAGCAATTGACCTGTTTCCAGGTCTGAGGCTGAGGCTGAGAAGGGGAAACTGAGGCTCTGAGAAGTCCAGGGTTCAGGCCTTGGTGTGTGAGAGGGCAGGAGCCAGAATCCACCAACCCAAGACCTGCTCCAGCAGCCCCACCCCAGCCAGCACCACTCGCCGCCCGCGCTCCTGGTCCTCCAGGGCCGCGCAGAAGGCGCGCCTGGGCTGAGTCCCAGCTGCAGAATTCCTGGGGGGCGGGGGACGAGGCGTCTCCGCTCTTAATAGCTGAGCGCCCGCAAACGCCCGGCCTGGGCTCGAGGCCTGCCCCTCCAGCGACGGGCGCCCCCAACATTGAAGTCTTTCTCTGCAACTTGGACGGACCCACCCCGAGCGCCCCGAGTATCCGGCCCGGGGCAGAGATGCGCGTGCGCGGAGGGGGTGCCGCGGAGCCCGCGTGAGCAGACAAATTACCGCGGACCTGAGAGGACCCGTCCACGCCGGCCCAGAGGGAGGAGGGGGACGGTACACAGATGGGGGGGCGGGGGACATGACTCTCTGAGGGATCCCCAACCCCAGGATTGAGGCCCCACCCTCTGCCCTAACTGGAGTTGAAGACCTTAGTGGGGGTGGGGCCTATCCCTCGCAGGTGGAAGGGTGATCTGCACCGGGAGAGCTGTGACTGTCCCGGTTCCGCGATCCCTGGCTCTGGGCTCAGGAGGATGACGGGAGGGGCCCCAGCACTCCGAGAGCTGGGCGAGTTCAGGTGGCCAGGCCCTCTCCCTCACCAAGGCCTCTGGGGGAGCTGCTGGGCTCCTTGGTTCTGCCAGCCTGAGCGCCAGAATCCAATCCTGCTCTATAATAATCATCAGAGCAGCCGGCAGCACTTACTGAGCTCCGAGGGACTGCCAGGCCCGGGTGCCAAGTGCATAACACGCATTATCCCGCTTAATAGTCACAGAAGTCCCGTTGTGATCCCCTTAGGAAGGTGAGAGGGTTGAGGCGAGGGGCGTGGCTTGTCAGGGGCGTGGCTTGCCTGGGGCGTGGCCTGCCAGAGGACGGGCAGCCGGCAGGGTGGAGGGACAGGTGGGAGTCACGCCAGCTCCAACCAGGTCTAGAACCCAAACCTTCAACCCCTGAGCTTTCCTGCCTTCGAGTCCTCGGAGCTCTCCTGGAGGCTGAGCAGGCAACAGAGCCTGCTCCTCAGCTGGATGTGGCCCGTGGGAGGTGAGGGGGCGCAGAGGCCGGGCGCCCTGGAAAGGAGGAAGAATGAGGGACCCCCAGCTCCGTGGCTGCTTCATTTCCTGCTCTCTTCCTGCTCCCACCCCTCCCAACGGTGGGCGTACCCCAAGGCTCCGTCCTCTCTTCCCTCTTCTTTCTCACCCACTCTCTTCGTGACCTCATCCACGCCCACGGCCTCAGCTTTTGCTTCATCCCCATTCCCAGCACTGTCTCTGGGGCCCTGACCTCCCTCCCAAGCTCCGCAGCTGTGTACTTAGTGAAGCCTCTCCACCAGGTGGAGGAAACATCACCTCCCTGGGGTCACCCCACAGCTGCTAAGGCCCCATCACTCTCTCAAGCTCCACATCGGTTCCCCAAATCCTCCCACTGCTCTTCCCCCACACCTAATTACTGTCCATATCCTTCAGACCCTTTTCTCTTCCCAGCCTCTCACACCCTGTTCTCAGACTCCTGAGCCACCTCCCTAAGTCAGACACTCAAGCCGATCAGCCTCCGCCTCACCTGGCTCCTGCCCAGTCGCTTGCCTCCCCCAGTCTTTTCCATCCAGTGCCCTCCCTCCTCGTGGTTTTCTTTTCTCTTTTCTTTCTTTTCTTTTTTTTTTTTTTTTTTTTTTTGAGACAGAGTCTTGCTCTGTCACTCAGGCTGGAGTGCAGTGGCAGGATCTCAGCTCACTGCAACCTCCATCTCCCAGGCTCAAGACATTCTCGTGCCTTGAGCCTGAGTAGCTGGGATTACAGGCGCCTGCCATCATGCCTGGCTAATTTTTGTGTTTTTAGTAAATACAGAGTTTCGCCATCTTGGCCAGGCTGGTCTAGAGCCCAAATGATCCGCCCATCTTGGGCCTCCCAAAGTGTTGGGATTACAGGCATGAACCACCTCGCCCGGCCTCCCTGTGGTTTTCTGAGACACAAGATCCAATTGCTCTGCTGGCTTCTCAGCCCCCGGGCCTTCGATGGCTCCCCATGCCTGCAGAAGGAGCAGGTTAGCCTGAGATGGAGTCTGCCCCAGGATGACTTTTGACTTCCTCGTCTTGCCCAGTGCCCTGCCTTCAGCTAAAAACTGAGTTTCTCCCTATGGGTTTCCACCTTTCAAAGCCCATCTTCACTGTCACTTTGTCCAGGGAGCCATCCCTGATTCTCCCAGGTGAGTCTGAATGCTCCTCTTCTGTAGCCCCATGGCACTTCTCAGCATTTCGGTGATGGAGTTGTCTACGCTGATAGCATTTATACAGCTCTTCAATCCTGCTTTCTGTCCACCTCCTCCACCCCTGCAATGGACTGGGAGCTCTTTCTGGGCAAGGATCGCCCGTTTACTATCCATCTTTATCTTCCTCCTCTCAGGTTTTTTATTGATCCATTCAGCAAACATTAATGACGTAGCTGCTATGTGCTAGGCACTGCATATACAGAATCCTGCTCCTTCTCTGGGTAATTGTCATACAGTGCGACAAGTGCATTAACAGGTGGATTCAGGGAAACATGGCCCTGGGCAAGGATTTCTCCAGGCTCCCGAACGCCAGGCCATGGCCTGAGCACCATTCGGGCATGCAAGCTTAAACAAGACCAAGCCCTGCCCTCCAGGATGGTAGCTGTATAAAAACAATAGGATGTGTACAAAGGCAGGTCTGAACACAGTGCTTTGGGACCACAGAAAGCAGAGCAATGACCTTGGCCCTGGGGAAATCCTGAAGCTTCCCAAATGCCCAGCACCTTGCACCAAGCAGTAGCCTCGTAAATCTTTGCTGAATTAAATTGGTTACAGGAAGAAAGGGGACATAATAGAGACTGAAAAAGAAAATTAAGGTTATTGGGGCCAGGTGGTGGGGGATGACAGAGCATTTTCACATCTTCATGAAGTCGCTTTGTCACCCATCCCAGAGGGATGTCTTGTGGACAAATGAGATCATGGACGTGCAGTGCTCTGAACACCTGGGAAGAAAATAACTGTACAAATATCGGGGCTATTATTAGTCCATCCCCATCAGACCAGATAAGTCCTCTCCTTGTGGCCTCAGTTCCCTCATGGTAATATCAGCTGTGCCCTGTGGCAATTTGCTTCTCTCTCTGGGCCTCAGTTTCCCCATCTGCAACATGAGGACATACCATGAGATGATTTTGAGGGTCTCTGGCTCCTCCAGGGAGATGCTCCAGGGACAGCTGTGTCTGACTAGGGGATGCCTTTGGTCCTCTCTTGACTGCCACATCCTGGGCTGAGTTGGGGAGTCCTCATAATGTCACAAAGGCCACTCCCTGTCCTGTTTGTCTTTCTGGTCAAACAAGGCCATGCAGAACATGAGGCAAGTGTGGGCTTCTCGGCCGGAAGTTCCTCTCTAATTTCTGGGGAACAGCCTTAAGGCCTGTTTTCTGAAAAAGACCTCTGTGTGAGCCCCCTCCCTCCACTCCAGGTCTGAGGTCTGGATTCCCCTGGGGAAGGCCCATCCCTCTCCAAATCCCCATTGACCTCTTCCTTTATGGCCAGAAATGTTGGGGTGCAAGATGCTTCAGTGAAAGGGGATGGAAGCTGTAGTGAGAGAGAAGCTTCTCACACAGGACTCTGATGCATGCTCCCCCATGACCTGTCCTTAGCTGAGGCACCACCACAACCCTGACCCTGAAAGCAGAGACCTTGGCCATGTCCCTACTTTCCCTCTTTTCCTTACCTGGCACATTTCATTGGTGGTGAGTCCTGGTCTTTTTCCTTCCTGGCTCCAGTCCTTTCCAGCCTCCCCTGCCCCTCATTCATGGCCCTAGCCCCGGTCCTCCCAACTTGCATCGACCTCCTCCTTGGGCCTCCTCCTCTGCCTCCAACCTGGCTCCCTTCCCGTCCACTCTCCTAAGGGCAGCAAAGCGCAAGTGTGACGAGGTTTCTCTCCAGCTCAAAGCCCTTCCATGGATCCTTAACTGCTCTTAGGAAAAAGCTCAGATTCCCTGTCTGGCAGGCAGGGCCCTTCCTGACCTAACCAGAGAGGCAAAGTCATCTTTGAGAGAGTTCTGAGGCTGAGAAAAAGCTCACTAAGGGATGGGGGCGTGGGGAGCATTTCAGGGACAGGGAAATGTGATTTCAAAGGTGGGGAGATATGATGGAACCTCCCATCTGGGAAAAATCAGAAAGCAGATATGGCAGGAGGCTGGAGTGAGTGTCCAGGGTGTATTAGGTACACCTAGTGTGTTCCAGGCTCTGTTCTCATGCTGAAGATGCAGCAGTGACCAAAACAAACATCCCTGCCCTCAGGAGCTGGCATTTAGCAGAGGAAGGTGGCAATCAGCAATGAGCAAAAGAAGGAAATGTTATAGTGTGTTAGAAGGTGATGAGTGTTGTGGAAAAAGAAAAGGTGGAGAGAAGTGAGGGTTATCTGGGGGTGGATTGCAATGTTGAGACAGGGTGGTGAGGACAGGCTTCACTGAGAAGGTGGCATCTGAGCAAAGACTTGAGGGAGGAGAGGGATTTAGCCCTGCAGTTGTCTGGATAACAGTGTACGAGGGAGAGGGAACAGCCAGTGCAAAGGCTGTAGGGTGGGATAATGCCTGGTTTGTTGGAGGAAAGCAAGGGGGCTTGTGGGGCTGGAGCAGAGGGAGGATGGAGGTGGTCAGGAGAGTGTCAGGGGAGAGGCGAGGACAGGTCACTGTGAAAACTTAGGGAGATGGGAAGCAACTGGAGTGTTTTTTGTAAGAGGAAGGACATGAGCTGGTTTATATTGTAAAAAGATCACTCTGGGTGTGTGTGTGTGTGTGTGTAGGGAGTGGGGATAGCTGCAGGGAGACCAGTCAGGGGACTGCTGCACTAATCCGGGCAAGACGTGATGGTGGTTGGAATCAGGGTAGATGCTGTGGGGGTGGTTGGGAGGGCTTGGATTCTGGATCTATTTTGAAGGCAGAACCAACTGGATTTCTTGATGGATTGGACGTGGGTTGTTTCAAAAAGGGAGGAGCCGAGATCATCGCGTCCAAGGCTCTGGCCTGAGCCATGGAAGGCTTGGATTGCCATTGGCTGAAATGGGGTTTGTGTTGGAGCAGCGCCCTTTCTCAATCAGTTTTTCACTATCACCCACCCTCAGGAGCCTTTTAAGACGTTTTTCTCTAATCACTTCTCCCTGTGGCGGATTTTTTTTTTTTTTTTTTTTTTTGATGGAGTCTTGCTCTGTAGCCCAGTCTGGAGTGCAGTGGCGTGATATGGGCTACGGGCTCACTGCAATCTCCACCTCCTGGTTTCAAGCGATTCTCCTGCCTCAGCCTCCCGAGTAGCTGGGATTACAGGTGCGCACCACCATGCCTGGCTAATTTTTGTATTTTTAGTAGAGATGGGGTTTCATTGTGTGGCCCAGGCTGGTTTTGAACTCCTGACTTCAGGTGATCCACCCACCTCAGCCTCCCAAAGTGCTAGGATTACAGGCGTGAGCCACCGTGCCTGGCCCACAATGGAATTTTACCACCATAGCTATAATGTATACATGTTCATATACTTTGGCCCTTTGGAAAATTACAAACCATTGTAATATCAATATTTTTCTGTCCCCCCAAGAACCAATTTTTGCCCACTGGGGAAGGTGGCATCCTGTGGAGAAGGCATGTGTTGGAGCGAGTTTTGTAAGGGAGAACAGGTGCTCAGCTTGGCACATGTTGGACCTGAGCTATCTAGTGCAGGGAGGGGACGCTGAGTGGACAGTGGAACATGTGAGGTCCAGACTAGAGGTATGGATGTGAAAGTCATTGGTGTATATATGCTGTTGCCATGAGACTGGGTGAGCTCACCAGAGGAATGAGGAATGAGATCAGGACCAAAGTCTGGGCTTGGGGCACCCCATGTTGGGCTGTCTGGAAGAAGAGAAAAAAACAGCAAAGGAGACAGAGAGGGAAAGGTGAGAGAGGTAACAGAAAACCAAGTGAGTACAGCAGGTGGCCTAGAAGCCCAGTGGAAAGAGTGTTTCAGGGAAGAGGGAGGGCTACACTGCCAAATGTCATGGGGTCGGGGGCAAGTGGCAGAAAGACTGAGAACCCACAGCTGAGTTTAGCCATGGGGAGGCCCCTGGAGATCTTGATAGGAGTATTTTATTTAGTTATTTATTTTTGAGATGGGGTCTCACTCTGTCACCCAGGCTGGAGGGCAGTGGTATGGTCCTAGCTCACTGCAGTCTTAACGTCCTGGGCTTGAGCTATCCTCCCACCTCCCGCCTTAGCCTCCTGAGTAGCTGAGATTTCAGATGTGTGCCGCCAAGCCTGGCTAAATTTTAATTTTTTTTTTTTTTTTTGAGACAGAGTCTCGCTCTGTCACCCAGGCTGGAGTGCAATGGTGTGATCTGGGCTCACTGCAACCTCCGCCTCCCAGGTTCAAGCAATTCTCCTGCCTCAGCCTCCCGAGTAACTGGGCCTACAGGCATGTGCCACCACACCCAGCTAATTTTTTGTATTTTTAGTAGAGACGGGGTTTCACAGTGTTAGCCAGGATGGTCTTGATCTGCTGACCTCGTGATCCGCCCGCCTCAGCCTCCCAAAGTGCTGGGATTACAGACGTGAGCCACCGCGCCCAGCCTTAACAATTTTTTTTGTAGAGACAGGGTCTCACTGTGTTGCCCAGGCTGGTCTCGGACTCCAGGCTTCCAATCCTCCTGCCTCGGCCTCCCAAATCGTTGGGCTTACAGGTATCAGCCAACATGCCTGGCCCATAGGAGTATTTTTGATAGAGTGGTGGGGATGAAAGCCAGATTGGAGTGGGTTTAAGAGAGAACAGGAGGAGAAGAACTGATGATAGTGGATAGAGACAACTCTGGGAGGAATTTTGTTGCAAAGGGGAACAAGGAATTAGGTGGCAGCTGCAGGGGAAGCAGGATCAAGAGCAGGTATGTGTAAGATGGGAGGAAAAACAGCCACTGACAGGAATGGTCCGGTGAAGAGGGACGGGATGACTTGCTGATCAGAGGGACTGGGCTCTGGTGCCCGCCTGGGGTGGTGGGTGAGGGCAGGCGTGGGCAGTCATCTCTCCTAGGACTCGGGGAGACAATGTGTGGGTGCAGAGGCTGGTGGGGGCGGATGTGTCCGTGTAAATCTGGAAGTACTTCTGAGAGACTGGATTGTCTTCAGGGAGTGAGAAACAAGGTCAACAGCTGAGAGTGAGGACGGGGGAGGGTGGGGTGGGGTTTGAGGAGAGGAGATCGTGAGAAAGCATGAATCGCCCACGAACAAGGGAGGGTGAACAGACTCAGTGGTAAGTGTGAAGAATCGCCAGCCGTGAGCCTTTCTGCCCCACTCGGGCTGGGGTCAGCTGCCCACCTCCGGGCTCCCGGGGCTCCCTGACCCCACTGAGGTTTAAGCCTTTACTGCTGTAGGAAAGGGTTACCAGCAAACCCCGTGCAGTCAGGCAGCCAGCATTTGAATTCTCCTCCCGTGCTCACTGGCTGTGTAACCTGGGCAAAGTTTTTGTTTGTTTTCGTTAATTGTCCGCATGCCTCAGTCTTCTCATCTGTAAAGTAGGGGCGGAAGTAGGAGGAAGCACTCTGTGTTATTGCTATCCTCTACTCTGTTGTTGCTAGTTTGTACTGAGGAGGGCTCAGTGAATGCAGAGTGAAGGGTGAATGAGGGGAGGGGAGTTTGCTTTGGGCCCCCACATGCCAAGGAGTGGGCAGAGGAGGGCAGGTGTCACAGCTCTGCCCCTGCGCACGGACGACTCCGACTCTTTAACCCCAGGGCTCAGCTCCCATCACGTGAACTGGGATCCCTGAGGAAGCTCTCAGGTGGGCGGCCACCAGCTGAGAACAGACCTCCCAGTGCAGCCCAGGACAGTCCCTAGCACAGCCCAAGGCCAGGACCACACTGGCCACTCCCTCCCCAGAGCCCACTAGTGTAGGGAGGAAGACAGGGATAGGTTGGCCCTCTTCCCCAACCCCCCCCTCAGGACATCCTCCTCAGCCTGGCCCTTCCTGTTTTTCCTCCCTGGCCCCTGGAGGCCATTTCCTCCAAGGAGTCAGGGAAAGGTGTTGCTTTGTTTTCTCCTGAGCCCAGAGCTTTCTGGACTCATGAACCTCGGGATCTGGGCCTTTGAAACCCCCTGGAAAATAGACTTGCTGTCTAGCACCGCCCCAGAGGCCCTGATGCCAGGAGTGGGGTGGGGCTCTGCTGAGGGTGTGGTCAGCGTGTGTGTGTGTGTGTGTGTGTGTGTGTGTGTGTGTGTGTGTGTGTGTAGGGGACAAGAGCATTCATGGGGACAAATGTGGCTTGGCTGGCAACAAACCACGGCAAGACCACAGGTTGGGAGCTGGCAGCCCTGGGAGGGGGCTCACAGTCCTGCAGGGAACCTGCTCTGTCATGCCCAGCCAGGGCCTCTTGCTCCTAAAACTTTACCCTCCACCCTACAACCCGGAGGTAGCAATAAAGCCTCCCTCACAATAAAGAGCCACAAGGAGCAGGAGCTAATGGGCAGAGCGGGCACTGGAGACTGTTATGAGAGCTTCAAGGTTCCTCACCATTCCTCTGTGCCTGCTGGGGAGGGAACCACTAAGTGCCACATAGTGTGAGGCTGGGCTGGTGGTAGGGGCAGATGAAGTGCTCAGCAAGTCTCCAGCCTTGCCCTTCATCCCCTTAATGAACCAGCCAGCAACCACCAGAAGCTTCGTTCTCAGGCCCCAGTGGAGGTTGGTGCCTGCACTGACGCCTGGCTGCCCTGATCACTCCTGTGTCCTATAAGCTGACTGGCTAATAGAGCACAGGATCTCAGGAGCCTGGCAGAGCCTGGCCACTGCCCCGTCCCCACCCCTTTTCTCATCTGGGATGCCCAGCCCTGCCCCTCAGCCCCTCCCTCTGGGCATCCCAGAAGAGAAAATTTAAGTATCTCAGGTAGGGTCATGGCACAGGGTCCAGGAGCAGTCTTCAAGCTGGGAGACTTAAGTCATCACTTAGCAATGCCCTTCTTGTGCCGTGGGGGAAACCAAACAGAAAGGGCAGTGGACTTGTCTAAGGCTGCACAGCCATTCTTTCTAACATGGCTGGTGGCCTCCTTCTGCAACAGGCAGACTCTGGCTTCTCTTCAGGGGCCAGTGGAATAAAAGAGGTCATCCCCTTTCTGCCCCTGCTACTGATGTCAAGCCAGAGCAGCATAGTATAGCGTGATAATGACTGTTCCATTTTGTTGAGGACCTACTATGTGCTGAGCAGTGTTCTAGATGCTAAGAAGACAGTGGTGAATGAGACAGAGTCTGTCCCCTTGGAGCTAATGTTGTTGCATTAAATTCTTGTAACACCCTATGTGGTAAGTGCTGCCATCTCCATTTTACAGGTGGAGAAACTGAGGCTCAGATAAATGACTAAGAAGTAAAGTGAGGTCCCATAGCCAGTGAATGGCAGAGCAGGGATTCGAACCCAGGTATGTCAGACCCATCCATAGCCTGGCCTCCTAACCACTGTGATACACCAGAAAGAGCCCTGGTCTGGGAGCCTGAGACATGCATGGGTCACTCACTGGGGTGACCTTTGGCATGCCCTTCCTCTCCTTGGCCTGAGTTCTCTCATGAGTAGGTGATCCAGGCGGTTCCTTCCAGCATTTCTGCAATTCTGGAAATTGAAAGACCTGGAAATCTGGCTCCCCGGAAGATCCAGGCAAGAATGTCTCTTCTCCCTGTGAGTGCATCCAAGTTGGTGGGACAGGAGCCCAGCGTGTAGGGGAGGAATAAAAGCTGTGGTCAGGCTTGGACCGCGACCTCCATGGCAGCCTGGCCTGGCTTTGTCACGGTCCTTTAAGTTATCCTGCATTCCGTTCCCACCACTGGGACTGGATACAGAAGGCCCTGTTCTAGTCCTGCCTCGGCCTCCTCTAACTTGCTGTGTGATTGGGGAAGTCTTGGCCCCTCTCTGGACCTCAGTTTGCACCTTTGCTGGATAAGACCATTCCTGATGTCCCCCTGGCTCTCTGATCTAATCCCATAAGCTTGTTGAGCCCTTCACTGGGGCCCAGCCCTTTCCGGGCATTGAATTTGGCCTAGAGTGTCTGATGGTCAGGTACTCCACTCCCACTCCTCACCTCCGCCTCCCTATAAACCAGGAAGGGAAGAATGACTTGCTTCAAGCTGGTCCTGGGGTTCCCCTCCCACCCTCTGCCCCCCATTTCCCCATGCCTAGTCTCTGAGTCCTCAGCCCCACCATGAAGGCTGTTTTCTTTCCCCGTTCCCCTCCAGCCAGTGAGGTGGAGGTGGGAGTAGGGGGAGAAAATATAGGGGAGCAGCCAGAGGATCACGACAGGTAGGGCTGGGGGTTGGCAAGGGCTCTGCAGAGACCACGCTCCCCTGGAAAGGCATTTCTCATCGTGGGCATGCCTGCCAGGTAGTGGGAGGACCATTTCTTTCTTTTCTTTTTTTGTCATCATCCAACGTGGCTGGGAGTGAGGGGGCTGAGGGAGAAAGTCTCCTGAGATGGGAGAGAAGCCAGGGGTCTGCGGCTGGCCTGGGCTCAGATTGGTGGGCAATAGCATTCAGTGTCTCCCCCACCCCACTTCCCCCTGCAGACCCAGGCCCAATCCGGGCTGCACCCCTAGCGAGGCAAGGGAAGGGCTGGGCCTTCTCTTCTCTCCTCCAGGTCTCTCGTAAGAATGACATAGGAGCATAAGTGCCCCACCCCATTTGACAGATGAGGCTGAGGCTCAGAGCAGAGAAGTGACGGGCAGGTTAGGTGCATGTGGTAAGTGACCAGCCATCTGGGAGTTATCGGGCCTCTTCCGGCAGGAATAGGGGTCTGGGAAGCCCACCCAGTGGGAGATAACTATCTGTCCTCCTTTCTTAGTGGGGTGGGGAAAAGGCAGTCAATAGAAGAAGAAAAGAGGCCAGCCTGACTCCTGCGAGTTCCCAGAATCTATGTGCTGTCTCCAGACTCCAGAACTCTGCCTGGGTGCTCCCACTTTCTGGAACTGCTTCCCCTATCTGGCTAACTCTTACTCGTTCTTCAAGTCTCAGTTTAGATGTTGCCTCTTCCAGGAAGCCTTCCCTTATTTCCCCAGGATTAGGTAGCACTGCTGTGTGCTCCCACTGCTCCCAGGGTTTCCCCCATTAGGGCATGAATCACCTGCTTTGTCGTATTTCTCCTCCTCAGACAGGGAGCTCTTTGAGGGTAAGGCTGTGCCTTGTCAGCCTCTAATATCTATCCCCAGACCCAGTGTGGAGCTGAATACAAAGCTGGCCCAAAGAGCTGTTTGTTGAATTGGTGAGTGACTGAATGGGCATCTATAAAGATCAACTATTTGTCAGTCCTGTGCAGGGGGGTCCAATGTAAAGGAGGCCCCCACCCCCCTGCAGTACCCACCTGTGCAATGGCCCAGGACGCCTTCTGGACAGAGCCTGGACAAGGCGAGGTGAGCTTAGAGAAGGGAAAGATAGCTTTGGAGTAGGGATACTGGGAAGCTCTGGGAAGAGGTCCAAGAGTCTTGGTATGACAAATTGTTTGGGGCAGGTTTAGGGCTGGGGGCTGGTTTAGTGACCTCAGAAGAGGCTGCTTTATCCAGAGCCCAGGACTGTGCCTAGGAATGGACCAGTGAGGGGGCCGGCTGAACAGGGAAGCTGAGTCACGTTCTGGAGAGCCATTTCCAGGTGAAACCAGAAAGGGCAAGCGTCATGCTCAAGGCAACACAAGTGGGCCACAGCTCCCAGCCAGGGCTCTGTGCCACCCATGCCCCGCTTCTGCCCCCTGGCAGCGCCCTGGCTCTGAGTGAACAAGCTGCCCCAGTCCCTGGGGATGCACGCAAACCAGGAGGAGGTGACAATAAGGGCTTATCAAATGGCTTGTAGGAGGCAGCCACAAATTTCAGCGGCTGTGTAATGTGGGTCTAATGTTCACTTAGCAGAGCGACAGCCTGAAAAGTCGGTGCCCGCGCTCTGTCCCTGCTGCGGCCGAGGCTGTTGAAGCCACAGAAAGCGAGTCACTCAGCAGACATCAAGCTCTGCGCTGGGGCTGGTGTAGGTGGGGTGTGGGGCTGTAAGAAGTCTGAGTTTCCAGACGCCAGACCATACTGGCGGCCCCAGCTGGCTGCTCCTGGGGGAGGAAAGGAAGCTACATTTTTGGTCTTGGAAAGGCCAAAAGCCCGGAGTCAGAGCTGCCCATCTACAGACGGGGAGGGGAGGAGGCGTAGCCCTGGGGAACCCACCGCTGAGTGACTTGTTTTCGCTTTCCTCACGAGCCTCTGCTGTTTCTCTGAGTGCCCTGGGATCCCTCCTCTGAGGGGCAGGAGGGGAGGGGTCCTGCCCTGAGCCAGCCCCCAACTACCTACCCTGGAAATGAGTCCCCACCTGGGCCACATGGGGAGGGACTGAGCTCAGGGCTTTACTGAAGGTCAAAGCCTCTCCTTTCTGAAGTCCAAAGAGGCATCCTCACCTCTGAGCCCACCCACAGGGCCTGGGGGTCTGCCTCTGCCCCGTCTTCCTGTGCGACTCCAGGCAACTCCTCAGCCCTTTCTGGGCCTCAGTTTCCCCATCTGTTAAGTGGCTGGAAAGGTCTCCAAGCTCGTCCTTCTTCAGAATCTTGTGAATGATGCATAAGGCAGCTGCCCACACCCTCCCTGGCCCTGCTCTGCTTTTCTGTCCTGCGCGGCATGGGGTCTTTGTTTTGTTCATGGCAGTACCTGCAGCCCTGGAGCAGTCCCTGTTGCATAGTAGGTGCTCAGTAAATACTGGTGGTTTTTAAACTCCCAGAAGCCACCCAACCTCCTCGCTGCAGGTCCCTTCCTCTTGGAAGGGTTTCTGATTCATCCCCTTCTCATTCTCCAGGTTCTGTTTTGTCCCCTCCTAGGCTGGGCTGCATTACAGACTCCTGTGCACGTGTTGGTATGCAAATCTGGAAGCCTCCCCCCTGTTTCTATTCCACCTTCTCCTTTCCATCGTGGGTGCGTGGGAGCCATGTCTTCTTTTAGATCCCCCTGGCGCGGCTAGGATGAGTGCCAGGGCCTTGGTGGTACAGCCAGTGCTCCATAGAGCTGTTTACAGCCTGCCAGTGATTCACCCACAACAACTGAGAGAAGGCTCTGCCCAGGCGGGGCCGAGGCCCAGGGGAAGCAAGGGAGACCATGTCTTCAAAGCCCACTGGGATCTGGAAATAGGGGCCTGAAAGACCTCTCAGAATAGCTTTGGCCTAGGAGAACAGGGATTGGGATGTGGGGGTCCAAGCTGGGCCAGGATTGAGAGAATTTGTTCTGGCTCAAGCCTACTGATTCATTCATGTCCAAGCCTTTTTCAGCATCTCTCCCTGGGCACCTTGGGCTGACAGCTGGGGGCTCTGCAATGAACCAACCTGAGTCTGGGGCTTCAGAAGCTTGTAGGGTGATGGAAAGGGGGCTGGGCATCATGAGCCACAATAGAGACAGCCACGGGTGACGTGCAGGTGCAGCCAAGGTTGTCATTCATTCAGTGGGCTGAGGCTTCATCGAGGAAGGGCTGTCCTAGCAGAAGAAACAGCACATGCCAGGACACAGAGGCCACGCCCAGCAGTGAGTGGTTGGATGCGAGGCCTGCCTTCCTGTTCTACATGGCTCTGGCCACCCCTCTGGTTTTTTTTATCTGTAAAAGTGGAGGTGGTAGCCAGGCATGGTGGCTTATGCCAGTAATCCCAGCACTTTGGGAGGCCGAGGCGGGTGGATCACCTGAGGTCGGGAGGCCGAGGCGGGCAGATCACCTGAGGTCAGGAGTTCGAGACCAGCCTGGCCAACATGGCAAAACCCCGTCTCTACTAAAAATACAAAAATTAGCCGGGAGTGGTGGCACATGCCCCTGTAATCCCAGTTACTCGGGAGGCTGAGGCAGCAGAATCGCTTGAACCCAGGAGGTGGAGGTTGCAGTGAGTCAAGATCACTCCACTGGACTCTAACCTGGGCAACAGAGCGAGACTCTGTCTCAAAAAAAAAAAAAATGATGGAGGTGGTGTTGCTTGAGTAGGGGGTTAGAGGTTGTCCTAAAAGTTTCCCATGGGCCTCTCCAGCTCTGACACGGGGATTCTGTGGGAGTGAGAGGAGGCGAGCTGCTGACAGGGCAGGGATCTGGGTGACAGTGAAGTCCTGGTGGCTGGGCAGGGAGGACAAACAGAGCTGTCTGTTTAGGCAAGGAGGGGAGCTGGGAGGAGGACACTGCCAGCCAGTTGGACTGTCTCTCCAGGCCTAGTGTTTGCCGATGGAATAAGGGAGTCAGGTGTGTCAACAGTGGGGAATGAGGTGGCTCTGCACTACACACACACGGGCTGTCCCTGGACTAGGCCATCAAGAGGGCCATGTAGGACACTGGCTGGTGGGAGCCCATGGAGCCCAGTGCACTTGCCCATTGGGTGCTCAGATGGCTCAGCCCAGGCCGCATCTCTCTCCAGGCCTCTTCCCCTGTCTCTCTGGCTCAGCTTGAGGAAAGGGGCAGGGGCGTGACCCATCCCACTCTGGGAGGGGAGAGAGCCTCCCACCTGCTCCTGACCTCTCCGGGCTTGCTCCCCTGGGGACATCCCACCACATGAGTTCTAGTCTTGACTCTGCCACCAACTTGATGAGTGACCCTGGGAGTCCCTTCCCTCTTTCAACTTCAATTTCATTACCTGAAAATGAGAGGCTGGGAGAGAGGTTTATGAGCAATTTGCCAATGGGACCCCATCTTTGCTTCTACCAGAGCAGTTCCGATTTAAGCAGTTTGCCTGATGAGCCCTTTGAGCCCTGAGCAATTGCTGAGTGTCTACTGCATGCCAGGTGGGCACAGAGTCATGTGGGGCAGCCAGGTTTTCCAGTCTCAGTGTGTTCCTTCTTTAGAAGGGGAGTCTTCCATCTCCAACTGTACACTGGGGCTACGTGTGGTTCTGCAGTTCTGTGAGGAGACCCAGAGTCATACGCACTGTGGTTCATACCCCAGAGCTGCCATTTGCTAATGGTGTGACCTTCTGTAACCCCTTTGTGCCTCAGGTCTCTCATCTGGGAAGTGGGATGATAGCGCCAACCTAGCTGGATTGCTGTGACTGCCAGCACAATGCCTTCTAAGGGTTCAAGGTGGGTGCTCAGTAAGCTGCTCTCATGACTACCAAGGATCCTGATGGTCCTCCCAGTTCTAGGAAGGGGCAGCCATGCAGAACAAGTCTCAAAAGCCAGCAGGAGCAGGAGAGGAGGATTGAGAACCCCCAAATTGATAGGCAGCCTGGGGCTGGGTGGGGCAAAAGGTACTGGAGGTGGTGCCTCTGCCCTTTCCCCTTCCACTGCACCCCGTCCACACTCCATAGAAGTCAGCAGTTCAAGTGTCCTGTAATGCACCCCACACCCCAACACACAACACACAGGAGCCCCAGGCCTCAGATGGGAAAAACACTGTCTGGCACTAGGTCTGGTTGACTGGAGAAGTGGGGAGGGAGCCAGGCAGTCCTTCCATCATGCAGATGGAGAGACCTAGAGTCTCAGGCGTTGGGAAAATGAGTCATTTAACATCCATCAGGACCCAAGCCTCCTGAGCCCCCAGCCTGGACCCCTGCACCCCCTCTAGGGAGCAGAGTGAGACACAGAGCTCCCTAACACTAGACCAGGTGTCCCTTAGCTCCGCTCTTCTAGGAGGCTCCCTGAGCACACCCTCTGCGGAGCCTGACTCCCACAGGAGAAGCAGATGGTGCCAGAGTCTGCTGGGAACTGGCTGTCCTGGAGCCCAGCTGTTGCACAGATGTGAGGGGGGAGGGTGGAATGGGGGTTGCGAAGGCAGGAACGCTTGACAGCTCATGCCTGAGTCACCCATCAGCTCCGGGAGTGGTAATGAGCAGATTAGGGTTATTACAGCCGAATGGCTCAGAGCGCACTTGCTCACCCGAGCAACCATCGGCGAACGGCTGATCGCCCACGACTGCCACGGCCGTCATGCCAGGCCCGCCTCTCCCTTGCCCTCTCATTGACTGTGCCGCTGCCAAGGCAGCCTCTGTGGCCTTCACACGCCTCATTAGAGCTGCTGGGGCATGCCCACCAGCCCATGGCCCAGACATCACCCCACCCACTCCTCTTCCCAGGTGTGTCAAGGGGGACACAGGAGTCTGACCTGGGGCCTCGATAAGTGGGCACAGTGATCCCTGACTAGGGAAACAGGTGTATAGTTCCCCACCCACCTAGAATTGGGGCAAGGACAGGTATGGCAGGGATCCAGCCTCCAGGGCCAGTCCTTGTCTGTCTGGTCACCTAGCAGGGGTCTAAAACCAGTGAGGTCCCTCTAGGTCTGGGCCAGGGACACGTCAATCT
Organism: Homo sapiens; assembly: GCF_000001405.40. NCBI lineage: Eukaryota > Metazoa > Chordata > Mammalia > Primates > Hominidae > Homo > Homo sapiens. The sequence continues at coordinate 61,603,820 of NC_000011.10, forward strand.
CCAGGGAGGGCGGCTCCTCCTTCCCCATTGGGCCCATGTTGTCCCCTCTGCTCCCTCTCAGAGCAGGAAACAGAAACAATCTGTCCCAGCAGCCCAGGGCTGGGAGGCGGGGCTGAGGGTCACAGGTAGTAATGATAATGAGTAGCAAATCGCAGAGACAGATGGACGCTTACTATGTCCTAACAGGCACTGAGTGCTGGACATGTGTCTATCCACTTTGTCTTAACAATAGCCCCATGCGTGAACAGATTGAGCATCCCGAACCCCCAAATCTGAAATCCAAAATGCTCCAAAATTCAAAACTTTTTGAGTACCCACATGACTGACGCTAAAAGGAAATGCTCGTTGGAGCCTTTCGGATTTCAGATTTGGGATGCTCAACAGATAAGAATAACATAAATATTCCCCAAAAAATCTGAAATCCAAAACTTGTTTTCGTTTTTGTTTTTGTTTTTTCTCTGAGACGGAGTTTGCTGTTATTGCCTGGGCTGGAGTGCAATGGTGCGACCTCGGCTTACCGCAACCTCCACCTCCCGGATTCAAGCTCCAAGCAATTCTCCTGCCTCAGCCTCCCGAGTAGCTGGGCTTACAGGCATGCACCACCATGCCTGGCTAATTTTGTATTTTTAGTAGAGACGGGGTTTCTCCATGTTGGTCAGTCTGGTTTCGAACTCCTGACCTCAGGTGATCCACCTGCCTTGGCCTCCCAAAGTGCTGGGATTATAGGCATGAGCCACTGCACCCGGCCCGTTTTTTTGTTTTGTTTTGTTTTGTTTTCTTTTGAGACGGAGTCTCGCTCTGTCGCCCAGGCTGGAGTGCAGTGGTGTGATCTCGGCTCACTGCAAGCTCCGCCTCCTGGGTTCATGCCATACTCCTGCCTCAACCTCCCGAGTAGCTGGTAGTACAGGTGGCTGCCACCATGCCTGGCTAATTTTTTGTATTTTTAGTAGAGACGGGGTTTCACTGTGTTAGCTAGGATGGTCTAGATCTCCTGACCTTGTGATCTGCCTGCCTCAGCCTCCCAAAGTGCTGGGATTATAGGCATGAGCCACCACGCCCGGCCTGCTTGTTTTTTGAGATGGAGTCTGGCTTTGTTGGCCAGGCTGGAGTGGGCTCACTGCAACCTCTGCCTCCCGGGTTCAAGCAATTCTCCTGCCTCAGCCTCCCAAGGAGCTGGGATTACAGGCACCTGTAAACACGTCTGGCTAATTTTTGTATTTTTAGTAGAGACAGGGTTTCACCATGTTGGCCAAGCTGGTCTCAAACTCCTGACCTCAGGTGATCCACCCACCTTGGCCTCCCAAAGTGCTGGGATTACAGGCGTGAGCTACTGTGCCCAGCCTGTTTTCTTTTCTTTTCTTTTCTTTTTTTATTTTTTGAGACAGGGTATCGCTCTGTCATCCAGGCTGGAGTGCAGTGGTGCAATCATAACTCACTGCAGCCTCAGCCTTCTGGGCTCAAGTGATCCTCCTGCCTCAGCCTCCTGAGTAGCTGGGACTACAGTTGTGCACCACCACACCCAGCTAATTTTTTAATTTTTGTAGAAGTGGGCTCCCACCTCAGCCTCTCAAAGTGTTGGGATGACAAGTGTGAGCCATGATGCCCGGCTCCAAGTATTTCTGATAAGAGATATTCAACCTGTATTGTCGTCATCATTGTCATATCCATTTTATAGATGAGATTACTTAGTCCCAGATGGGTTAAGTAACTGGCCCAAGGTCACAGCGCTGGTAAGCAACTGGGCTTCAATCCAACCATCCTGACTCCAGAAGCCTCTTTGAACTACCACCTTCTGCACCTGCCCCAGGGCTTCTTCGCCTGAGCCGGTGCCTTGCTGCCGCCCTGCTCATCTCTTCTGGGAAGATGCCTCTCATCTTGCCAGTCCTCAAGCCAGAAGCCTCCGGTGCTGCCCTAGGGCTCCCTGAATAGGCATCCCTAAGGCATCCCTCCTGGTGTTCAAACCACATCCTTCCTGGCTAAGCTTCCATTCCCCAGGGTAGCCCTCCACACTTTGGAGCCTCAGCTCACCTCTCACTCTCACACTTCAGTTTCACACTTCCCTTCTGAATGGTCCCACCTCTGTGCTTTTGCTTAAGCTGTGCACACTTCCCAGAGTGCTCTTTCCCCTATGTCTGCCTGTGCTCCAATACCCTATGCCTGAGCTGACCCATGACATACAAGCACCTACAGAGGCCTGGGGGAAGGAGGCAGTGGTATGTGTGTCAGTGTGGGGAGTCAGTGAAGAGGTTTGGGGCTTTAGGGTCAGTTATGTGACTTCAGGGCAAGTCCCCATCTCCCTGAACCCCAGTTTCTGCAAAATGAAGATATCCATCCCAGCTTCTCCCAAGGTTTATAATGGTAATCTGTGAGGTTCTGGCACATGATGAATCCATAACTACCCGTTGTGACAAGTTCCCCACTTGTGAAGTCAAATGAAGACCCCCTGGTGTTGACAGTGCAGGAAAACCTGTGCCCGAGCACCTTGTCCCTAGGGAGAACCCTACCTTCAGTGCCTCTCTGAACAACAGGGCCAGGAAGGGGTCACTGTATAGCAGTTGGTCCCTAGTGACCAGTCCTGGCAGAGGGCCTTTATCCCACTTCCAGTAGCCCAGCACCAACCATCCCCAGCTCTGGGAGGGGGTGGGCAGCACCCTCCTTCCTCCACATTGTTGCCACCTCAGAGAGTCAGAATCCAGGGAGACAGTCTCCTGGCAGCGGAGCTCCTGCTGCCCGCCATGGGTGTCTGTGATGCTGCCGTGCCCACTGGGGGCTGCAGGCACTCCAGCATCAGGATGGACTAAATCTCGGGAGTGGGAAGGGGACTCCAGCCAGGGGCACTGGAGACAGGGCCAGCCTGAGTGCCTGCTTCTCCCAGGGGCAGGTGCCAGCATGGTGCACCCCTCAAGGAGTGTGGCAGGTAAGATTGAGGTCCTGGCTGCCCCAGGCTCCTGTGCCATCGAGAGGGAAAGCACCTGGAACAGGTATACAGTAGATGCTTAGTGATGAGGAGAATCTTCACTTGGTGGAATTCTGAACACTTTGGGTACCACCAGAGTCAGAATTCCCAGAGGAGGAGGCAGGCATTTGATAACGGATGTCTGGAGGATATAGCATGTTCAACCTTCCCCTCTCCATGAGAGGAAGTGGTGACCTCAACCCCAGCACCCTCCTCTGCCCATTCACACCCACCCACTCCCACCTCTCTGCCAGCCTCAGTTGGATGTGGAGCAGAATGTAATGAGGACTTACCTGTCCACAAGGACTTCACAACTGTTCCAAGGCGATGGATGGGCAGGTGCTAACGCAGCCCCTCAGTGTCCCCCTTCCCTTGCTTTTGGGGTGGGCTTGGGGCCCCCGGGGGGTCCTAACTCACTGAAGATACCAGGGCCCAGCTTCTGAGTATTCCTAGAGGCCATTTCTACCCCTAGAAACTTTACATGGAGCCAAAAGCCCATTTGAAGCTCAGTCTGGGCCAGGAGAGGCTAATCATAAAAGGGATATTTTTTAAGTGTACAGAAATAAGAATTTATTTTTGAAGACATGATTTATATTTTGAATGGCTAATGCACTCACATGATTCAAAATTCAAAATTCCAAAAGAACCGACAGTGCAAAGTCGCTCCTCCTTTGGTCCCCACCACCCAGTTTCCCTCTGCAGAGGGAACCTTGTTGCCAGTTCTTGTGTATTCTTCCAGAGATCTTCTATGTATAAACCGTCATCCTCCTAGGAATTCTCATTTGTTATCCTTTTAAAATGCACACACATCCTGCTCTGTACCTGGCTTTCTTCCCTTAAAAACACATCTTGATTATTGTTCTATGTCACTTGCAAAACAGGTTCCTCATTCTTATTTTGTGGCTGCAGATGACTTCATTGTATGGAAGGACTGCACATTATTTAACTGATCCCTTATTTTTTGTTTTTTGTTTTTTGAAATAGAGTCTCGCTCTGTCACCCAGGCTGGAGTGCAATGGCACAATCTCAGCTCACTGCAACCTCTGCCTCCCGGGTTCAAGTGATTCTCCTGCCTCAGACTCCTGAGTAGCTGGGATTACAGGCACGCACCACCACGCCCAGCTAATTTTTGTATTTTTCATAGAGACGGGGTTTCACCATGCTGGCCAGGCTGGTCTTGAACTCCTGACCTCATGGTCCACCCACCTTGGCCTCTCATAGTGCTGGGATTACAGGCCTGAGCCACCGTGCCCGGCTGATCCCTTATTGATGCACATTTAGCTTGTTTCCGTGTTTGGTAATTACATGAAATGTTGCAATAAATAACTTTGTACACATCCCACTTCAAATGTGTGCTAGCAGACCTGTGGGAAATTCCCAGGAGTGGAACCGCCGGGTTAGACGTGGCTATGCACAGTTGCGAAGGAAAGGAGAGGTCGGATGGCCCTCCTTGGAGATTACACCAGGCTACACTTCCACTGGCCTTGTCTGCATCTGTCTGGTCCCCATAGCTTTGCCAGCAGTGTTATCAAACTCTGTGAGCTTTGCCAGTCTGATATTTGAATAATGGTATGTCAGTGTGGTTAGACATTTTAAAACAGCAATTATATTGGTGGCTGTTTACCGAGCAGGAGTACGCCATGCCAGGCACGTTTACATATGACATACTGCTCATTCCTCATGGGGAGCCACTGGAGGCAGAGAGCAGTTGCTCCATTTTATACAGGAGGAAACTGAGGCCCAGAGAGGTTAGGCACTTTCCTACAGTCCTTATAGCCCTGGGAGCAGCATGGGAGTTCGAACCCAGTTTGTCTGACTCGGGCCAATTCTCCTTCCTTATTCCAGGCTGCCTTTCAGTGACAGGCTGCTGAGGACACCCTAGGCCAGGAGCCACCCCACCTGGCCCACCGAGGCTCTGGACCCTCCCAGGGCTATTGCTTCTCTGGAGTTGGGTGATGAACAGAGGGTTGGACCCCCCAAGCCCTGCATGGGGGTAGAGGCCCTCCCTGAGAAGGACCTCCAGAGCCCAGCTCTGCTCTCCCAGGGTGTGGTTCCATGGGAGGTGGGCTCCACTGGTCCTAAGCTCTGGGCAGGTTGGCATCCCCAGAGGGCAATGCTGACAACACCTCCCTTGGCACCCCCAAGGGTTCGTTTCTCAGCAGCAACTTCCAAAGGCTGTTCCCCCAGGTCTCTGTCCCTTTCCTGAGCCCTCCCCTGTCCTTCTCCAGGCAACCCACAGCCCCAGCAGCCTGTGCACATTTAGCGCTGGATCCCTGATCCCTTGGGCTTGGCCTCACTCCTCTCTGGCTCCATGCCCCCAGATCTCTTTGGCATGACCAACAACTGGCTGGCGAGCCCAGAGATGGGGGAAGAAGGGCCCTGAGCCATGAGTGCACCTCACTGCATGGCCCTGGTCAGGTCCCTCTGCCTCCCGGGGCCTCACTGTGTCCACAGCCTCCTGCACGCCACGAAGCACCTCCCCGATGTGCCAGCTCCCCCAGCACCAGCCTCATCCCAAGGAAGGAGGAGGCGACTCCCACTACTCAAGGGGCTGTTCCCCATGGCACCCCTCAGGCCGCTGCAGGAGACTATAAGCCCCTCACAACCGAGGCCATTTTCCCCACTCCCTTCCCCGCAAGCCCTAAATGGCCCAGCAACAACTCTGAACTCTGATCTCGGTCAGCCCAGCACGGGTGGGGCAGGAGGTTCTGTCAACAGCGAGAGAAACTCGTTAACTGAATGTCAATAGGATTAAAGGCTCTGATGGTCCAGGAGAAAAATGTGACGTGACACATCATGACAGATGCGTGGAAGGGCTCCCGGGGGGTGGGGTCCCGTGTGTGTGTGTGTGTGTGCGTGTGTGTGTGTGAGAGAGAGAGAGGGGGAAGGGAAGCAAATACATAGTAGCAAAGATGAGAGAGACAGAGACAAGTGACAGAGACAGAGAAAGAGAGAAAAGCCAGAGACAGATGATAGAAGGAGAGAAAGGAAGGCATGAGAGACCAAGAAAGGAGAAAGTTAAAAAAAAAAAAGACTGAGAGAGACAGAATCCCAGATACAACCAGAGAGATAGAGCAAAAGAAACCAGAGAGATAGAGAGATTGAAGGAAAGAGAGAGAGATAGAGAGCGAGAGAGAGAGAGAGAGATTGAGAGAGAGAGAGAGTGCCCACGCACATGCCAGCAAGGGCGAGTGTGACAGTGCAGAGGGATGGGGGAGGGGACAAGCAAGTTTGTAAATGAGAGGAAAATTAAGATTGAGCACTGAGAAGAGTTCTGCCCTGGGAAGCCTTTTGAGGAAGCCATGGACGGTGTCCCCAGGGACTCAGAATGGCAGCTTTGTCAGTCAGGCAAGGACGAGATGTATCAAGCACCCACGGCGTGTCAGGCTCTGCTGTGGTTGCCAGGGGGCAGGCAGGAGCTCGAAGAGCAGAGAGAGAGGGAGGTTGACTCTGCCTTGGGGATTCTAGACTTACAGAGGACATGGGAGGAGCCTGCAGTCCAGAGAGGCTAGGTGAGGCTGACCAGGTGTTGGACCTGGGACTCCTGGCCTCACACTCACCACGCAGTACCACGGCACCGCACAACTGCATGGGACACGCGCATACACAGACACACACACACAGCAAAGGCGTGTGACTCTCAGTGCCTGGTGTGAGGTTTGGAGGACATCGTTTCAGGTCTGCTAGGCTAAGCAGTTTGCAGAACGGTGGCCAGGAACGGTGGGTACTGAGTAAAGATTAGAGTCAGCTCCTTGAGCCATAGGAAGTGATGGAGACACAGATTTGAGTCCCGGCCCTGCCATTCTTTGGGTGTGTGATCTTGTCGGGAGGCTTTCTTCTCTGAACCTCAGTTTCCTCTCCTGGAATAGCAGGATGATAAGAGCAGGGCTGTTGGGAGGTTTAAAGGAAAGCCCCTGACACAGAGGAGCGCTCCATGGTCCTGCCTCTCCTTCCCCTCATCCCAAGTCCCTGTGACGGTCAGGAAAGTCATTGAATGGAACTGGTCTTGGAAAGAAGCTGGGTGGAGCAGGTTGAATGGGAAAGGGCACGGTTAGTGTCTAGTTGTTCTCCCCACGTCTGGCCCTTTCAGCCATGGAACCAGGAGAGTTGAGGTTGGAGATCCCAGGCAGACAGCCCGCAACCAGTAGGATGGGCTGCGCTCATCCAGCCGGAGCAGACCTGCCCAGTCCCACCGAGGCCCTCCCCCATGCACATCAGGGCTCTTCTGGGGAGGTGCCCAAAGCAGTGGGGAGTCCCAGAGCTGTCCGTTCCAGCCAGGGCCCAGAACATCTGCTGTGTCCTTGCTGCCCAGGCTGCGGCTGGCATAGAAACAGGCGGGAGGCTGGCCAACAGGCACTCCAGGAGTGTAAATTCCACATTTGCATCATGGATGTTCCCAGCCCCAAGGGCTGCTGACCTTTACGGCTGCTGCCTTGGTCCTTCCTCCCCTTCCAGCCTTCTGAGTGCAGCCAGGCTGGCCACCGGATACTGGAGCCTTGAAGGGGAAGAGGGGGCAGGTGGTGGTGGCCAGGGGCTGTTTGGCATGGGGGACGGGAAGGTAGGCCCTGCAGAGCCCAGCTTGCCCTCCCCTCCCCACCCCAGGCAGGAGGAGCCCACTCTTCCCTGATTCAGCATCCGCTGCCCCCTCGCAGCCAGGACCCCTTCTACCCCCACTGCAAGTCAGCCTGATGCACACACACAAGGGCAGCTTGGGCCCCGGATTAGCAGTGTCACTAAGACATCAGTCGCCCCCGGCTGCCTGTGACATCTCCCTAGGGATTGCACCGTCTGTGCTGAGTGGCAGCAGTACTGAGCAGGCTGTCAGTTTTTCTGGGCTCAGCAGTCAGGCCTGCACCTCTGAGGGGTGAAAACCCCTCCCTGGGCCACCCCCACCCCCAGCCAGAGGACTCTCGTCAGGGGTGGCTTGGTCAGCCAGCTGGCTGGGCAGATTCCCTGTGATATATCTAAATGAAAATCCATCTACCTGCCCTCAGGAGAGGAGGCTCTGACCTAAGCCCCAGGACACAGAGATGGGGTGCTGAGCCCTGCCCGTGGGGGCTCACAGTCAGAAGGATCTATTTATTTGTATTTGTTGTTCATCCCGCAGATATCTCTTACACCAGGTGCTGAGGATGCCTTGCGGATAGTTACAGGTTGAATTATATACCCCCAAAGGAAATGTTGAAGTCCTTACTCCCAGCACCACAGAATATGACCTTATTTGGAAATAGGGTCATTGCAGATGTAATCAAATTAAGGCAAGGTTCTGCTGAAGTAGGGTGGCCCTTAATCCAATATGACTGGTGTCCTTCTGAAAAGAAGGAAGACAGCCCTGTGAAGGCACAGACACACCAGGAGAATGCCAAGGGGTGACAGAGGCCGAGATGAGAGTGATGCACCCACAAGCCGAGGAACACCAAGCCAACTTCTAGAATGTAGGGAGAAGCAAAGGAGGGTTCTCCCCTGCAGGTTTTGGTGGAAGCACGGCCCTGCTGATGCCTGATTTCAGATGTGTGACCTCCAGGACTGGGAAACAATCAAGCTTTGTTGTTTCAAGGCACTCAGTTTGTGGTATGTTGTGATGGCAGCCCTGGGACACTGAGCTAGTGAGTGGCACTGCTCTAGACCTGCAGGGGCTTACAAGGGAGCAAGGGGGAGATGGAGACGTGCAAACAGGTTAACAAATGCTTATGGCCGGGCGCGGTGGCTCACACCTGTAATCCTAGCACTTTGGGAGGCTGAGGTGGGCGAATCACCTGAAGTCAGTAGTTCAAGACCAGCCTGACCAACATGGTGAAACCCTGTCTCTACTAAAAATACAAAAATTAGCCAGGTGAGGTGACATGTGCCTATAGTCCCAGCTACTCAGGAAGCTGAGTTTGCAGTGAGCTGAGATCACGCCACTGCACTCCAGCCTGGGTGACAGAGCAAGACTCCATCTCAAAATAATAATAATAATAATAATAATAATAATAATAATAATAATAATACCATCCAGGCACAGGTCCAAACATCCTAAAGTGGCCTAGAGCGATGGAGTCACCCTACAGACAGATTCCTTTGTTTCTTTTTTGAGACCATGTCTCACTCTGTTGCCCAGGCCGGAGTGCAATGGTGCGATCTTGGCTCACTGTAAGCACTATAACCTCCACCGCCTGGGTTCAAGCGATTCTCCTCCCTCAGCCTTCAGAGTAGCTGGGATTACAGGCGTGCATCACCACACCTGGCTAATTTTTGTACTTTAGTAGAGACCAGGTTTCCCCATGTTGGCCAGGCTGGTGGTCTTGAACTCCTGACCTCAAGTGATCCACCTTCCTCGGCCTCCCAAAGTGCTCGGATTACAGGCGTGAGCCACCGCACCCAGCACACCCCACAGACAGATTCTAATCTGTGTCTATGAGGAAGACATTTGGTCCCAAGACAAAGGAAACCCAAAAACTGTGGCTTAAACACTTCAGGGCTTTCTCTTCTCACATTACAAGGACTCTGGAGGTGAGCTGCCCAGAACCAGTGTGCTGACTTCAGGATGCCAGCTTCCTGCTCCCACAGCTTTAGATGTTGACTTTCAACCGTATGGTGCCACAATGGCTACCGTACCTCCAGATTTCACGTTCAGATTCCTGGCAAGAAAAATGGAAGTTAGGACCAAAAGAAACGCTACGAGCCCAGTCTGCCCCTTATTTTTAAAAGTGAAAACTCTCCTGAAACCCCACACAGTCAACTTCTGTTTATACAGATGTGAGGTGGGGGAATGTGGCAACCCTGTACAAAATTGGAATCTGGTCAGCAAGCAGGGAGGGAGGGAAAAGGAATTCGGTGGGCAGCCAACAGGGTCTGCACTGTTACACAATGGAGGGGGCTTGGAGCTGGTCATCCCCTAGCCAGGCCCATTTATATATCAGGGCACCAGAGTATAGAGAGGGGAAATGACTTGCCCAGGGTCACACAGCAACACAGGGGCAGGACTTTAACCCAGGCCTCCTAAGGCTGTAGCCAGAGCTCTTTCTACAGCCCTGCAACGTGATATGGCTGCTTGGTTGACAAGCCCCCTTTAGAGGACTAGGGGGCTGGGCATCTTCAAAGCTCCAGCACCCAGAAGCCTTCAGGAGGCGGGGAGGCATTGGCCATAACGGGAGGTGAAGGAAGCCTTCCCCTGTTGTTTTAACCTCTCGGGGCAGAGCCCGCTCCTCTGGGTGGCTAGCTGGTGGGTGGGTAATTAGCCTTGTCACCCCCTCTTCCGGGAGAGTCAGCTATATAATCTGCCCGTCAGCTGGGGAGAGGGGGCGGCCCCTCTCTACCCACTGCTGAGGCTGACGCTTGGCAGATGGGGGTGGCAGGACAGCCAGTGAGGAAGGGGTTGTTGGGGCCAGCTGGTAGGCAGGTGGATAAGCGAGAGAAGACAGTAGGGTCAGGGGCCCAAAGAGGCAATTCTCATGAGCATTCATCCATTGGGATGTGTGACGCATGGAAGGGCTGTACTTTCCTTCAGTCCCACTGGCAGACCAGGGGAAGAGGCACCCTTGCCCTCAGCTCAGCACTGGCCCCCCTGCAAGGACAGCCCTGAACACCCACTCCTGTGCCTGGCACCATCCAGGTCCCGGGGGACTGCTTCTCCTCTTCTCTTGCTCTAGGTCCTGGATACGAAAGGTGATCTAAGTCTGGAATGTATGAAGGTTTAGGGGTTGTGCAGCTGCTGACCTGAGAGACAGATTCTGCTTCTGAGGACAGGGCAGACTTGAGAGGCAGCAGTGCTTATGTGTGAGAAAAGCCTAAGATGAACTTGTTAAATTTTCACTCTCAGAGAGCACGAATGCAGTAGATTATTGCAAACCGAAGCCTTTTCTCGGCAGGGTCAACTGTCCATTTTCTTGCTTTTCTTCATGTACCAATTCTTGGTTCCAGAGGTTCTTGTGGATTAATGCAATATCCACAATGACGCCTATAGCAGCTGAGGAACTTTTGCAATGTTTAAACTGTTCATTTCCTCTGATATTTATATATATAAATTTAGATATAACATGCATGAAGTGTGATACTGATTATTTACAGTAGGAACTAGATGGGTGTTTGATGTGGTTTGGCTGTGTTCCTACCCAAATCTCATCTTGAATTGTATTCCCATAATTCCCACGTGTTGTGGGAAGAACCCGGTGGGAGAGAATTGAATCATGTGGATGGTTTCTCCCATACTGCTCTCGTGGTAATGAGTAAGTCTCACGAGATCTGATGGTTTCATAAGGGGAAACCCATTTCACTTGCTCTCATTCTCTCTCTCTTGTCTTGTCTACCGCCATGTAAGACGTGTCTTTCACCTTCTGCCATGATTGTGAGGCCTCCCCAGCCACATGGAACTGTAAGTCCAATAAACCTCTTTGTTTTGTAAATTGCCCAATCTTGGGTATGTCTTTATTAGCAGTGTGAAAACAAATCAGTATAGTGTTAAACACTGGAATTGCTAATATGTCATTTTTCTAAAAATGTTTAATAAAATGTTATTACAATTTCAAAAGATTAATAAAAATTCAGATTTAATATATTTTTAAAATTATTATTTTTTTTTAGAGATAAGGTCTCACTCTGTAGCCCAGGCTAGAGTGTAGTGGCACGATCATGGGTCGCTGCAGCCTTGAATTCTTGGGCTTAAGTGATTCTCCCACCTCAGCCTCCTGAGTAGCTGGGATCACAAGTGTGCGACACCATGTCTGCCTAATTTTTAAACTTTTTGTGGAGATAAGGTCTTGCTATGTGGCCCAAGCAGTCTAGAATGCCTGACCTCAAGCAAACCTCCCACCTTGGCCTCCCAAAGCACTGGGATTATAGGTGTGAGCCACCATGCCCAGCCCCAGATTTAATTTAAAATGTTACACTAGGCTGGGTGCAGTGGCTCACACTTGTAATCCCGCACTTTGGGAGGCCAAGGCGGGCAAATAACTTGAGGCCAGGAGTTCAAGACCAGCCTGGCTAACATGGTGAAACCCTGTCTTTGCAAAAACTACAAAAATTATCTGGGCACGGTGGCATGTGCCTGTAATCCTAGCTACTTGGGAGGCTGAGGCGTGAGAATTGCTTGAGCCTGGGAGGTGGAGGTTGCAGTGAGCAAAGATCACACCATTGCACTCCAGCCTCAGTGACAGAGCAAGACTCTCTCTCAAAAAACAGTTACACTCATTATAATTTGTATTTTACCTTTTAATTTCAATAAATAATTTTGGATATTTTAGAAAAAAATACCTTTTTAAAAAGCATTTAAAATTTTACCTTTACTATAATTTTCCTTTTGGACAAAAACTATATTTTATTTCTTTAATCTTTTTGGATGGGTATTGTCACTAAAACACAAATTAGCAATTTTGGTGAAATAAAGGCCTGAACATTTTTATGGATTAAAACGATAAGAATTTGTGAATTATGTATGTCTTTATTTGATCACTTGTCTAAACACAGCCGGCCCTTCAACAGAATACCCAAACACACCAGCTTTCAAGCATATAAAAACCAGAGCTTTACACATGCTTTTCAACTGTGCCACTATGAATGTATATTTGTCAAGGTAAGAGAAGAGAACATATTTTATTTAACAGCTTGTTCGCTTGATTTTGAAATATTTAGGCATATGGTATGTGGGTCTTCATTTGTGTTCTTGCAAATATTAGAGACAAGTCTGGGAGTTTTTTTAATAACAGCTTTATTGATATATATGTATATATAATTCACATGTAATTTATGGGAGCCTTAGCTCCCCCTTCTGAAGTATATGCTTCAGTGGTTTTTAACATATTCACAAAGTCATGCATTCATCACTAGTATCTATTTCAGAACATTTACATCACCCCCAAAAGAAACCCCGCACCCAATAGCAGTCACTCCCCATTCCCTCCCACACCCAAGCCCTGAAAATTACTCATTTCCTTTCTGTTCCTATGAATTTGTTGATTCTGGACATTTCATATCAATGGAATTATATCAAATGTGTCTGGCTTCTTTCACTTAGAATAAGGCTTTTAAGGTTCGTTCATCTTGTAGCATGTATCAGTACTTCATTCCTTTTTATTGCCAAGTAATATTGCACTGTATGGATATATCCATCAGTTGATGGACATTTAACTTGTTTCCATTTTGCCGGGGGCAGTGGTTCATGCCTGTAATCCCAGCACTTTGGGAGGCCAAGGCGGGTGGATCACCTGAGGTCAGGAGTTGGAGACCAGCCTGACCAACATGGTGAAACCCGTGTCTACTAAAAATACAAAAATTAGCCAGGTGTGGTGGCACATGCTTGTAGTCCCAGCTGCTCAGGAGGCTGAAGCAGGAGAATCTCTTGAACCCAGGAGGCAGAGGTTGCAGTGAGCCCAGATCCAGCCTATGAACATTCAGATTCATAGGAGCACTATTTTCTGTGGGCTTATGTTTTCAGATATCTTAGGTATATACCTAAGAGTGGAACTGCTGGATCATATGGTAATTCATGTTTAACTTTTTTTTTTTGAGATGGAGTCTCACTCTGTTGCCCAGGCTGGAGTGCAGTGGCGCTATCTCGGCTTACTGCAAGCTCCGCCTCCCAGGTTCATGCCATTCTCCTGCCTCAGCCTCCCAAGTAGCTGGGACTACAGGTGCCCGCCACCACGCCCGGCTAATTTTTTGTATTTTTAGTACAGACGGGGTTTCACTGTGTTAGCCAGATGGTCTCGATCTCCTGACCTCGTGATCCGCCCGCCTCGGCCTCCCAAAGTGCTGGGATTACAGGCGTGAGCCACCGCACCCAGCCCATGTTTAACTTTTTGAGGAACTGCCAGATTGTTTTCTACTGCACTGCTGTGCGTTCCCAGCACAGTGCACAAGGGTTCCAATTTCTTCGCATCCTTTCCAGCACTTGTTATTGTCTTTCTTTTTTATTGTAGCCCATCCTAGTGGTGGGAAGGGGTATCTCATTGTGATGTTGATTTGCATTTCCCCCATGACTAATGATGCTGAGCATCTCTTGTGTGCTTATGGGCCATTTGTATATCTGCTTTGGATAAATGCCTATTCAAATCCTTTGCCCATTTTTAATGGGGTGATTCAGGTCTGGGTGTTTTCTTTTTTTTTTTTTTTTTGAGACAGGGTATCTGTTGGCTAGGCTGGAATGCAGTGGCACAATCTTGGCTCACTGCAACCTCCACCTCCAGGGTTCAAGCGATTCTCCTACCTCAGCCTCCTGAGTAGCTAGTATCAGAGATGCCTGCCACCATGACCTGATGATTTTTGTTTTTTGTTTGTTTGTTTGTTTTTGGAGACGGAGTCTTGTTCTGTCACCCATGCTGGAGTGCAGTGGTGCCATCTCAACTCACTGCAACCTCCGCCTCTGGAATTCAAACGATTCTCCTGCCTCAGCCTCCCAAGTAGCTGGGACTACAGGTACACACCATCGTGCCCAGATAATTTTTGTATTTTTAGTAGAGATGAGGTTTCACCATGTTGGCCAGGCTGGTTTGGAACTCCTGACCTCGGTGATTCACCCACCTCAGCCTCCGAAAGTGTTGGGATTACAGGCGTGGCCCATGGCGCCTTGCCTTAATTTTTGTATTTTTAGTAGAGATGGGGTTTTACCATGTTGGCTGGTCTCAAACTCCTGACCTGAAGTGATCCACCCGCCCCAGCCTCCCAAAGTGCTGGGATTACAGGCATAAGCCACCATGCTCAGGCTTCAGGTCTCGTTTTGATAGAGGGATAAAGCAACAATTGTGAAGGCTCCAACACAGTAGCCTTGTGCTTGCTTTGACATCAGACTGTGCACTTTGAGGTGGGCAGAATTACCTTTTAGTCTTTACAGAAGCAGTGTCTGCCACCTACAATGACTTCTCTTCTCATCTCTTCAGCACAGCCTTCTTTAAACCTTCTTTATAATCCTTCTCTGATCGCAGAGTGATAGCCGACCATGTTGCAGTGGGCCAGAGTTAGCTGTACCCTGCAGCTAAGCACACGGGCTCCGGAGCCAGCCTGCCTGGTTCAGATCCTGGCTCCCCCAAGTCTCAGCTGTGCAACCTGGGAGGCTAACTCTTCAGTTTCCTCCTTTGTAAAATGGGAATGATAACACCTTCCTTATAGCGTTGTCGCAAGGGCTTGCTGAGAACATACGTGTAAATCCTGTTGCATCTTGTGCCTGATCGATGCTTGCTAGATTTCCTTTTGCGCAGAGCATTTCCAATGGCAGGGGTCACTACTTTCAGGGCAGACTTTCCATTTATGAATGGTGTTAATTGAAGGAAGCCCTTGGGGTGTTTGGCTGAAAATTGTCTCACTGTGATTCAGGCAGCCATCAGGTCTGTGGAGGAGCTGTAGGTTTCCCCCACCTCCGGCTCCAACTGTCCATCATTCCTCCCCTCTCCTCCCCTCTATCACCCACGCCTCCTTGCTCCTTTCCAAATGGCGTGTGACTTCTCAGGGGATGTGAGAGGCGGCTGGAAAGTGACACCACACCCCTTAATTACCCTTGTTCTTTCTATGCCCCAGCACCTAAATTTAGCCAGCAGACCTGGGCACTGGGGACCCAGCTCCTCCCTCCCCAAGGCCCCACCCTCTCAAAGGCAGGAAAAGAGCCCCCAGGCACGACTTCTCACCATCCTGGGGGTGGAGGCCTCAGGGAAGTTGCTGAAAGGCCGGGCGAGGGCACTGGGCTCCAGCAGGGACCCTTCCTGCTGCAGCAGGCAGCTGGGCTGTGAGCTGTGATGGAGCAGAATGTCACCTGCCCACCCCCTGCCCTTTTTAATGATGGTGAAGCCTGAGAGGGAGGGTCGGTCAAAGTGTCCAGAATGTTAGGGGCATGAGCTCGAGAATCTGACAGACACCCTCTCTGACACATGCCAACTGTGTGACCTTGGGGAAGTCACCAGACTTCTCTGGACATGCTTCCTCATCTGAGAAATGGAGACCTCTCAAGTAAGGTGACTGTGACATTTAAATGAGATAATACATGTAAAGCATGCAGCACCAAGCAAGCACCAATCAGCTCAGCCACATCCATTATCAAAGTTGCTTGACCTGTTAGTGCAGTGGGGACCCAAGCCTCTGGACTCAGTGCTCATGCCAGGAAGTCACACTCCTTCATCAATGACTTGATGCCTCTGTTCCAGATGGGGACATTGAGGCAAAGACAGGTTAATTACCAGGACCAAGGTTACCCAGCTAGGTGGCAGCAAGGCTGAGATCTGATCCCAGGTCTGCAGGCATTCGTTGCCTTTCATGAATTGTTTTGGCCAAAAGGCCCCACCTCTTCCAAACCCGTCTCAAGGTCCACCACCTCCAGGAAGCCCTCCTGGCTGTCTCCAGGGCAGATCTCTCCAACCTCCCGGGCTGCAGAATGTCTATTCCAGACCATAACCTCCTCCCCAGCTCCTGGACAAGTTCTAGAAGGGAGGGCTTGCTTTTTACCTCTGTGAGTCTCTGAGGTTCCATGACGGAGTCCATAGGCATGAAAAATCACTCACTGATCTTTTTTTTTTTTTTTGAGATGGAGTCTCGCTCTGTTGCCCAGGCTGGAGTACAGTGGCACGAGCTTGGCTCACTGCAACCTCCACCTCCCAGGTTCAAGCAATCCTCCCACCTCAGCCTCCCCAGAAGCTGGGATTACAGGCATGCCACCATGTCCAGCTAATTTTTGTATTTTCAGTAGAGACAGGGTTTTGCCATGTTGGCCAGGCTGGTCTTGAACTCCTGACCTCAAGTGATCTGCCCGCCTCGGCCTCCCAAAGTGCTGGGATTACAGGGGTGAGCTTTCAGATACATAGAGAAAGGGAGAGCCAGCAAGTGGGAACAGAAAAGTTAGCTGGGATGGAAAATTAGACCTGGAAGGAAGGAAAGTGTGCATGGCTGGCTCTGTACCTGAGATGGGAGACAGTGGCTTCATCCCAGAGTGGGGATGCCAGGGATGTCCTGGTGAGGAATGGGGCCGCTCCAGGATCAGTCAGGCCTGGAATTGATACCGCCATGTCTGGGTCTCTGGGCCTTAGTCCCTCGTCTGCAGAATGGGGCAGTAAATGCCAGCCTCCTGGAGGTAGGTAGAGGGAGGCTTGAATGAGATGACCGAATGGGGACCAGCGTGCCCCACCCTGTGCCCTGCACAGTCAGCAGCCTCCAGCTTGGAGGGAGCTGGACAGAGCCTGAACCTCTCTGGTCACCTGAGGCAGCCACTCGGGCCCCTCTGCTTCGAGGGCTCTTCGGAGAGAGGAGCCTACGAGGAAGTTATGATGTGGCTTTACCACCCTCCCCCTCTTGGTCACACTGGAGTTCCAGGGCACAACCCCTTAGGGACACCAGCGGGGGTGGCCTGTGGCAGCCCCAACCTTCCCGCACCCAGCCCCTAGTCCACAGTGCCACCAATGCCAGGCTGTCATCAGGGCTCACCAGGCACACATGATCTCACTTAAACCTCCCAGGCAGGTGCTTGCGTCTTCCCATGCCACAAGTGAGGAAACAAAGAAACAGAGGGTTAAGGAACCTTCCAACAGTGCAGAGCTCAGATTCAGACTCAGGCAGTCTGGCCCCAAAGTCTGCACTCAAAACCACTACACTCCTCCACCTCCCTAAACAGGATGAGACCCTCTTCCCGGTGGGCTGGAGTGATTAGACAACTTTACAGGGGTGCGGAGTAATACTTCAAGGTGTGTGCTAGAGAGAGCATGTCTGGGGTGGCATTTCAGAAGTTAATTCCTCACTAGTTCTCTTCCCTGAGGGGGCTCACTGAGTTTGAGTTTATCTCTTGAAATACTGTAACAATCCAGGCACAGTGGCTCATGCCTGTAATCCCTGCACTTTGGGAGGCCAAGACAGGCGGATCACCTGAGGTTAGGAGTTCAAGACCAGCCTAGCCAACATGATGAAACCCTATCTCTACTAAAAATACAAAAAAATTAGCCAGATGTGGTGGTGGGCACCTGTAATCCCAGCTACCCGGGAGGCAGAGGCTGTAGTAAGCTGAGATTGTGCCACTGCACTCCAGCCTGGGCGACAGAGCGAGACTCCATCTCAAAAAAAAAAAAAAAAAAGAAATACTTTAACAATAATACTAACACTGATACTAATACTAACAGCTATCTTCTCTGAGCAGGTTTTATGCGCCACTCACCATCCTGAACTTTGACATGTGTTAATTCGTTTAATACTCATAACAGCCCTAGGAGGAAGGTATTATGAATTTTCTTGTTATCCAGATGAGGAAACTGAGGCTCAGAGAGGTCAAGTCACTGGGCAGCTCCCAGAGCTGGTGGTGGAGTCAAGATCAAACCCAGGCGGTTCTGGGTCCAATCATTCATTTGTCCCATGCTCTCTTAACCTCAAACTTGCCGCCTTTTCCTGCCTTGCCCGTGTGAATGTCCCCTCCCCCCAGGGTGTTGGAAAGTGAGTCCCACCAGGTATGGGGCAGGACCAGGAGGGACCTTACCAGCAACCGGGGTAAGGAGGAATGACCAAGGCATTCCAGCCCCAGCATGGGGGGGTAGGGTGTGGGCTTGGCCTTTGCAGTGTCAGGGATCTGGGCGGCCCCTCCTAGCTCACCTGCAGATCTCCCTCCGCAGGCAGGACTCCCATACCCTGGGAACACCACAAGCCGCTCCTGAAGGCAAACAGAAGACTCAGAGACAGAACAGCAGAGCCTGAGCCATAAGGTAGAGGGGAACATTTCCCAGCCACCTCCTGTTTTCAACACTGCTGGCCCTGGATCCAGTAAGTGGCATGACCATGCAGAGTGGTGCTTGGGCCCCTAACAACTGCTCCCTCAGTTCTGCACAGAGAAGGCTGTTCCCAGAAAGGGCTCCATTAAATCCTTAGCCAAGAGCCACATCTCCTCTGTTTCTGTCTCAGCCAAGGGGAGAGGGCACATGTTCAGTCCACTCCTAGGGTGCTGATCTTGTGGGGGCAGATGGTAGTGTCTTCAGTGAATGGCAGCTTCTTGTTCTTGTGTAGTTATCGTGGCCAAGATAAGACCACACAACCATGTGTTTTGGGAAAGGAGACAAAGAAGCGACCCAGGAATGCCAAAGGGGTCAAATAAAGTTTCTGGGGCTTCCGTGAGCCCATGGCTCTTGGGGCCCTGAGTCATGGGGTCCAGAAAACCAGGCCTGTCTGGATGGGGGGCCTGGCATGGGAATCACGTTCTCATAGGATGTTGCTTGTGATCTGCAACAAACACAGTGCATTTTCAAGCATCTTCCCGTATTGGGGCTGAGATAATGATATTCCAAAGTATGGTGCTGTGGCATGCTGAGTACTTTGAGCTAAAGGAGACTGGAAGGTCTCAGAAGCAGCCTCAGAAGCAGTATCTCTCTCTCTCTCTGACCTGTCCCCACTTTTCTCCCCCAAGGCAGCCATAGAAATGAGAATTCCTCTTCCGTAAGGTAGGTCATAGAAAGTAGAAATATTGGGAGCCGGATGTGGTGGCTCATGCCTGTAATCCCGGTACTTTGGGAAGCCGAGGCGGGTGGATGACGTGAGGTCAGGAGTTTGAGACCAGCCTGGCCACAGTGAAATCTGTGTCTACTAAAAATACAAAACTTAGCCAGATGTGGTGGCGTGTGCCTGTAGTCCCAGCTACTCAGGAGGCTGAAGCAGGAGAATCTCTTGAACCCAGGAGGCAGAGGTTGCAGTGAGCTGAGATCCAGCCTGACGTGAGGTCAGGAGTTTGAGACCAGCCTGGCTAACATGGTGAAGCTCCGTCTCTACTAAAAATACAAAAATTAGCCAGGCATGGTGGCGCACGCCTGCAGTCCCAGCTACTTGGGAGGCTGAGGTAGGAGAATCGCTTGAACCCAGGAGGTGAAGTTTGCAGTGAGCTGATATTGTGCCATTTCACTCCAGACTGGGTGACAGAGATTCTGTTTCAAGAAAAAAAAAAAAAGAAGAAGAAAAGAAAATAGAACTATTACTCTTACCTTCCCCTGCTTTTCTGTGTAGCAGCTGGCCATAAGGAAATTCTCTGACTCCACTTGGTCTGATAGTAGGCCGTAAGACCCTCGCTCCAGCGGGGTCCTGCTCCATACCCAGAAATAAGGAATATGGCAGACAGGCCAAGAAGAATGTACACACACAGGCCTCGCTGGGTTCCTTCCCTTGGCCTATTACCTTTAGGTCATACTCTTTTGTTCCAATCACTTTTTTTTTTTTTTTGAGACGGAGTCTCGCTCTGTCACCCAGGCTGGAGTGCAGTGGCGCAATCTCGGCTCACTGCAAGCTCCGCCTCCCGGGTTCACGCCATTCTCCTGCCTCAGCCTCTCCGAGTAGCTGGGACTACAGGTGCTCACCACCGCACCTAGCTAATTTTTTGTATTTTTAGTAGAGGTGGGGTTGCACCGTGGTCTCGATCCCCTGACCTCGTGATCCGTCTGCCTCGGCCTCCCAAAGTGCTGGGATTACAAGTGTGAGCCACCGCGCCCGGCCTCCAATCACTTTTTTCTTTAGATGGAGTTTCACTCTGTTGCCCAGGCTGGAGTGCAGTGGTGAGATCTCGGCTCACTACAACCTCCAACTCCTGGGTTCAAGTGATTTTTGTGCCTCAGCCTCTCAAATAGCTAGGATTACAGGTGCCCACCACCAAGTACAGATAATTTTTATATTTTTAGTAGAGATGGGGTTTGACCATGTTGGCCAGGCTGGTCTCGAACTCCTGATCTCAAGTAATCCACCCACCTTGGCCTCCCAAAGTGCTGGGATTACAGGTGTGAGCCACTGTGCCCAGCTGGTCCAATCACATTCCTATATGACTGTCCATTCTTCATCGAACCTTTGCATAAAAAGGTACTGTACAGTCTGGGTATTCATTTCTTTTCCTTTTTCTTTTTTTTGGTTTGTTTGTTTTGAGACACAGTCTTGCTCTGTTGCCCAGGCTGAATGAAGTGCAGTGGCATGATCTCAGCTCACTGCAACCTCCACCTCCTGAGTTCAAGCAATTCTAATGTCTCAAGCCTCTCGAGTAGCTGGAACTACAGGTGTGCACCACCATGCCCAGGTAATTTTTTGTATTTTTAGTAGAGACAGAGTTTCACCATGTTGGCCAGGCTGATCTTGAACTCCTGACCTCAAGTGATCCACCCACCTCGGCCTCGTAAAGTGTTGGGGTTATAGGCATGAGCCACCACGCCTGGCCTGGGTCTTCATTTCCAAAGGCCCCCATGTCATGTAAAACTTTGATTAAATACATTTGTTATGCTCTTCTCTTGTTAACTTCTCTCTGTCTTTTGGTATAGGAGTGTCAGCCGTGACCCTTATGATGGATGAGAAGAGGTATCATGCCTTTTCCACCCCTACACCTGGAAGGAAGGTTCTGCAGCAAGTTCATGAGAGACGATATGTGGAATGTAATCAGAGCATACCTCTTAATACTTAAAAGGTAAGGCCAGGCGCAGTGGCTCACGCCTGTAATCCGAGCACTTTGGGAGGCCGAGGTGGGCGGATCACGAGGTCAGGAAATTGACACCAGCCTGGCTAACATGGTGAAACCCTGTCTCTACTAAAAATACAAAAAATTAGCCGGGCGTGGTGGTGGGTGCCTGTAGTCCCAGCTGCTCAGGAGGCTGAGGCAGGAGAATCAGTTGAACCCAGGAGGCAGAGGTTGGAGAGAGCTGAGATCGTGCCACTGTACTCCAGCCTGGGCGACAGAGCAAGACTCCATCTCAAAAAAAAAAAAAAAAAAAAAAAGACGTATAAAATTCTGAGGTTCTTCTTTCGAGGCTAATTCCTTTCCTGTATGTGCTTAGGTTATGTTCATCTGAAGGAAAACTTAAGAAACTGTGTGGTAAACTATAATATAGAAGTTTATTTTTCTCTCGAGTAAACAATATTTGGAGGTTCTGGTCCAGGGCTGGTGTGGCAGCTCCACAAACATCAGAAACCCAGATCACTTCCTTCTTGTGGCTTGGTCATCCTTAACATGGGGCTTCTACCTCATGATCCAAGATAGCTGCTCCTGCTCGAGCAATCACATGCATATTCCTTTCCAGCAGAAAGGGAGAAGAGGTAACAGGGTGCAACCTGCTGCCTCTGAGTGGCACTTCTTCTTACAACTTATACACATGGCCATACCTGGCTGTAAGGGAGGCTGGGAAATGTAGCTTGTATTTCAGGGGGTTGTTTGCCCAGCAAAAATCAGGGGTTCCGTGGCAAAGAAGACAGAACAGATGTTGGGGAATAGTTATAGTCTCTGGCACACCATGGTATTCCTCCATTCCACGGGGAAAGATGGCCATGTACTTTCTGGTACTCTGCTCCAGGTGACCTTGTTCTTGTATGTTACATGTTCTTGTGTGTTACTCTTTTTTTTTTTGAGATGGGATCTTGCTCTGTTGCCCAGGCTGGAGTTCAGTGGCACAATCTCAGCTCACTGCAACCTCCGCCTCCCAGGTTCAAGCGATTCTTTTGCCTCAGCCTCCCGAGTAGCTGGGATTAGAGGTGTGCACCACCACGCCCAGCTAATTTTTGTATTTTTAGTAAAGACAGGGTTTCACCATGTTAGCCAGGCTGGTCTCGAACCCCTGACCTCAAGTGACCACCTGCCTCAACCTCCCCAAGTGCTGGGATTATAAGGCGTGAGCCATTGCACCCGGCCTTGTGTGTTACTCTTTTTTTTTTTTATTATACTTTAAGTTTTAGGGTACATGTGCACATTGTGCAGGTTAGTTACATATGTATACATGTGCCATGCTGGTGCGCTGCACCCACTAACTCGTCATCTAGCATTAGGTATATCTCCCGATGCTATCCCTCCCCCCTCCCCCCATTGTGTGTTACTCTTAACTCCTCACCACAAAACCAGAACGGCCCTGAGACCAAGACTCAGGTCTCCAGAACAAAGCCCTTAGCCTGACATTCAGGGCCCTTGGCCACTGGGTCTCAGGAACTGCCGCAGTCCCTTGCAGCCTGTGTCCAGCCTCTCAGAGCCACCTGCCTGCTCCATTCCTTGCTTCCCCAGACTGTTCCTTCTGCCTGAATGGCCCTCCTGGACCTCCAATGCCAGGGGCACTCCTATCCAACCTCGAAGAGATTGCTCTGTCAGTGCAGCCTTGCAGGGCCTCGCTGGGGGAGAATCAGAATTCCTTTCTCCTGCCCTCCCTTGGGCTTCCGGAGCCTTCCGTCATCCTCTATTTATAGTTCAAGTCAGGTGCCCCTGGACATGTTGCTGGGAGGGAAGGGCCTCAGCTGGGAGAGCCGGTTCTGTGACCTGCTGGGGAAGGGCTGGGATTTTCCAGGATGCCTCCTCTAGCCCTATAGTCCCCTTGGCTACCTCTGTCTACGGGGAAATGGAGCCCCCTACCTGGACAGCCTTAATCCGGTGCACCTGGTGGCTGCTTGTCTCCTTGGCTTTGCTGTGAGCCCTGGGGCCTGGGGATGGGCTTCTCTCCAGCCCTGGGCCTGCTCCTGCCTCTGCTGTGGTGAGGTGACCTGAGTAACGGGTTGGGTTAGGTGGTCTCTATGTTGGTAGGGGTCTCAGTAGGGTCAGGCTTGCTCTAGGAGAGAGTCACAGTTGCTAGAGTTGAGTATAGAGGGCAGGAACCAGCTGTAACTTTGCAAAGCTCTGTCCTGGGATGCTCGGCTTCCCTCCTGTTGTCCTCCACCTTCCAGAAAGCCCAGCAGGGAGAGATGAGCACTGTGTCCCCAAACTCAATGTCACTGTCACCTCCCCTCACCCAGCCCAGCCACTCCCCGTCAGCTCCAGACCAACTCGGAATACTCGGGAAGGTTGATCCTTCGACTTCCTCAAGCCATTGCTCAACATCCCCCAATCACAGCCTCCCCAACTCCCATCTCCAAAGGCCTCCTTCCTCCCCAGATCCCCGGCTGTCACCATCCTCATTCTTCTAACAAGCTGACAAACTTGAATTCTGAGCGAGCATGACCTGGGGTCTTGGGCCTGAGCCGCAGCCCTCTGCCTCCACCCCATCCCCCACTTACATGCCCACTTTCAGATACAGACACGGACCCTGATGCCAAGGACATCCACTGGCTGAATGCCTCCTCCTGCCCTTTCACGAGCTCCCATGCCTGGCCCTGACTACCTGCACGCAGCCCTGGACCCTCAAGTGACTGTAGGAACCCCCTCTACGAGACTCAGCCCTTTTGCCACCAGTGGGACTTGCAGGCCCAGCTGACCAGCACCTTCTTGCCTGCTGTGGGCCATGTGACCGACGGAATCCCACCACATCTGCCGTGAGCCTCGCCTGAATCAGGACCAAGTTTAGGTTTTCAGAATCAGACGGACGTGACTATGTGACCTGGGGCAAGTGACTAACCCTCTCTGAGCCTCTGACATTTATAGCTGACTCCAATCTGATACATGGGCTCCCCAGGGGCCTGAGGAGGGAAGGTTTGAAACCTCACTCTTCCCTCCCTTGCCCTTGGAAGGTGAGAGCAGGAGGCTCCTTCATGGAGGTGGCTAGGATGGGGAGGGAGGACCAGGAAGCTTCCTGACCTTGCCCCAGGAGCTGGCAGCCCCCAGTCCCACCTTGTCCAGAGATCACTCAGGGGAAACCACTCTGGCTGAGGGATTCAGGTGCTGGTGCCAACTAGGAGAAGCAGTCTAGGGCGCCTCCCAGTGGACACCAAGGGAACGTCTATTCTGGCTGGCCCTTGGTCCAGCCCTGTGATTTTAGCCCTTGGCATGCAGTCAGGCTCCAGTACTGACCCCAGCACCAGCAGTGGCAAATTGCACCTCATTTGAGGAATCTCAGTTTCCTCTTCCACAAAACGGAAATAATGATAACATCACCACACAAGACCACAGTGAGGCTTCCTTCGGACGACCCAGGCGACCCGCCTTCCACACTAATGTTTTCCAGGTCTAGAGAGGCCAGGGCTTGCCTGGGGACCACAGTGAGATGTGGTGAGGAGCCAGGGGTTCAGGCTCTCAGGCTCCTGGTCCACTGCTCTTTCCACTGCTGGGAGGTGCCTCAATGTAACCTTGGACTCTCCAGGCCTATTAACTCCTCCGTGTAGCTCTGGAAGTTTTCAGATGTTTTAGTGCTATTAACATGCCTGTCCCAGGAACAAGCTTACAAATGCATCCAATTAACCTTCTGCCAACAATTCTGGGACGTGATTTCTTTTCCAGCCTTTGCAGGGA
The DNA here is from genome assembly GCF_000001405.40 of Homo sapiens. Taxonomy (NCBI): domain Eukaryota; kingdom Metazoa; phylum Chordata; class Mammalia; order Primates; family Hominidae; genus Homo; species Homo sapiens. The sequence continues at coordinate 61,628,854 of NC_000011.10, forward strand.
GATCTCTCTTCCCATCTCCTTCCTGGAAGACAGAAGCCTTGTGCGAGCCCCTTGTGTGATGTCACCCCAGCTAGGGCCACCGGACGTTGGTCCTCAGCAGGGAGACTTTGGGTCCTCCACCAGGACCCAGGGCTGACCTGCATGGCCAGGCCCCATGGCCTGGGTAGAACCTTGTTTCTGCTCCAGGTAAGGAATTGCAGGGGTGAGGGTGTGTGGAGGAAAGGGGCCTCCACAGTGGGGAAGGGGGCTACAGAGGGAATCCCAGCCCCAGCCCCAGCCCCAGAGGACCCATTTATTTGCTCTCTAACTGTGGTGAAGGGGCCCTTTCTGAAATGCAAGCAGCTCCCGAGTTCCTCTACGGCAGTGTCGGGCTGGTGCTGGGCATTGAGCGGGGCAGGAGAGGAATTCAGCCACGCCAGGTGCTGTGGCTGTGCCGCGGGCTATTTTCACGTAGGCCGTGTGTTCCTCCGGAGGTGGCTGGCCGTGGGGCTCCTGGAATTGTGGGCTGGAGCCCTCCTGCTCCCTCTGGCTGGGTCTCTATTGCTGTAGCCCCTAGAATCACCTCTTACAGCCTTGAAAGGCCCAGGGGGACTTGACTCTGAGGCTAGGAACCCTCGGGTGGGAGGGACGTGTTCATAAACACATGCACACTGTGCCATACTAGCTTTTAGACAGACAAAGACAGAGACTGGGTGACCACATGACCTTCAGGACTCACACAACAACACACACACACACACACAAGGGTGAGGGCAAAGGAGAAGCGCCCAGGCAGGCCCTGGGGGAGGGGGGCGGAGAGCCAAGGGTATGAACTGTGAACAATTAGTGGGAGCCATAGGGCCCCTGGGGGAGCAGAGAAGGAACATGTCCCCCTTCCCGACCGGATGGCCTTGCCCAAGGCCCCCACCAAGCAGTGGGGGGTGGGGCAGGGGGTGGGGAGTGAGGACAAGGGCCTGAAGCTGGTAACCTGCCCCTGGGCGAGATGGCTCTGGGAGGCGATGGAGACGCTCACCCCCTCCCTGCTTCCCAGCTGAACTGGACTTTCACAGTCTCTCTGCTCTTTCCTCACCGCCTCTTCCCACCCTCACCTTTCCCTCTTCTCCCAGCTCACCTAGCCCCTGCCCGCACTGAGGGGGACATAGCCCCCAACACCTCCTTGGCTTTGCAGATGCTATCCCCCTTGCCTGGAATCCCCCTGCTGCCACCGCCTTTTGCCTTCACCCCACTCTCCTGACAAACACCAGCTCACTTGCAAGGCCCAGCTCAACGCCTCTTTCTCTGAGAAGGCTTCCCACCACCTCTCTCCTCCTGGCAGAATTCATCTGTGTTCCCCAGTGCTCCCGGGGCCCTTGCACAGACCTCTGCGGCTCCAAAGGCTTCCTGCTGTAATACTCTGTGCACACAGCTGAATCCCTGACTCCACTCTGCTGAGAAGGTTGTGCTTTTTTCTATTTTGTACCGAGGGCAACGGGAGGCCATGGAACAGTTTCAAAGGAGCTATGCAACAGGATTAAATTTGTGCTTTGAAAGATCACCGGGGCAGCCGCGTGGCAGACGAAGGCAGGGAGAGGACAGAGGCAGGGAGAGGACGGAGGCAGGGAGAGGGTACAGGAGGCTTCTGTCATTGTCCAGAATGGAGTCTCAGCCGTGGAGACGGAGGTGGAGGTGGGAGAGGTGGAAGGATTCCAGAGATATTTGGAGGAAAGCTTCCCCCTGGCCAGTGGTCCCCAAGCCTGGCTGTGCACCCAAATTCCCCGGGCAGATTTTAAAAAAATAGGTTTCTGGGGTCTACTCAAGATGCCCTTAAACGGGATCTCAGGGGCTAGAGCCAGAATCTGTTTTTTTGTTTTGTTTTGTTTTGTTTTGTTTTGTTTAGATGGAGTCTCACTCTGTCCCCCAGCCTGGAGTGCAGTGACGTGATCTCGGCTCACTGCAACCTCCACCTCCTGGGTTCAAGTGATTCTCCTGCCTCAGCCTCCCGAGTAGCTGGGATTACAGTTATCTGCCACTACGCCCAGCTAACTTTTTGTATTTTTTGTAGAGATGGGATTTTGCCGTGTTGGCCAGGTTTTTCTTGAACTCCTGACCTGGTGATTCACTTGCCTCAGACTCCCAAAGTGCTGGGATCACAGGTGTGAGCCACCGTGCCTGGCCCAGGATCTTTTTTTTTTTTTTTGATTATCATTACGAGGCCGGGCATGGTGGCTCATGCCTGTAATCCAGCACTTTGGGAGACTGAGGCGGGTGGATCACCTGAGGCCCGGAGTTCAAGACCAGCCTGGCTAAAATGGTGAAACCCTGTCTCTACTAAAAATACAAAAATTAGCCGGGTGTGGTGGCACGCGCCTGTAATCCCAGCTACTCGGGAGGCTGAGGCTTGAACCTGGGAGACGGAGGCTGCAGTGAGTTGAGAGCCACTGGGTCACTGGACTCCAGCCTGGGTGACAGAGCAAGACTCTGTCTATCATTATGGTAAAGAAAAAACATATAACATAAAATTTATCATCTTAGCCATCTTTAAGTGGATAGTTCAGTATTGTTAAGTATATTCACGCCATTGTAAAGCAGACATCCAGAACTTTTTCATCTTGGAAATCTGAAACTCTATACCCATTAAACAACAATTTTCCATTCTCCCTCCCAGCCAGCCCCTGGCAACCAGCATTCTACTTCTGTTTCTATGGATTTGACTGCTTTAGATACTTCATATAAGGGAGTCTACAGGATCTGTCTTTTTGTGACTCAGAATCGGTAATTTTAAAAAATTCAGTCATCACAGTGGCTCCTGCCTGTAATCCCAGCACTTTGGGAGGCCGAGGCAGGCGGATCACTTGAGGTTAGGAGTTCAAGACCAGCCTGGCCAACATGGTTAAACCCCGTCTCTACTAAAAATACAAAAATTAGCAGGGCGCAGAGGTTCCAGTGAGCCAAGATTGTGCCACTGCACTCCAGCCTGGGTGACAGACTGAGACTCCATCTCAAAAAACAAACAAACAAACCAAAAAAAAAAAAAACCCAAAAAACGAATCCTCAAGTACTTCTGATGCAGCTGGTGTGTGGTCTGCAGTTTGGGAACCGCCATCCGTGTGGCTCAAGCTGAAAGGTACCCTCTGCCTGTCTCTTTGCTATTAGGAGCAAAATCAGATCCTAGCACCCCCAGAACGTGGGGTGGGGGTTCCTTTTGACCTCTGGGGAGAATTTTCTCCTAGACAGGCTCTCTCTCAAAGTCTGCTAGTCAGATCCGGTAGTAACTCCACACCCCACATTATTATTAATTTTCATGACCTACATTTATATCATGTTTTAGATGCTGCTACTCAAAGCGTGGTCTCGCATTCCTTGGAGCTGATTAGAAATGCAGGGTCTCGGGCCACCCCCACGGTTGAATCTGAATCAGCGCATTAAGAAATTCCTCGGGGAATTCATGTGCGCGGTGCAGTGCAGCGTGGGAGCACAGCTTCAGGGTTTACAGAGTGGCATCTGGCGGGAGTTGGGGGAGGGAAGCCTGACCCCAGAGCCCGGCAGGAGAGGTAGCTGAGAGGCTGGGAGGCAGCCCAGGCTGATGTGAGCCTGGTTTTGTCTCTCTCATCCCACTGCCACAGTTCCCATTAAATGAAGCTGTCCCCATGGACCTGTCAATGGCCTCTTGGTGGCTTAGTCCCTGGACCTCACTCAATAAGCAGCCCTCCCAGGCCTCAGCCACCAATTCCCAGGGCCACCTGGCTATTGTGCTTGGCTTTCTTATTCCATGGCTTGTCCTGACACAGACCCTTCTGGCAGGGCACTTGCTCTCATGACGTCCCAGCAATCCCATCCGTTTGCACTTGTTGTAACGGCTTATTGGGCACTTACTAAGTGCCAGGGACTGAGAAAAGGACTCCACAGGCACCAGGCCATTTGGTCCTCACAAAACCCCATGAGGATGCTGCAGGGATTATCTGCATTTGGCAGACAAGGAAACCAAGGCTCAGAAAAGTGAAATAACTTGTACAAGCTACCATAATTAATAAGTGCTCAAGGTGGGATTTGAACTCTTGTCGGTCTGCCGGGCCTGAGTTCTTAACTAGAATGCCTCCATTTTTGCTGTGTTTTTATGGAGAACACTGAAGTTCAGTTTTGCAACCTGCGCAAGGTCATATGGCTGTTAAGTGCTGGGCCTGGGACTTGAACTCAGGGTGTTGTATTCCCAAACCTCAAATTCTTAACTGCTGGACTGGTTTCTTTATCCCAGGGGTCCCCAGCTCCCAGGTTGCAGACTGGTACTGGTCTGTGGCCTGTAAGGAACTGAGCCACACGGCATGGGGTGAGCGGAGGGCAAGCGAGAGAAGCTTCATCTGTATTTACAGCCTCTCCCCATCACTCTCATTACTGCTTGAGTGCCGCCTCCTGTTAGATCAGCAGCAGCATTAGATTCTCATAGGGGCACGAACCCTACTGTGAACTGCGCATGTAAGGGATCTAGATTATGCACTTTTTTTTTTTTTTTTTTTTTGAGATGGAGTTTCGCTCCTGTTGCCCAGGCTGGAGTGCAATGGTGCGTTCTTGGCTCACCACAACCTCCGTTTCTTGGGTTCAAGTAATTCTCCTGCCTCAGCCTCCCGAGAAGCTGGGATTACAGGCACTCACCACCACGTCTGGCTAATTTTGTGTTTTTTTTAGTAGAGATGGTGTTTCTCTATGTTGGTCAGGCTGGTCTCAAACTCCTGACCTCAGGTGATCCACCCACCTCAGCCTCCCAAAGTGCTGAGATTACAGGCGTGAGCCATCGCTCCTGGCCTTATGCACTCCTTATACAGGTCCCTGATGCCAAAAAGTTTGGGGAACGCTGCTTTACCCCATGTTACAGATTTGGGAGCTGAGACAGAGATGCTGAGCAAGTCAGCCTGGGTGTGTGAGGGTCTCCTAGTGCTATTCTGTCCACTCCAATTCCAGCTGCCTGGGCTCACTCTGGCATCAACCATCTCTGTCTGGGCTACCTCAGCAATAACCAGCATTGGGGGCTGAGTACCCCCACCCTGTGGGAGGCTGAGGCAGGATGATCCTTTGAGTCTAGGAGTTCAAGATCAGTATGGGCAACGTAGCAAGACCTCGTCTCTACAAAAAATACAAAAATTAGCCAGGCGTAGTGATGCGTACCTGTGGTCCCAGCTACTTGGGAGGCTGAGGTGGGAGGACGGCCTGAGTCTGGGTGGTTGAGGCTGCAGTAAGCCGTGATGGTGCTACTGCACTGCGCGACAGAATGAGACCCTGTCTCAATAAATAAATAAATGAAACCAGCTTTGATGAACCAGAGTTCCTGGAGCCACACCTGTAGCATAGAATGCTCAGGAGCAGGCCAGGCACAGTGGCTCACGCCTGTAATCCCAACACTTTGGGAGGCTGAGGCAGGCAGATCATGAGGTTAGGAGTTCGAGACCTGCCTGGCCAATATAGTGAAACCCCATCTCTACTAAAAATACAAAAATTAGCCAGGCATGGTGGCATGTGCCTGTAGTCCCAGCTACTCGGGAGGCTGAGGCAGGAGAATCACTTGAACTCAGGAGGCAGAGGTGGCAGTGAGCCGAAGATTGTGCCACTACACTCCGGCCTGGGTGACAGAGCGAGAATCCACCTCAAAAAAAAAAAAAAAAAAAAAAAAAAAAAAAAAGAATGCTTGGGAGCTCAGCACAGTGGGGAGAAATGGAGACTGACACCTCTTGGCCCCACGGCTCCGTGCCCCATGTAGGAAGCCAATTGCACACCTGGGCACAGGAAGTGGTGAAGTGCAGCAACTGCTGGCAGATCAGGAGGTGGTGGAAATGGGAACTGACAGTGTGGGTGGAGCTTCTCACCCCCCTAGGCACTGCCAGGTGCCCACCACAGCTGGGATGGTGGCTAGGGCAGGATGAGGGCTGCAGAGCCCCTGGGGTGGCCCTTGGCCAGCTGGGCAGGGAGGGGAGGGTCTGTGGGCTCCTCACTAGCTCTGCAACTGCAGGGGAGTTAACCTCCCCAGACTTCATGCCTCATCTATAATGTGCCCCATCTATAATTTTTTTTTTGAGGCAGAGTCTTGCTCTGTTGCCCAGGCTATAGTGCAGTGGTACAATCTCGGCTCACTGCAACCTCCGCCTCCTGGGTTCAAGTGATTCTCCTGCCTCAGCCTCCCGAGTAGCTGGGATTACAGGTACCCGCCACCACGCCCAGCTAATTTTTGTATTTTTAATAGAGACAGGGTTTCCCCATGTTGGCCAGGGCTGGTCTTGAATTCCTGACCTCAGGTGATCCACCTGCCTCAGCCTCCCAAAGTGCTGTGATCACAGGCATGAGCCATGGTGCCTGGCTTACAATGGCTTCTGGTACTGCTGAAAGCCTCCAGAGAGTCACATATCTAAAGTGCCTAGCACCCAGTTCACATTATCACCTGGGCTGGCCAAATCTAAGAGAGGCAATTTACACCGGGCTTCTGTGAGGGACAGGTGAATTATACAGTATATAGGAAAAATATGCAGTGCTGGCTATACAGCAAGCTGTATGTCAGTAACAGGTATTATTATTATTAGGAACAGGGACAGCTACATACTTTGCAGAGCCCAGTGCAAAATGAACATGTGGGGCCCTTGCTCACACATCATGAAGAATTTCAAGGTGTTGACAGCAGAGCATTAAATCAAGCTCTAGCCCTTTGGAGTGTAGGGCCCTCTGCAGCTGCAAAGGCTGCACAACCATGAAGCTGGCTGGGACTGTGACACAGGACACCAGAATCTTTATAATGGGCTCAGCTCTCTGTCCTTGGGAGGGTTGCCTCTCTGTTCAATGCTGGCGATGAGTGAGGCTTTGGGTTCCATACCTCCCCTGGTCTCCAGATTATTCTAGGAGAACCCCTTGTTACCTAGGAACTCCTAATAGCTGCTGCTTGGCCCAGCCCCAGATTCATGTCTGGAATAAGAGAACAGGATCCTTGAGTGTGAGGGCAGAAGACCCTTTGAGATCATCCCCTTCCCACCCCAAAATGGTGAGGACCTGCCAAGGACATGTGGGACCCAGTGATGAGGCAGAACAAAGATCCAGCCTCTGACTCCCAGCCTGGGAGCCCCATCTGGAAGAAGCAGCTTAGGCCTGATGAGGACGCCGGGGCTCCATGGCAGGAGGAGGGTGTGCTGGGGAGGAGGGGTGTGGGGAGGACAGTGCCACACCTGTCAGCCTGGGCTGTCCCTGGAGGAGGGGAGGGAGGAGTTTTTGTTCTCTTGGCTTCTCTGTGCTTTTTTGCAGTGGCACAAATTGCTTTTGTAATAACAGGAAAAAACGATCAACGAACCTTCATTTAAGAAAAAGCACAGCGTTCTCATGGGAACCAAGAAGACAAGCCCTTAATGCAAAGTGTATTCAGAGAGAAGAAAACAAGAAAAGCAGAGACGATTGGATTACAGCAATTGCTCTTATAACTCCTCTCCGCCCACCCCCTCGATGAGAAGCTGGTTTGAAGGACTGAGTATCAAATCCCTACTGAGCTCTGAGGTTCCAGGTGTGGATGGAGTGTGGGGCCCATGTGTGTGTCAGTGTGTGTGGGTGTGATTGTGTGAGCAACTGGGTGTGTGAGGTTCAGGCCCAGTCGGCTTGTCCAGACGCCAGGCCTGAGATGCCCTGGGGGTGCTAAGAGGGGTAGAGAGAAGCCAAAGGAACACAGGCTTTGAAACGAGGCAGAATTGAGTTGGAGTCCCAACCCCACCAACCTCACCTCTCTTCACTCTTCAGGCAGCGTAGAAAACAATGCCTGCCTTTTGCCAGGCATCCTCATGGAAGTGACATCGTCTTTAAACCTGTGTGGCAATCCCTGACGCACCACCGTGATGCCCAGGGAAGACAGGGTGACCTGGAAACCCAACTACTTCCTTAAGATCATCCAGCTATTGGATGATTATCTGAAATGTTTCATCGTGGGAGCAGACAATGTGAACTCCAAGCAGATGCAGCAGATCCGCATGTCCCTCTGCGGCAAGGCCGTGGTGCTGATGGGCAAGAACGCCATGACGCGCAAGGCCATCCGAGGGCACCTGGAAAACAGCCCAGCTCTGGAGAAACTGCTGCCTCGCATCTGGGAGAATGTGGGCTTTGTGTTCACCAAGGAGGACCTCACTGAGATCAGGGACCTGCTGCTGGCCAATAAGGTGCCAGCTGCCACCCGTGCTGGTGCCATTACCCCATGTGAAGTCACTGTGCCAGCCCAGAATACTGGTCTGGACCCCGAGAAGACCTCCTTTTTCCAGGCTTTAGGTATCATCACTAAAATCTCCAGGGGCGCCATTGAAATCCTGAGTGATGCGCAGCTGATCAAGACGGGAGACAAAGTGGGAGCCAGTGAAGCCACGCTGCTGACCATGCTCAACATCTCCCCCTTCTCCTCTGGGCTGGTCATCCAGCAGGTGTTCGACAACGGCAGCATCTACAACCCTGAAGTGCTTGACATCACAGAGGAAACTCTGTATTCTCGCTTCCTGGAGGGTGTCCGCAATGTTGCCGGTGTCTGTCCGCAGATCCACTACCCAACTGTTGCATCAGTGCCCCATTCTATCATCGACGGGTACAAACGAGTCCTGGCCTTGTCTGTGGAGACTGATGACAACTTCCTGCTTGCTGAAAAGGTCAAGGCCTTCTTGGCTGATCCATCTGCCTTTGTGGCTGCAGCCCCTGTGGCTGCTGCCACCACAGCTGCTCCTGCTGCTGCTGCTGCAGCCCCAGCTAAGGATGAAGCCAAGGAAGAGTCGGAGGGAGGAGTCAGACGAGGATATGGGATTGGGTCTCTTTGACTAATCACCAAAAAGCAACCAACTTAGCCAGCTTTATTTGCAAAACAAGGAAATAAAGGCTTACTTCTTTAAAAAAAAAAAAAGAAAAGAAAAAAAGAAGAAAGAAAGAAACAAAGAAAGAAAGAAAGAGAAAGAAAGAAAAGAAAAAAAAAATAAAACAACACTTGCTCCCACGGTTGTGACAGTGGGGTTTAAAGAAAACCAGCAGGCGCCGGGCACGGTGGCTCACGCCTGTAATCCCAGCACTTTGGGAGGCTGAGGCGGGCGGACCACGAGGTCAGGAGATCGAGACCATCCTGGCTAGCACTGTGAAACCCCATCTGTACTAAAAATACAAAAAATTAGCCGGGCGTGGTGGCGGGCATCTGTAGTCCCAGCTGCTCGGGAGGCTCAGGCAGGAGAATGGCATGAACCCAGGAGGCAGAGCTTGTAGTGAGCCGAGATCGCGCCACTGCACTCCAGCCTGGGTGACTGAGCCAGACTCCGTCTCAAAAAAAAAAAAAAAAAAGAAAAAAGAAAAAGAAAAAGAAAAGGAGTAGGCAGAAAGAGCACACAGTAGGTGTTCAACCAGCGTGAAGCTCCCAGCCCCTGACAGTCCACGACAGCCTCAGAGCAGGCAGAAGGAGCACACAGTAGGTGTTCAGCCAGCGTGAAGCCCCCAGCCCCTGACAGGCTACGACAGCCTCAGAGCAGGCAGAAGGAGCACACAGTAGGCATCCAGCCCACATGAAGCAGGCCCCCAGCCCCTGACAGGCCATGACAGCCTGAGGCAGGACCACATGGTGATCTCTAACCTGACCCCAGGGGAGGACAGGAGGGAGGACGGATAGCACCCTGGGAGGCCAGGGCCTGGCGTCCCACCCTGTCACCCTCGTGCCCAGTGTCCAGGGGCTCCGAGTTAGCCATGGCCTGGCGCGTAGCCTTAGGAGAGACCCTCCAGCCATTCGGTGGAGCGTGGAGACCCCTCGTGGCCACACGGAGGACTGCAGCTCTCAGCGTGTGACCTCTCGCCAGCATCGGGGCTGCTCTGCATGTAGCCCTGGGAGAGCTCTGCAAACATTGCTTGAGCTCCTTTTTATTTTATTTTTATTTCTTGAGACAGGATCTCACTCTCACCCAGGCTGGAGTGCAGTGGCACAATCTCAGCTCACCGCAACCTCCGCCTCCAGAGTTCAAGCGATTCTCCTGCCTCAGCCTCCTGAGTAGCTGGGATTACAGATGTGCGCCGCCACGCCCGGCTAACTTTTGTATTTTTAGTAGAGACGGGTTTTTGCCATGTTGGCCAGGCTGGTCTCAAACTCCTGGCCTCAAGTGATCCACTCGCCTCGGCCTCCCAAAGTGCTGGGATTACAGGCGTGAGCCACCGCACCCGGCTGCTTGAGCTCCTTTAAAGGTGCCACGATTTATGCTTGGTGTTATGGACAAAGAAAGGAAGTGATTCCCATCCCAGAGAATCTACCACCGGGAGAGTTACAGAGGCTGGGCCGCCCTATATCTACCTCCCACCCCTGTATACATCCATATAGAAGAGAACTCAGGGTTCAATCAGGGGACCTAGAGCAAGACACCCATTTTCCCATGCCTTGCTCCCCATATTGGCCTTATGGGCGTGGTACCCTGTAAAGTACCTGGAATAGTCCAGAGCTCAAAAATTCTTATGATTATTAAAGGTATAAAAGGACAGGTAAATTGAGGCCAAGTGCAGTGGCTTATACCTGCAATCCCAGCACTTTGGGAGGCCAAGGTAGGAAGATGGATTGATCCCAGGAGTTCAAGACCAGCCTGGGCAACATAGTGAGACCCCCATCTCTATAAAAAATTAAAATTAAAAAATTAGCTGGGTGTGGTGGCACCCACCTATAGGAGGCTGAGGCGGGAGAATTGCCTGAGCCCAGGAGTTCTGAGGCTACAGTGAGCTAGGATCCCGTCACTGAACTCCAGCCTGCATGACAGAGTGAGGCCCTCTCTCAAAAAGGTGGTGGAGGCAGGTAAATTGGGTCAGAGTCATGCTCCCTTGCTCCCCTCCAAGCAGTAGAAATTGCTAATAAAATGCTTAAAACAAGGATCATGATGTGCCAGACACTAGGAGAAGCCCTTTGCATGTAGTACCTCATCTGATCCCTGAGGAGCAGGTACTATTAGCCTGTATGAGGAAGCTGATGCCCAGAGAGGTTTAGGCGATTAGGCTAAAGTGGTAGATTCGGAATTTGAACCCAGGCCCACATGGCTCCAGAGCCCAAGCTTTGGTGCACAAAGCAATGAGTCTGCCTAGCAGCGTCAGAGATGTTTGAACCAGAGCAACTCCATCTTGAATAGAGGCTGGGTAAAATGAGGCTGAGACCCACTGGGCTTCATTCCCAGGAGGTGAGGCATTCTTAGTCACAGGATGAGCTAGGTCGGCACACGGTACAGGTCACAAAGACCTTGCTGATAAAACAAGAGGCAGTACAGAAGCCAGCCAAATCCCACCAAAACCAAGATGGCGACGAAAGTGACCTCTGGTCAGCCTCACTGCTCACTATATGCTAATTATAATGCATTAGCATACTAAAAGACACTCCTACCAGCGCCATCACAATTTACAAATGCCATGGCAACATTAGGAATTTACCCTATATGGTCTAAAAGTGGGAGGAACCCTCAGTTCCAGGAATTGCCCACCCCTTTCTGGGAAAACTCATGAATAACTCACTGCTTGTTTAGCATATAAGCAAGAAATAACCAAAACACTAGCCAACCAGCAGCCCTCTGCCTATGGAGTAACCATTCTTTATTTGTTTACTTTCTTAATAAACTTGCCTTTACTTTACTGTATGGACTCACCCCGAGTCCTTTCTTGCATGAGGCCGAAAAAGCCTCTCTTGAGGTCTGGATCAGGACCCCTTTCCAGTAACAATGGGGCAGCCCATGACTTACTAAGCAAATGCACTCACCTCTCTGGGCCTTGGGGTCCTCCCCATTCAGGTCAGATATTTAGTTTAGTTTTATTTGTTTTATTGTTTTTGTTTTAAGACCATGTGGGGGCTAGTTCCCAGCTCTGGATGCCCATTGGATTCATTAAGTTTCCTTGGTCTGGGTGCATCCTGGACACTGGGATTTTTTTAAGCTTCCCAGGTGATTCTAATGAGCAGCAAGGTTTGCAAAGGGCCTCACAGGCTATGGTACAGAGATTAAACTTTATTCTGCTAGGTGACAAACCAGTGGTGGCTCCTCATGTCCCCCCAGCCCTAGGTCTACTCAGTTGCCTTTTGCTATTTATTAGATAAAATTGACCCCTTGGAAGTAAAAATTCAGTGGGGGATTAGCATATTCACAAGGTCGTACAACCATTACCATCAGATTCCAGAACATTCCATCCCCCCATAAAGCAACCCTGTAGTGGCCGGGCACGGTGGCTCACGCCTGTAATCCCAGCACTTTGGGAGACCGAGGCGGGTGGATCACGAGGTCAGGAGATTGAGACCATCCTGGCTAACATGGAGAAACCCCATCTCTACTAAAAATACAAAACAATTAGCGAGGCCTGGTGGCACGCACCTGTAATCCCAGCTACTCAGGAGGCTGAGGCAGGAGAATCTCTTGAACCCGGGAGGTGGAGGTTGCAGTGAGCCGAGATCGCACCACTGCACTCCAGCCTGGGTGACAGACTGAGATTCCGTCTCAAACAAAAAAAAAGAAGAAGAAGAAAAAAGAAAAATAAAAAAGCAACCCTGTAGTGATGAGCTTCCCATTTCCCCTCCCCCTAGCCCTTGGCAACCCTAACCTACTTTCTATCTCTACGGATTCACCTATTGCGGGCATTTCATATAAATGGAATCATACAATATCTGGCCTTTTTGTGTTTCATTTTTGCTCTTTTGTATTCTTCCCCTTGGCGTAATATTGTCAAACTTCATCCATGTCATAGTATGCATCAGGACTTCATTCCTGTTAACTGCTGAATAATATTCCATTGTATGGCTGGACCACATGTTTAAAATCTATTCATTGGTAGATAGATGGCTTTAAGGCTCTGGCATTCTCTTAGACAAGAGAAGCGACCGAGTTAACACAGGTGGTAGGGCTGAGAGAGGCATCAGAAAGCCCAGACCCTGCCTCTCGAGCCTGCAGGAAGGAAAATCCAGAGGAGAAGGGATGTGGAAACCAACTCCAGGGAGTTCCAAAGGAGCACAACAAGGTAGACCCTGAGCAGCCATGAGGGATGGGCCACACTTGTCCCCTCACCTCCCTCAGCAAAGGTAAACCAGGGATCTGGATAAAGCTATATCCACCAAGCTGCATCATCGAAGTAGTGCCGAAAACACAGAAATAACCTAAATGTCTAACGACAAGGAATTTATCCAAAAAACTATGGCGTGTCCATCCAAGGGACTACCAGGCAGTCAAAAATGATGCAGCATCGACTAACATTTATCGTGTGTGTGTGTGTGTGTGTGCGTGTGTGTGTGTGTGTATATATGGAGTTTTGCTCTTGTTGCCCAGGCTGGAGTGCAATGGCGCGATCTTGGCTCACTGCAACCTCCGCCTCCCGGGTTCAAGCAATTCTCCTGCCTCAGCCTCCAGAGTAGATGAGATTACAGGCGCCCACCACCACACCTGGCGAATTTTTGTATTTTTAGTAGAGATGGGGTTTCACCATGTTGGCCAGGCTGATCTCAAACTCCTGACTGCAGGTGATCCACCCGCCTGGGCCTCCCAAAGTGCTGGGATTATTTATAGTGTTTACTGTGCCAAGCCCTGTTTGCACATTTCACGTATTCTGATGCACTCAACTCTCACAATAATTCTACAGGTAAGTGCTTTTATGATCCTCATTTCACAAAGAGGAAATCGAAGCCGGGAATACTTATATAATTTGCCCAACATTGCACAGACAGACAGCAATAGAGCCGAGATTTGAACCAGGGTCCATTTGCTTAATTAATATCTCTGTTCCGTCCTGTCTCTGAAGGTATAATAAAAAAATATTTACTGACATGAGACAACACTGTTCACAAAATATTGGTGGAGTGAATAAATCGGGTTCTGGAACAGTATGCAGGGTATGAATCAAGACTTGAGGGAAATACGCCAGATTGCAAATCTGGGAGGTCTCCGCACATTCTGATTCTGAGTAATTTTTACTTCCTGCTCTGTGATTGTATTTCCCAGTCCTCCATGAAGACTATGTTTTTGTTTTCAATAAGAAAAGTATTTTATTTGATTCCCTTAAAAAAAATAAACCTTCGTATGTTGCCGGTGGGGATTCAGTGTGTTATATTCCCTATGGAGGGCAATTCTGCAATATTTATCAAAGTTGTAAATGTGTTTGCCCTCTGAGTCAGCAGTCCTGAGTCTACATTTTATTCTTATAGGTAGAGCCTAGCAAGGATGATGTACCAGGTTATTCACGGCAGCATGGCTTCTACTAACAAAAAATTGGAGGCTGGGCACGGTGGCTCACACCTGTAATCCCAGCACTTTGGGAGGTCAAGACGGGTGGATCACCTGAAGTGAGGAGTTCGAGAACAGCCTGGCCAACATGGCAAAACCCCGTCTCTACTAAATATACAAAAATTAGCTGGGCCTGGTGGTGTGCCCCTGTAATCCCAGCTACTCGGGAGGCTGAGGCAGGAGAATCACTTGAACCTGGGAGGCGGAGGTTGCAGTGAGCCGAGATCATGCCACTGCACTGCAGCCTGAGCAACAAGAGTGAAACTCCATCTCAAAAAAAAAAAAAAAGAAAAGAAAAGATTGGAGCCGGGTGCAGGCACTTTGGGAGGCTGAGGCAGAATGATTGCTTGAGCCCAGGAGTTCGAGACCAACCTGGGAAACATAGTGAGACCCCATCTCTATGAAAAACAAAAAGAAATTAGCCAGGCATGGTGGCGCATGCCTGTTGTCCCAGCTACTCGGGAGGCTGAGGTGGGAGGATTGCTTGAGCCTGGGAGGTCGAGGTTGCAACAAGCCATGGTTGTACCACTGCTCTAGACTGCGTGGGTGTCAGAGTGAGAACTTGTCTCAGAAAAAAAAAAGAAAAAAAAAGATTGGAAACAATATAAGTGTGCATTTTATCACGGTCTGATTAAACAAAGTATGGAAGGAATACTATTCAACAACAATAACAAAAAAGAACAAACAAGCTTCTTATACAGAGAGGGAAAGACCCCTGGGATAGTTTAATTAAAAAGGCCAGATACAGAACAGAGTGTTTATAATGTTACTACTTCTGTGTGAGAAAGAAGGGCATTATCTTAGTCAGTTTGAGATGTTATAACAGAATACTATCAACTGGGTGGCTTGGAAACTATAGAAATGTAGTTCTCAAAGTTCTGGAAGCTGGAAGTTCAAGACCAGGTGCCAGCATGGTTGGGTCTGGTGAGGGCCCCTTCTGGGTTGCAGACTGCCAACTTGCCACTGTGTCCTCACATGGCAGGAAGAGGACCAGAGAGCTCTCTGGGGTCCCTTTTATAAGGACACTGATCTCATTCATGAGGGCTACACGCTCATGACCCACTTACCTCCCAGAGTCCCCTCCTCCCAATACCATCACATTGAGGGTGGAGATTACACCATAGGAATTTGGGGGGTAGGAACGTAGGCATGTGGGGGACAGAGGAGACATAAACATCCAGCCCATGGCAGGAGGCAAGGAAAAAATCTATTTTTGCATCTCCTTGTTCTTTGTCTCAGAGACGCGGGAAGGCAGGGTGATAATCAAAATATTTAACAACCAGTGCAGAGCAGACCGCAGCAGCAGCAGCAGCTCTGAGAGAGGGACTTCCAAGGAACGGAAAAAGGGGTCATCTTAGAGACGGGAGACAAGCGAACAGGATGGGATGGAAACAAGACTTCTCAGTCCCTGCTTTTTTAAATTTTTATTTATTTATTTTTTTTGAGACGGAGTCTCACTCTGTCACCAGGCTGGAGCGTACTGGCGCAATCTCGGCCTCAGCTCACTGCAACCTCTGCCTCCTGGGTTCAAGCAATTCCCCTGCCTCAGCCTCCAGAGTAGCTGGGACTACAGGCATGTGCCACAAGGCCTTGCTAATTTTTTTTTTTTTTTGTATTTTAGTAGATACGGGGTTTCACCATGTTAGCCAGGATGGTCTTGATCTTCTGACCACGTGACCCACCCGCCTTGGCCTCCCAAAGTGCTGGGATTACAGGCATGAGACACCACGCCTGGCCCAGCCCCTGCTTTTTTATCCTGTTTTGATGTTTGGACCATGGGACTGTATTGCCTGGTGCAAAAATCATCATTCTTTTAAAAAGCACTGCACGTGGAAGAGTAGCTTTCCTTCCCTGTTCCCCACATCATGGAGGCATGGGGAGGCCTTGGAAGAGGAGAAGGTTTGGTGGACAGCAGTGAGCTCTGTGTGTTCCTGTAACACCTCGGCTACGTCTGTCAGTCTGTCTGTCCGGTGCTCCAGCTCAGGGGTGAAGCCTCGGACCTTCTCTGGGGGAGTTGCCCTCCATTATATTAGCTGAGGTATATAGAAGATGACACAGGGTAAGAGACAGGGTGCTTCTCCCCTCCTCAAAGACTCCTCAAGCTTTCTATTGGGGGCAAAGACCCTGGAGCTTCCTCAGCTGCCTTAGTGCAATGTCCAGCACGTAGTAGGCACTTAGTAAGCCTTCATTTAATTAACTGCTCCCCTGCCTGCCTGGTTGTTTCACCCTTTGGGTGGTAAGCCTCTTACTCACACAAATCTGCCCCTGTGGTTTAAGCCTCAGCTTTGCTGGTACAAGGGACCATATTATTATAATCAGATCATCAGATTACTTCCTCTTTGCATCTGGCAGAGATCAGTGCACTGAGCAAAGGGAAATGAAAGCACAAAGCATCCATCCCATTGGGCAGAAATTTATTAAGTACCCACTAAAAAATAAATGTATCAAGAACCTAAGCCTTGGGTCTAGGTTCTGCAACGCAGCATGCCTTGGACTACCTGTGCCAGGGCACTCCCTTTGCTCTGTGCACTCCCTCTGTGGGGGTGACAAGTGGCAGCTAACACTTACGGAGCACTCACAAGTGCCAGGCCCTGTGCCGAGCACTCCGTACACAATGTCTCACTCAATCCTCACAAGTGCTTTCGTGATTAGACATGTGCAGGAGCAAGCAACAGAAACAAGACCCAAACTGGCTTAAGCAAGAGGAGATTCTATTGGCTCACACAACCGCGGGTTAGTAAGCCTCGGTATGGTGGGATCAAAGCTCTGACTGTTTCTCTGACTTTCTTTTTCACACAAACTTCCCTCATGGCTGCGAGATGGCCACCAGGAGCAGCTGGACAGAATGCTTCCTATTCCTGTCCAGCAGGAGAGACTGAACTTCCCAGGGCTTGCTTTCCAGAATGAGGAAGATGCCTTCCCAAAAGTCCCAAGTAAGCCTCCCTTTACATCTCACCTCGTTAGCCCAAATTGGCTTAGACCTGCCCATCCCATAATCCAATAATTATTTTATTTTAGACGGAGTCTCACTCTGTCACCCAGGCTGGAGTGCAGTTGCGCGCTCTTGGCTCACTGCAACCTTTGCCTCCCGGGTTCAAGCGATTCTCCTGCCTCAGCCTCCCGAGTAGCTGGGACTACAGGCACATGCCACCACCCCTGGGTAATTTTTTGTGTTTTTAGCAGAGATGAGGTTTTACCGTGTTAGCCAGGATGCTCTCGATCTCCTGACCTTGTGATCCGCCTGCCTGGGCCTCCCAAAGTGCTGGGATTACAGGCGTGAGCCACCGCGCCCGGACTCCATTAATTCTTAACCCTGACTGCTCATCAGAATTCACAGGAAGTTTTTGAAAAAATATTGATGCCTAGGCACCACCGTGGCCCTATCAAATCAGAAACTTTGTGGGTGAAGCCCAGGCCTCAGCATTTTTAAAAACTTCCCAGGTATTTCTTTTTTCTTTTTTTTTTTTGCGACAGAATCTTGCTCTATTGCCAGGCTGGAGTGCAGTGGCCTGATCTCAGTCCACTGCAACCTCCACCTCCTTGGTTCAAGCGATTCTTGTGCCTCAGCCTCCCGAGTAGCTGGAATTACAGGCGCCTGCCACCACGCCCGGCTAATTTTTGTATTTTTAGTAGAGATGGGGTTTCACCATGTTAGTAGGGCTGGTCTCAAACTCCTGACCTCAGGTGATCTGCCCGTCTCGGCCCCCCAAAGTGCTGGGATTATGAGCCAAACCACCGCGCCTGGCCCTTCCCAGGTATTTCTAATGCGCAGTGAGTGCCCCAGGGTTAGACCTTGGGCATTGTCTCCAAAGGAGGTCACCTGCTCAGTGACAGGGAACCTGGCCCAACTGATGACAACTGATGACAACATTCATTGGGAAGCTTCACACCTGCGGCCCACTGCCCGAAGTGTACCAGCAATTAATAATTCTAATAAATCCTATAATTTTCTTGTGAATAGCATAATTATATTGCTTGGCAATTTGTGTGTGTGCTAAAAGCATTAATTTGTTAAATGTAAACATCTAAAACATGCCACAATCATCGTAAGCCGTATTAGCATGTCTTGATTTTTTTAAAAAACCAGGAGTGGCCGGGTGCGGTGGCTCACGCCTGTAATCCCAGCACTTTTGGAGGCCGAGGCGGGCGGATCACGACGTCTGGAGATCGAGACCATCCTGGCCAACATGGTGAAACCCCGTCTCTACTAAAAATACAAAAATTAGCCGGGTGTGGTGGTGCACGCCTGTAGTCCCAGCTACTCGGGAAGCTGAGGCAGGAGAATCCCTCGAACCTGGGAGGAGGAGGTTGCGGTGAGCAGAGGTTGCGCCATTGCACTCCAACCTGGGCAACAGAGTGAGACTCCAAAAAAAAACAAACAAACCAACAAAAAAAACAATAAAACCCAGGAGTTTCCAAAACTGGAAGGAGCTCGGGGCCACTCTTGGCTTCTAGAGAGTTCCCACCCTGATATCTGGCCACAGGCTGGGTTGCCCAGCCCTGGGCCCTTCCCTTCTGTGAAAGTTTGAGTTCTTGATCCCAATTCTTCATTACCCTGTAGTGGTGTTTAGCATTTTACCCATCAACCGTGGCCTCCTTGTGGATGGAGTGTACTCTCTTCTTCTAGACTTTCAGCTTGATCATGTGACTTGCCAGGACTTGCTGTTCAGACGTGAACAGAAGCTGAAACTAGCTTTCCTGGTTCCTTATGCTTTTGCTGTAGCCACTGGAAGAATAAATACCTCCCAGATGGCTGCTGCTGCCCCTTCAGTCCAGGCCTGTGATGGTTAATTTTATAGGCTTAACTGGGCTAAGGGTATCCAGATAGCTGGTATTATTTCTGGGCGTGTCTGTGAGAGTGTTTCTGGAAAAGAATAGCATTTTAATCAATGGACTGAGTAAAGAAGGTTGCTCTTAGGCCAGGCGTGGTGGCTCACATCTGTGATCCCAGCACTTTGGGAGGTTGAGGCAGGTGGATCACTTGAGGTCAGGAGTTGGAGACTAGCCTGGCCAATATGGCGAAACCCCATCTCTACTAAAAATACAGAAATTAGCAGGGCATGGTGGTGCATGCCTGTAATCCCAGCTACTCGGGGGGCTGATGCAGGAGAATCTCTTGAACCTGGGAGGCAAAGGTTGCAGTGAGCCAATATCGCGCCACTGCACTCCAGCCTAGGTGACAGAGCGAGACTCCATTTCAGAAAATAAATAAATAAATAAAAGAAGGTTGTTCTCGCCAAAAGGGGTGGGCAGCACCCAGTCCCATTAAGTGCCTGAATACAACAGAAAGGCAGAGGAAGGGAGAAGTCTCTGTCTCTTCTTGAGCTGGGACATCCACGTGCTCCTGGTTCTTGGGCCTTCAGATTCAGTCTGAATTACATATATGACTAGCTTTCCTGGTCCTCAGCTTGCAGACGGCAGATCGTGGGACTTCTTGGCCTCTATCATCACGCGAGCCAATTTTCATAATAAATCTCCTCATCTGTATACACATACACACTATCGGTTCCATTTCTCTGGAGATCCTTGACTATTATCGGGCCCCAGGGTGAGACATGCAGCTGGGCTGAGCTGGACCCACCATCTGCAGCAAAGCCACACAGCCAAGTCCGACCAAGTTGCAGGCCTGTGGGCCTGCGAATAGATGATTGCTGATTTAAGCCACTGAGCTTTGGGGTGACGTACAGCATTATCACAGCATTAGTTACCTAATATACCTTCTCAAACTGTGCTGTGCACAGACATATCAGCCCTTTGACCTCAGAGAACTTAAGGAGCCTAGCACAGTGGAGGAGAGTGAGTGGACAGGGAACATTTCCCTTCTGGAACCCGATGTTAGCATCTAGCCTTTACAAGGGTTATGGCCAGGCCATAGTCTAAGCACAGTGATTACAAGCATTTTTCTTTTTTCTTTTTTTTTTTTTTTGAGATAGAGTCTCACTCTGTCACCCAGGCTGGAGTGCAGTGGCACAATCTTGGCTCACTGCAACCTCCGCCTCCCGGGTTCAAGCGATTCTCCTGCCTCAGCCTCCCAAGTAGCTGGGATTACAGGCGCCTGCCACTACGCCTGGCTAATTTTTGAATTTTTAGTGGAGACAAAGTTTCACCATGTTGGCCAGGCTGGTCTTGAACTCCTGACCTCAGGTGATCCACCTGCCTTGACCTCCCAAAGTGCTAGAATTACAGGCGTGAGCCACCGCACACGGCCCTGGCTAATTTTTGTATTTTTAGTAGAGATGGAGTTTTGCCATGTTGGACAGGCTGGTCTCGAACTCCTGACTTCAAGTAATCCACCTGCCTCGGCCTCCCAAGGTGCTGGGATTACAGGCGTGAGCCTCCGTGCCTGGACGTACAAGCATTGTTCTTTTTTTTAAAAAAAAATTTTTCGAGACAGGGTCTCATCACTCTGTCTCCCAGGCTGGAGGGCAAGGGTGTGATCATAGCTCATTGCAGCCTTGGGCTCCTGGGCTCAAGGGATCCTCCCACCTCAGCCCCCTGATTAGCTGGGATTGCAGGTGTGTGCCACCGAGCCTAGCTAATCTTTAAATTTTTTGTAGAGACAAGGTGTTGCTGTGTTGCCCAGGCTGGTCTCAAATTTCAGCCCTCAAGTGATCCTCCTGCCTCAGCCTCCCAAAGCACTGGGATTACATGCATAAGCCACCATGCCTGGGCCCACAAACATTACTTTCTTTTGAAACCAGACTTCCTGCCGAATTTGAAGCCCAGCTGCACCACTTACATGTTGTGTGAACTTGGACAGGTTGCTTAACTTCTCCGGGTCTCAGGATCCTAATCTGTAAAATGAGAATGAAAATAATAGTACCTACCTCTGTTGTACAGATTGAATAAATCTTTGTGTAATGCATAGAACAGTGCCTGGCACATGGTAAGCATCATATAAGCAAGAGCTTCGGTTATTAAGTACTCTACGTGTATTTACCTCTCTCAACAAACCAACCAGCAAATTTTATCACTATTTTTGGATAATGGAACTGAGATTAAGAGAGGTCAAATGACTTGTCCAAGGTCACAAAATATGTGAGTCACTGAGCCAAGTATGAAAATAATTCTGTCTGATTCTAAATCTTTTTATTTTTTATTTTTTTGAGACAGAGTCTCACTCTGTTGCCCAGGCTGGAGTGCAGTGGCGTGATCTCAACTCACTGCAACCTCCGCCTGCCAGGTGCAGGCAATTCTCCTGCCTCAGACTCCCAAGTAGCTGGGATTACAGGTGCCCGCCACCACGCCCGGCTAATTTTTTGTATGTTTAGTAGAGACGGGGTTTCACCATGTTGGTCAGGTTGGTCTTGAACTCCTGACCTCGTGAATCCGCCCACCTCAGCCTCCCAAAGTCCTGGGATTAGACAGACATGAGCCACTGTGCCCGGCTGTATATCCCCCACATTTAGTGGGAGCTTGGCCCACATTGGGCAGCAATGAATGTCAATGAATGCCTGTGTGAACAGGCCTGGCTAGGTGGAAGGCAGGCTGGGTTGTGATTGGAGTTCACCCGGTGCCCTCTTTACTTCACCTGGCTTCTTTTTTATTTTTATTTTTATTTTTTGAGACCGAGTTTCGCTCTTGTTGCCCAGGCTGGAGTGCAATGGCGCGATCTTGGCTCACCACAACCTCCGCCTCCTGGATTCAAGCTATTCTCCTGCCTCAGCCTCCCGAGTAGCTGAGATTACAGGCTGCGCCACCATGCCCAGCTAATTTTTTTTTTTTTTTTTTGTATTTTTAGTAGAGACAGGGTTTCTCCATGTTGGTCAGGCTGGTCTCGAACTCCTGACCTTAGGTGATCCACCCGCCTCCACCTCCCAAAGCGCTGGGATTACAGGCGTGAGCCACTGCGCCTGGCCCTACTTCACCTGGCTTCTTAATGGGCTGGGGACTGGTTGGCCAGAGGGGACCTCCCCCAGGTTGGTTTGCCGGGCAGGGGCGCAATGGAAGCTGCCCTGGGTTGCGATGTGAAGTCAAGCCATATGGCTTGGGCACAACCAGCTCTGCTATATCTGGCTGTGTGTCCAGGGCCAGTTGCTTTCCAGGCTCTCTGAGACTCAGTTTACTCCTGAGTCAGGAAGCAGAACCAGGGAGCAGCAGGACAGACAAAGCCGGGGGCCACCTTCAGAGCCCCAGAGCCTCCCACTGTGTCCTCTGCTGCCTGCAAAAAGGCCACCTCCCTCTCACAGGGAAACCTGAGACCTGCTGAGTCAGCAGATTTGTGGGCCCAGACAGCTGTGTCCCCTCCCCGCCCCCAGCCCAGAGAGAAGGCCCGTCCCTCTGAAAGGCAAGGACAGGTGCTGGGCTTCCCTGGAGCCAGAGCACGCCCTGATAACCCAAGAGCCAGATACACGAGGCCTCTCCTGCTGCAGAAGGTCAGGCAGAACCCCGGGGCCTGGCACAGAGGAAACGGAGAGCATGTCCCAGCTGTGGTCACTTCACCCTTGGAGTGTCAGTTTCCTTAACACAGAAATCAAAACTCCGCCAGGCGCAGTGGCTCACGCCTATAATCCCAACACTTTAGGAAGCTGAGGTGGGCGGATCACCTGAGGTTGGGTGTTCGAGACCAGCCTGACCAACATGGAGAAAGCCTGTCTCTACTAAAAACACAAAATTAGCCGGGTGTGGTGGTGTATGCTTATAATCCCAGCTACTCGGGAGGCTGAGGCAGGAGAATCGCTTGAACCTGGGAGGCGGAGGTTGCGGTGAGCCGAGATTGTGCCATTGCACTCCAGCCTGGGCAACAAGAGCGAAACTCCATCTCAAAACAAAAAAAAGAAAGGAAAAAAGAAATCAAAACTGAATCTTGGGCCTGTGGAGAAGCCCCTGCAGGTTCAAGAAGACCCTCTATAAACTGCAAAGGCTTGTGCTCCAGGAGGCTGCTCTCAGGTCCTCCGTTTCCATGTCTGTAAAATAAGAGCAAGGAGCTTGCAAGGGCCTTCTAGCCAGGAAGGCCTCCAATCCAGTCCTTCAGGAAACCATCCCCCTAGCTCAGTATCACTCATGATGTGAAGGTGCTTCTGCTGTCATGCTGCGTGGCATACCACCATCACCCATGATGTCTTTTTGCCCAAAATGCCTAACTTGGGTCCAATAATTTCCAGTTTACCAGAAATACAGGAGACTAAGGAAGAAATGAAACAAGAGAAAAACAACACAATAAACCCTGAAGGTGGGGCATTTTGCAAACAACAAGTCCAGTTTTATGACATGTCATTGTCATAAAAAAGGACTTGCCAGACTAAAAGAGACTTAAGGGCATCCAACCACAGGCGTTGCAGGGTCCTTGACTGCACTCCCATTTTCAGGTGCCAGCATAAAGGACATTTTAGGAGCAATGAGAGAATTTGAATGTGGGCTGAGCATTAGATAAGATGGAGATGTATTGACAGGGAGAGGCTGAGATAACTGACAAGGACAGCATGATCTCATTTTGATTTTTAAAATTACATATGCCTAGGCACAGTGGCTCATGCCTGTAATCCCAGCACTCTGGGAGGCTGAGGCAAGTGGATCTCTTGAGGTCAGGAGTTCAAGACCATCCTGGCCAACACAGTAAAACCCCGTCTCTGCTAAAATACAAAAATTAGCCGGGCATGGTGGCAAGGGCCTGTAGTCCCAGCTACTAGGGAGGCTGAGGCAGGAGGATCACTGGAACCTGGGAAGTGGAGGTTTCAGTGAGCCAAGATCGCACCACTGTACTGTAGCCTGGGCAATAGAGCGAGACTCTGTCTCAGAAAAACAAACAAACAAAACACAAAAATATTACATATGCAGGGCTGGGCGCTGAGGCTCATGCCTGTAATCCCAACACTTTGGGAAGCTGAGGCAAGCAGCTCACTTGAGCCCAGGAGTTTGAGACCAGCCTGGGCAACATAGTGAGACCCTGCCTCTAAAAAAATAATAAAAAATTACATAGGCATAAAAAGAGATTCGGGGCCGGGTGCGGTGGCTCATGCCTGTAATCCCTGCACTTTGGGAGGCCGAGGCGGGCGGATCACTTGAGGTCAAGAGTTGGAGACCAGCCTGGCTAACATGGTGAAACCCCGTCTCTATTAAAAAAATACAAAAATTAGCTGGGTGTGGTGGCATGTGCCTGTAATCCCAGCTACTTGGGAGGCTGAGGCAGGAGAATCGCTTGAACCCGGGAGGTGGAGGTTTCAGTGAGCCAGGATCACACCACTGTACTCCAGCTGGGTGACAGAGAAGACTCTGTCTCACAAAAAAAAAAAAAAATTTATATATATATATATATATGGGAGGATAGACAATGAGGATACTCCCTAGATGGTAGGAATAGAGTGGTTTTGTTTTCTTATTTTTGCTCATCTGTAACTTCCAGCTTTCTCTAATGTACGTGCACAGCTGTTGGGGCTCAGAAACGGTACTCCAAAGTATGGCACTATGGCAGGCTGAGTACTTTGAACTAAAGAAACTGGAAGGTCTCAAAAGTCAACTCTCTCTCTGACGTTCTCCCATCCTCCTGTCTCCTGCCCCTCTTTCGCCCCCAGAGGAATCCATAGACACCAGAATTCTTTTTCCCCAGTCATAGAAACTAGAACCCCTCTCCCCTAAAGCAAGCCATAAAACCTAGAAAGGGTCACTCTCTCCCTTCTCCCCTGAAGACCCCTATTCCAGAAAGGGTCCTGCCCGATACCTGCTGGAAGGAGTGCCGTACAGAGAGGCCAAGAAGCATCTCAATAGACAGGACTTGCTGGGTATCCGCGCTCAGTCTATTCCCATGAATCATGCTCTTTTGTCCGATCACTTTCTACACGGCTGTCTGCTTTGCATAGAATCTAAGCATAAAAATAGATAGGTTTCCCTGGATCTTTGGGTCTTCATTCTGAAGGCTCCTGTGTCTTGTAAAACTTTGATTAAATAAATTTGTTTTGCTTTCCTCTTGTTAACCAGTCTTTTATTATAGGAGTGTCAGCCATGACCTTTATGATGAATGAGGAAAGTTAGCACACCTTTCTACCCCTACACAGCTTTGCTGATAATAAAAGTTATTTAATTTCACTATTTTTCGAGATGGAGTCTCGTTCTGTCACCCAGGCTGGAGTTCAGTGGCACAATCTTGGCTCACTGCAACCTCCACCTCCTGGGTTCAAGCCATTCTCCTGCCTCAGCCTCCCGAGTAGCTGGGACTACAGGTGCATGCCATCACGCCCAGCTAATTTTTGCATTTTTAGTAGAGACGGGGTTTCACCATGTCGGTCAGGCTGGTCTCGAACTCCTGACCTTAAGCAACCTACCTGCCTCAGCCTCCCAAAGTGTTGGGGTTACAGACATGAGCTATCACACCCAGCCAAAAGTTATTTTAAAGTAGAGAAGTTCTTGGCATAGTCCCGGGCTCTGACAGCTTCCTGTGGCCTCAGCTTCCTCTTTCAGCTCCTGCCCCATCCAGGACTTGCCAAGAACATTAACCAGGCAATGGCACCTCGGGTCACAGCTTTCCTCCCCTCTGAGCACCGCCCTTCCTTCCTCCCCTCCCTCCCCGACATCATGGTGCTTCCATGGGGAAGTGTCCATTGAATTACAGCAACGCCATGTGTTCACTCCCTCCTTCTCCCCTGCAGAGAAGTGACTTACCTGATGGCCAAGCGTGGGAGGAGCTCCTGGGCATGCCCAGCCCAGCGCACCATCTCTTTTGGAAGCCTTTATTGGTCTGTTGCTGCCTGGCAGTTAGCAGCCTCTGGTATCCCCACTGAGCCAGGGACTGGGCATTTTCAGTGGGTGAATGTCAAGTTCAAGGGTAGGATAGCAGGAAGCCAGCTTGGCCATTGCTCTTAAGTCACAGGAAAATATTTTGATCTCTCTCTGTCTGACTGTTGTGTGTCTCTCTCAGTCGCTTTCAAACTTGGATGGAGAAGAGTAGCATCCTTTACCGGATCCTCTAAAATCCAACATCTGTCTCTTCCCTGCCCCAGTGGCCCCTTCTGTAGGGGTGGGTTGCCCCTCCACACCTGTGGGTGTTTCTCATAAGGTGGAACGAGAGACTTGGAAAAGAAAAAGACACAGAGACAAAGTATAGAGAAAGAAATAAGGGGGCCCGGGGAACCAGCGTCCAGCATATGGAGGATCCCGCCAGCCTCTGAGTTCCCTTAGTATTGATCATTCGTGGGTGTTTCTCCGAGAGGGGGATGTGTCAGGGTCACAAGACAATTGTGGAGAGAGGGTCAGCAGAGAAACATGTGAACAAAGGTCTTTGCATCATAGACAAGGTAAAGGATTAAGTGCTGTGCTTTTAGGTATGCATTCACATAAACATCTCAATGCTTTACAAAGCAGTATTGCTGCCCGCATGTCCCACCTCCAGCCCTAAGGCGGTTTTTCCCTATCTCAGTAGATAGAACGTACAATCGGGTTTTATACCGAGACATTCCATTGCCCAGGGACAGGCAGGAGACAGATGCCTTCCTCTTGTCTCAACTGCAAGAGGTGTTCCTTCCTCTTATACTAATCCTCCTCAGCACAGACCCTTTACGGGTGTCGGGCTGGGGGACGGTCAGGTCTCTCCCTTCCCACGAGGCCATATTTCAGACTATCACATGGGGAGAAACCTTGGACAATACCTGGCTTTCCTAGGCAGAGGTCCCTGCGGCCTTCCGCAGTTTTTGTGTCCCTGGGTACTTGAGATTAGGGAGTGGTGATGACTCTTAAGGAACGTGCTGCCTTCAAGCATCTGTTTAACAAAGCACATCTTGCACCGCCCTTAATCCATTTAACTCTGAGTTGACACAGCACATGTTTCAGAGAGCACGGGGTTGGGGGTAAGGTTATAGATTAACAGAGTCTCAAGGCAGAAGAATTTTTCTTAGTACATAACAAAATGGAGTCTCCTATGTCTACTTCTTTCTACACAGACACAGTAACAATCTGATCTCTCTTGCTTTTCCCCACACCCTTCTCCCCTGCCCAACTCCACGCTCAGGTGGAAGCTGATTTTCTTTTCTTTCTATTTGAGACAGAGTCTCGCTCTGTTGCCTAGGCTGGAGTGCAGTGGCATGATCTTGGTCAGCTCACTGCAACCTCCGCCTCCCAGGTTCAAGCAATTCTTCCACTCAGCCTCCTGAGTAGCTGGGATTACAGGTGCACACTACCACGCCCGGCTAAGTTTTGTATTTTTGTAGAGATGGGGTTTCGCCATGTTGGCCAGGCTGGTCTTGAACTCCTGACTTCAGGTGATCTGCCCGCCTCGGCCTCCCAAAGTGCTGGAATTACAGGTGTGAGCCACTGCGCCTGGTCTAGAAGCTGATTTTCTAGAGGCATCTTCAAGACCCAGGAACTTCAGGACTGAGTTTCTAATGAAGAGAAGAATAGGAAGTCCTTGGGGACAGTCAGAAATGGAGGTGAAGGTACAGGGGGTGTGGGGTGGTGAGGGTGCAGGGGTGCGGGGTGGTGAGAGTGCAGGGGGTGCGGGGAGGTGAGGGTGCAGGGAGTGCGAGGTGGTGAGGGTGCAGGGGCGCGGGGTGGTGAGGGTGCAGGGAGTGAGGGATGGTGAGAATGCAGGGGGGTGCGGGGTGGTGAGGGTGCAGGGGGTGCAGGGTGGTGAGGGTACAGGGGGTGCAGGGAGGAGAGGGTGCAGGGGTGCAGGGTGGTGAGGCAGCATTCCAGACAGAGGGAACAGCATGGGCAAAGGAGAGGAGGCTGGATGCAAAATGAGAGGGGAGGAGTGAGCTGAACTGATGCTGTGCCCTGCACATAGCTCAAGGGACAAACGTAGATCATGGGGAACGTGGGGCCACATGAGTGTTTCAAGCTGAGAAGTATTGATATGCTGGGAGCATCTCCTGGGGCCACTCTGTGGAGGACAGGTCCAGGCCAGAGGCCTGGGAGCAAGAGATTAGCAATGGGGTCGTGAACCCAGAACACTTATAGGGAAGAGGAAAAAGCGATTCCAAAGACTAAAGGGCAGCAGCGGCCTGCACCTCTGGGCACTTCATCTCAGACGCAAATCACTCCAGGTTGCCGAGAGCTCAGAAATGGATTTCTTGAATTATGCAAAGGTAGAGAAGTCAGACCCAACCCCCGCCCCCCATTACAAATATTTTGTAATGTTCCCTTCACCAAGCTGAAATGAAATTCATAAATAAACTAACCTACCCTCACACATGCTTTAAAAAAAAAATCAATGATATCCTAACTATAATATGAAGGAGAAATAAAAGGAGGGTAATTTCTAATAAAATAATATAAATTTCAGGATGAAAATCTGCAGGCAGCCTGGGCGTGGTGGCTCATGCCTGTAATCCTAGCACTATGGAAGTCTGAGGTGGGCGGATCACCTGAGGTCAGGAGTTCGAGACCAGCCTGGCCAACATGGTGAAACCCTGTCTCTCCTAAAACTACAAAAATTAGCCAGGCGCGGTGGTGGGCGCCTGTAATTCCAGCTACCTGGGAAGCTGAGGCAGGAGAATCGCTGGAACCTGGGAGATGGAGGTTGCAGCGAGCCAAGATTGTGCCACTGCACTCCAGCCTGGGCAACAGAGTGAGACGCCATCTCAAAAAAAAAAAAAAAAAAAAGAAAAAAGAAAAAGAAAGAAAATCTGCAGGCTGACTACAGCCAGAGATGAGGTGGCCCCACACTTGCTCCTAGAGGTGGGGCCACGGAGACCATGGCGGCCACAAGGCAGATGGACACAGGTAGTTGTGATGGTGATTCAGACCCCACAGGCGGTGCTGTTGCCAGTGACATGAAATGGGCAACGAGTCTTGGCCAAATTCCAAGCAAAACAAAGGACAATCTTCTCTTGTATACACAATAGTCATGTTCCTAGAAAATTCTGTGTATGTTGAAAGCATGCAAAAGTTATTTATTTTGTGTTTATATAAAAACAGGTCTCTGTCTCCCATTTTGACAAAGAAAAATGCCCTTGCAGATTTCCCAGACTCCTCTGAGGGGCCGTCTTGGCCTCATTGGGTGTCATTGTCTTAGAGCCTTTTCTGTAATTACAGCAGCTGAGACCAGAATGCAGGTGCCCCGTAAAACCAATCTGCATATTCTTCTGGTGGCTGAGAGGCGGGCGGGAGGCTGTGGAACTTAGAGGACAGTTGGGAGAAGGGTCCAGAGAGGTGGGAAGTGAGCAGCCCCCAAGAAATGGCAACAGGCCAAGGCCAGAGGAGATGGCAGGCTGCTGAGACGCTTCCTGGGGTGGGGACAGACAAAAGGTGCTAAACTGTAAATCTGTAATCCCCCCTCTGCTGTTCCCAATTCGTCCATAAAAGTCAGTTACACAGGCTGGGTGCCTTGGCTAATGCCTGTAACCCCACCACTTTGAGAGGCCAACATGGGTGGATCACCTGAGGTCAGGAGTTCGAGACCAGCCTGACCAATATGGTGAAACCCTGTCTCTACTAAAAATACAAAAATTAGCCAAGCATGGTGGTGCACACCTGTAGTCCCAGCACTTGGGAGACTGAGACAGGGGAATTGCTTGAACCTGGGAGACAGAGGTTGCAGTGAGCAGAGATTGCACCACTGCACTACACTGGGTGACAGAGCCAGATTCGGTCTCAAAAAAAAAAAGGTCAGTTACACACTATAGTGCTTGGAGGGGGATCAATAAAAATGATGGCTCATATTCCCTAACTAACTTGCTGATGCTTTACTCACACTAACTCATGTGACCTGCAGCAAGGCCTAAGAGGTAGGGGCCACACTTACCCCCAGTTTATAATGAGAAAACCAAAGCCTAGAGAGATGGAGACCATTGCCCAAGGCCAATCAGCTCATCAGTTGCAGAGCAAGACTTTGAACCCAGGCAGTCTGGCTCCTGTGGCCCCTGTTTGATCACCCCACTAGCAAGGGCCAGACCTGTGCTCTAGTGAAGCATTGCGAAGGGAAATCGCAGCAGTATGGAGGGAGCTGGGGCGGGGTTGAAGAAATCTGGGCTAAGAGGTAACAGGAGATCATAGGCATTCACTGGAGATTCTCAAAAACATTGAGAAGGATGCTAGCCTTCCCTGGTATGAAGGACAGAGACAGCCATTTTCACTGGATCTTACAAGGAAGGGTGACTCCAGGGAGGTGGAAGATCAGAAGCATCCTGTCCCAATGGAAACTCCAAAATGGCCATGTTGGTTTACATCCAGGGCCCATCTGAACTCTGTTTGTTTCTGAACTCTTAAATTTCAACAGCTTCACCTATTTCCATCCCATTTGTTAATAGCTGTATTTTAATGTATTCATTGGCTGAGAAAATACAGCACAAAAGACTACTTTGAATTCAGAAATGCTTTCAGTGAATTTGAATGTTATTAATCACAGTGGCATCCACATTCATTTGAAAAACATTACATCTGTAGAAGCCAAATGCTTTCCAGCGACAGTGCTTGGGGCACTTATGGCCAATGCTGAGTAAAAGGCATAGGTGGAAACTAGGAAGAGGCAAGAAAGAAGTGACTGATGCACCAGCGCCAGAATCCCCCAGGACCCAGCTCAACCCCCTGGGGTGGCTCAGGGTCACTACCACAGTCCTGATCCATGTCACCTACTCCCTGCTGGTATATGTGCTGAGAAAAGGCTTTGATTGGGCCATCCTAGTGCCACTCATTATGGAGCAACTCCATGGGGCAGAGCTTAGGCCAGCCCCCACCAAGAGGCTAGCTGACCTCCTGTCCAGCCCAAATGGAGGCGCTGGACAATTGCAGGTCAGTCCAGGGCAATCACCTGTTCCCAGTGGGGCCGTTGCGAGGGATGGATGAAGTGTCAGAGGCGTTTGAACCAGAGCAACTCCATCTTGAATAGGGGCTGGGTAAAATAAGGCTGAGATCTACTGGGCTGCATTCCCAGATGGTTAGGCATTCTAAGTCATAGGATGAGATAGGTTGACACAAGATACAGGTCATAAAGACCTTGCTGATAACACGGTCTGCAGTAAAGAAGCCGGCTAAAACCCACTAAAACCAAGATGGCAATGAGGCTGACCTCTGGTGGCCCTCACTGGTACACAGTTTACAAATGCCATGGCAATGTCAGGAAGTTACCCTATATGGTCTAAAAAGGGGAGGCATGAATAATCC
Organism: Homo sapiens; assembly: GCF_000001405.40. Classification (NCBI taxonomy): domain Eukaryota; kingdom Metazoa; phylum Chordata; class Mammalia; order Primates; family Hominidae; genus Homo; species Homo sapiens. The sequence continues at coordinate 61,660,098 of NC_000011.10, forward strand.
ACCCCTTATTTAGCATATCCTCAAGAAATAACCAGTTGGGCATGGTGGCTCACTCCTCTAATCCCAGCACTTCGGGAGGCTGAGGTGGATGGATCACCTGAGGTCAGAAGTTCGAGACCAGCCTGGCCAACATGGTGAAACCCTGTCTCTCCTAAAAATACAAAAAATTAGCCTTGTGTGGTGGCGGGTGCCTGTTATCCCAGCTACTCGGGAGGCTGAGGCAGGAGAATCTCCTGCACCTGGGAGGCAGAGGTTACAGTGAGTGAGATCACAGCATTGCACTCCAGCCTGGGCAACAAGAGCGGAACTCCATCTCAAAAAAAATAAAGAGGCCGGGCATGGCGGCTCACGCCTGTAATCCCAGCACTTTGGGAGGCTGAGGTGGGAGGATCACGAGCTCAGGAGATAGAGACCATCCTGGCTAACACGGTGAAACCCCATGTCTACTAAAAAAATAAAAAACATCAGCCGGGCATGGTGGCGGGTGCCTGTAGTCCCAGCTACTCGGGAGGCTGAGGCAGGAGAATGGCGTGAACCCAGGAGGCGGAGCTTGCAGTGAACCGAGATCTCGCCACTGCACTCCAGCCTGAGCAACAGAGCAAGACTCTGTCTCAAAAAAAAAGAAAAAAAAAAAGAAAAAGAACCATAAAAATGATTAACCGGCAGCCCTTTTATTCTGTTATTTTTCTAATAAACTTGCCTTCACTTTACTCTATGGATTCGCCTCAAATTTTTTCTTGCACAAAATCCAAGAACCCTGCCTTGGGGTCTGGACCGGGGCCCCTTTCCGGTAACAAAAGGAGCAGGTTGGGGCTACAGTCTTCAAAAGGTGGCTGGAAAATTGGCAAAATTGAAAGGAATGACAATACCAACTGTTGGCAAGGATGTACGCAACTGAAACCCTCACACATGGTTGGGGAGTGTGTTAGGCCGTTATTGCATTGCTGTGAAGAAATACCTGATGCTGCATAGGTGATAAAGAAAAGGGGTTTAATTGGCTCATGGTTCTGCAGACTTTACAGGAAGCATGGTGCTGGCACCTGCTCAGCTTCTCATGAGGCTTCAGGGAGGTTTTCTCATGGTGGAAGGTGAAGTGGGAGCAGGCACATCACATGGCCAGAGGGGGAGCAAGGGGAAAGGAGTTGCCACACATTATGAAAGAACAGAGGCCGAGTGCAATGGCCCATGCCTATAATCCCAGCACTTTGGGAGGCCAAGGCAGGTAAATCACTTGAGGTCAGGAGTTCGAGACCAGCCTGGGCAACATAGTGAAACCCCGTCTCTACTAAAAAAAAAAAATACAAAAATTAGCCAGGCGTGGTGGCAGGTGCCTGTGGTTCCAGCTACTTGGGAGGCTGAGCTAGGAGACTCTCTTGAACCCAGGAGGTGGGGGTTGCAGTGAGCCGAGATCATGCCACTGCACTCCAGCCTGGGCAAGAGAGCAAGACTCTGTCCCCCTAAAAAAAAAAAAAAACAAGAAAACCCCCAAAAAACAGATTTTGGGGGAACTCACTCACTCACTATCAAGAGGACAGAAGCAAGCCATGAGGGATCCACCCAAGCACCTCCCACCAGACCCCACCTCCAACATTGGGGATTACATTCCTTTTTTTTTTTTTTTTTGAGATGGAGTCTGGCTCTGTTGCCCATGCTGGAGTGTAGTGGCCGTGATCTTGGCTCACTGCAACCTCTACCTCCTGGGTTCAAGCGATTCTCCTGCCTCAGTCTCTGGAGTAGCTTGGATTACAGGCATGTGCCACCACACCGGGCTAATTTTTGTATTTTTAGTAGAGATGGGGGTTTCACTATGTTGGCCAGGCTGGTCTCGAACTCATCTCATGACCTTGGGTGATCCACACGCCTTGGCCTCCCAGAGTGCTGGGATTACAGGCGTGAGCCACTCCACCTGGCCGCCTTTTCTCTTATTAATCAGCTTTTTGTCAGTTGATTTTTCAGCAAACCTTCAGTGGGTGAAGGGGAACTTTTCCCATGGCTCCTACAAAAGGCCAAAAGGACAGGATTTCGGACAGTTGAACACCTGGAGTTTCCTGTAGAGTGGCGCCTAGGGGAAAGCGTGGAAGCTCAGAGCCCATACCTCATCCAATGCATCCCTTTATCTGTGTCCTTTGTAATCCTCTATAATAAACTGGTTAACGTAAGTTTCCCTGAGTTCTGCGAGCCGCTGTAGCAAATTAATCGAGGAGGTCGGGGAACCCCAACTTGAAACCAGTCGGTCAGAAGTTCTGGAGGCTTGGACTTGCAGGTGTCTGAAGTGGGGACAGTCTGATGGGACTGAGTTCTAACCCTGTGGGATGTGATGCTATCTCCAGGTAAACAGCACCAGAATTGAACTGAATGAGAGGACACCCAGCCAGTGTCTGCTGCTTGGTGTGTGGGGGAAAAAAACCCACGCATTTGGTCACGGAAGTATTCTGTGGTGTTGATTGTGGTTGTGTTGAGAGGGCAGAAAAACACTTGTGTGTGTGTTTCCTGAGAAATACCTGGTGTGGCCGGGCACGGTGGCTCACGCCTGTAATCCCAGCACTTTTGGGAGGCCGAGGTGGGCAGATCACAAGGTCAGGAGTTTGAGATCAGCCTGGCCAACATGGTGAAACCCCATCTCTACTAAAAATACAAAAATTAGCTGGGCGTGGTGGTGGGCACCTGTAATCCCAGCTACTTGGGAGGCTGAGGCAGAAGAATCGGTTGAACCTGGGAGGCAAAGGTTGCAATGAGCCGAGATTGCACCACTGCACTCCAGTCTGGGTGACAGAGTGAGACTCCGTCTCAAAAAAAAAAAAAGAAAGAAAGGAAAGGAAAGAAAGAAAGAAAGAAAGAAAGAAAGAAAGAAAGAGAAGGAAGGAAGGAAGGAAAGATCTGAATATCTGGGTGTATACATATGTGAAATAAATTCATTGGCCAGGCGCGGTGGCTCACGCCTGTAATCCCAGCACTTTGGGAAGCCAAGGCAGACCAATCACGTGAGGTCAGGAGTTTGAGACCAGCCTGTCCAACATGGTGAAACCCCATCTCTACTAAAAATACAAAGAAAATTAGCTGGGTGTGGTGGCGCTCGCCTCTAGTTCTAGCTACTTGGGAGGCTGAGGCAGAAGAATCACTTGAACCTGGGAGGCGGAGGTTGCAGTGAGTCAAGATCGTGCCACTGCACTCCAGCCTGGGCAACAGAGCAAGACTCCATCTCAAAATAAATAAATAAATAAATAAAATAAAATAAATTAATCAAGCCCTTCACTTAGGATTAGTGTGTAACTTTAATAAAAAAGAAAAAATCTTTCTTAAAAATGGCCAGTAAGTACAAGAAAAGATGTTCAACATCATTAATCATTAGAGAAATGCAAATCAAAACCACAATGAGACACCACTTCATACCCATCAGGATGTCTATTAGAAAACAAAGCAGGCCATCGTGGTAGCTCACGCCTGTAATCCGAGCACTTTGGGTCGCCAAGGCGGGTGGATCGCCTGAGGACAGGAGTTCGAGACCAGCCTAAGCAACATGGTGAAACCCCATCTCTACTAAAACTAAGAAAATTAGCTGGCATGGTGGCGGGTGCCTGTAATCCCAGCTACTCAGGAGGCTGAGGCAGGGGAATCGCTTGAGCCTGGGAGGCAAAGGTTGCAGTGAGCTGAGACTGCACCACTGCACTGCAGCCTGGGTGACAGAGTGAGACTCCGTCTCAAAAAATAAATAAATAAATAAATAAAATTAAGGCCGGGCGCGGTGGCTCACGCCTGTAATCCCAGCACTTTGGGAGACCGAGGCGGGCAGATTGTGAGGTGAGGCGATCGAGACCATCCTGGCTAACACGGTGAAACCCTGTCTCTACTAAAAATACAAAAAAATTAGCTGGGCATGATGGTGGTCGCCTGTAGTCCCAACTACTCGGGAGGCTGAGGCAGGAGAATGGCATGAACCTGGGAGGTGGAGCTTGCACTCAGCCAAGATCGCGCCACTGCACTCCAGCCTGGGAGACAGAACAAGACTCTGTTTCAAATAAATAAATAAATAAATAAATAAATAAAATTAAAAAAAAAACAAAGCAAAGCAAAACAAAACAAAAAACAGGAAATAACAAATGTTGGCAAGGATATGGAGAAATTGGAAACTTTGTGCCCGTCAGTGGGAATATAAAATGACGTAGCCCTTGTGGAAAATGGTAGAGTTGTTCCTTAGAAAACTAAACATAGAATTATCATAAAATCCAGCAATTCCACTTCTGAGTATATGTCCAAAAGAATTGAAAGCAGGGACTTGAACAGGCATTTGTACACGTATGTTTATAGTAGCATTAATCACAATAGCCAAAGGGTGGAAACAACCCAAACGTCCATCAATGAATGAAATGTGGCTTTCAGACATGGATGAAAATACAATACATATGGCCAGGGGCAGTGGCTCACACCTATAATCCCAGCATTTTGGGAGGCCGAGGCAAGCAGATCACCTGAGGTCAGGAGTTCAAGACCAGCCTGGCTAACATGGTGAAACCCCATCTCTACAAAAATACAAAACTTAGCTAGGCATGATGGTGGGTGCTTGTAATCCCAGCTACTCAGGGAGGCGGAGGTGGGAGAATCACTTGAACCCAGAAGGCGGAGTTTATAGTGAGCTGAGATTGCACCATTGCACTCCAGCCTGGAAAACATAGCAAGACTCCATCTCAAAAGAAAAAAGAAAAAAGAAACAAAAAAGAAAATATGATACATACAATGGAATGTTATTCAGACTTAAAAAGGAATGAAATTCTGATACATGCTATTACATGGATGAATCTTGAAGACATTATGCTAAGTGAAATAAACCAACCAGTCACAAAGAACAAATATTATATGATTCCAGGCCAGGCGCGGTGGCTCATGCCTGTAATTCCAGCACTTCGGGAGGCCGAGGCGGGTGGATCACCTGAGGTCAGGAGTTCGAGACCAGCCTGGCCAACATGATGAAAACCCTGTCTCTACCAAAAATACAAAAATTAGCTATGCATGGTGGCGGGTGCCTGTAATCCCAGCTACTTGGGAGGCTGAGGCAGGAGAATTGCTTGAACCCAGGAGGTCGAGGTTGCAGTGAGCCAAGATCGCACCACTGCACTCCAGCCTGGGTGACAGAAAGAAACTCTGTCTCAAAAAAAAAAAAAAAAGAAAAAATATATATATATTTATAATATGATTCCACTTCTATGAAGTATCTAGAATAGTCAAATTCATGGACACAGAAAGTAGAATCCTAGTGACTGAGGCTGGGGGGAGAGAGGAACGGGAGTTACTGTTTAATGGGAACAGAGTTTCAGTTTGTGAAGTCAGAAAGTTCTGGAGTTGTGTGGTGGTAATGATAGCACAATAAAGTGTTTTTGAGACAGGGTCTTGCTCTGTCATTCAGGCTGGAGTGCAGTGGTGTGATCTTGGGTCACTGTAGCCTCAACCTCCTGGGATCAAGCTGTCTTCCCACCTCGGCCTCCCAAGTAGCTGGGACTACAGGTGTGCATCACCATGCCTGGACAATTTTTGTATTTTTTTTTTGTAGATACAGTGTCCCGCCATGTTGCCCAGGCTGGTATCAAACTCTTGGGCTCAAGGGATCCTCCCACCTCAGCTTCCTAAAATACTGGGATTACAGGCATGAACCACTGCACCCAGCCGGAACTCTACACTTAAAAATGTTTAAAAGGGCCAGGTGCGATGGCTCATGCCTGTAATCCCAGCACTTTGGGGGGCCAAGGCAGGAGAATCACTTGAGGCCAGGAGTTTGAGTCCAGCTTGGGGAACATGGTGAGACCATATCTTTACAAAAATAAAAATGTAGCCAAGGTATGGTGGCACACCGTGTAGTCCCAGCTACTCTGAAGGCTGAGGCAGGAGGATCCCTTGAGTCCAGGATTTCAAGGCTGCAGTGAGCTATGATGACATCACTACACTCCAGCCTGGGATACACAGGGATACCCTGTCAATTTTTTTTTAAAAAAAGGTTAAAATGGCAAATTTAATGTTATGTATATTTTAGCATGATCAATTTTTTTTTCTTTTCCTTCTTTTTTTTTTTTTTTTTTTTTTTTTTGAGACGGAGTCTCCTCCTGTTGCCCAGACTGGAGTGCAATGGTGAGATCTCAGCTCACTGCAACCTCTACCTCCTGGGTTCAAGCGATTCTCCTGCCTCAGCCTCATGAGTAGCTGGGATTACAGGCACCTGCCACCACGCCCGGCTAATTTTTTGTATTTTTAGTAGAGACAGGGTTTCACCATGTTGGCCAGGCTGGTCTCGAGCTCCTGACCTCAGGTGATCCACCCGCCTCGGCCTCCCAAAGTGCTGGGATTACAGGTGTGAGCCATCGTGCCCTGCGTCAATTTCTTTTTTAAAGCTACTAAGAAAAAAAAGGTTCTGAGAGCTCAGGCTTCCCTGAGATTTCCTGGATTTCCCCCTCCTCCTCTAGCCGGTCCTGTTCTTTGAGACCCCATCACAAACCTGCCTTCAGCACCCTGGAGTTCAAGGGCTTGCAGATCCTTCTTGACATCAGCTTCCCAAGGCAGAAAAGTATCTGAAAGGAGCTTTGGCTCCTTTGGGGGCCCATTAGGAAGCCATCATCATTCATGAATTTACCAAAAAGGCCACCTTCTGGCTGACACCTCAGCAGAGGATGGGATGACATCAGTTTGCCCAATCAAGGGATCAGCCTTGAGTTTCTGCTAGCTGCTCAAGCTCAGCTTTGAATGTCGCCAGTACCCCAGGGCAAAAGCTCAGGGAAAGCACCTCGACTGAGCACCTACCGTGCACCAAGCACCACACCTAGAATCCTTAACAGCACCCAAAGAGGACATTATTGAACACATTTCCCTGATTAGGAAACTGAGCCTCATAAAGAGTCCCACAACTAGAAAATGAGGGATTCACACTTCAGAGCCAGCTCTAAATCCCAGTTAGGGACCTTCCAGACTCATGGCTGGCCTTGGGGGGTGCAGCAGGCTCTCTGAGCTTAGAGGCAACAGCAGCCCTTTCTCAGAGATAAGAGGCAGGAGAGAGAGGGCAAAGTCCACTCTCAGCCCCCTCTGTGAGGCCTATCAAAATAGAAGCCCTGGCTCCCTGCATATCTGGCAGGGTCTCTTCACCCAGGAATCTTTCAGGTAGAGGAGGCTTCTGGCTAGAGGGACTTCTGTGTCTCCCACAGAATACAGTTCTCCTCCCCTTTTTGCCTACCTCCTTGCCAACAGCCAGGGTCACGCTGATCCTTTACAGACAGGGAAGCCTTGGGAAGAGAGAATGTACGTGTGTTGGGGTGGTGAGCTTATCTTTTTTATCTTTTTTTTTTTTTTAAGGTGAAGTCTCACTCTGTCATCCAGGCTGGAGTGCAGTGGTGTGATCTCAGCTCACTGCAACCTCTGCCTCTCTGGCTCAAGTGGTTCTCCTGCCTCAGCCTCTCTAGTAGCTGGGATTACAGGCGCCTACCATCACACCCGGCTAGTTTTTGTATTTTTAGTGGAGACGGGGTTTCACCATGTTGGCCAGGCTGGTCTCGAACTCCTGACTTCAAGCAATCTGCCGCCTTGACCTCCCAAAGTGCTGGGACTACAGGAGTGATCCACCGCGCCCGACCTCTGGGGAGCTATCTTGATTGGAGAAGTTGATGGCTCAGAACTGGGTGAGAGGGATGGGGAGGGTGGGCATAGGAGTCAGGGCGCTCCTAGTGCTCTTGAGTGGAAAGAGCCCTGGAGTGGGAATCAGAGCCGTGAGTTTTATTCCTAACTCAACCCCCACCATGCTGTGCAACCTGAGGCAGGTCCTGTCCCTTCTCAGTGTCTCTGTTTTCTTATCTGTACAACAGTAGGATTGGAGTTCATGGTTGCTAAGGGTTCATGTACTGGTTACACAAATATTGATTAAGCCCCTACTTCAGCCAGCAGCCAAGCTCTGGGGATACAGTTGGGAGCAAGACTGACCTGTCCCTTGTTCCAGAAGTTGATTCTAGTAGGGAAGACAGATACTGGCAAGTAATCACAAGGACACTGCACTCTGGAGAGCAGTCTAGGGCACTGCAGGGGCCCACAGCTGACAGATCCAACCCAGCCTTAGGCATTGGGCTTAGAACAAAGCAGCAGCTCAGAGAACAACTCAGCTTTTGCCTGGGCTTTGCCTTGGAGCCCCACGTAGCTCTTTGTTCCCCAATGCTCCAGATCCCCACTACCTGGGGTCAGTACATCAGGGGCTCAGATCCTGAGTGGGGTGCTCCCACCCCTGCTTTCCCGATGAGTCTGAAGGTAGACATAAACTGTCATCCTCAGAACTGGAAACTCCTTGAATCAACCAGAAAGGGATGAGAAGGTCAAAGGCAGAAGGGTCCATCCCAGGGAGGTTTGCAAATGGGAGAGCTGGGATAGACTGCGGAGCTTCCTGAGGCTCCTCCAACAGGCAAAGGCGGAGCCCATTCCACATTAACAGCGGAGAAGCAAGTCTTCTGTCAGAGGCGTTCGAACCAGAGCGACTCCATCTTGATTGAGGGCTAGGAAAATGAGGCTGGGATTTGCTGGGCTGCATTCCCAGAAAGTTAGCTATTCCTAGCCTCTAGATGTTACGGTTAAGGAAACAGATTGATAACGTTTACTAAACAGACCCAGACTTAGAGGAGTGTCCTGATATCCTGATGCCATGAGAACAGAAGCATTCTTAATTTTGCTTTGAAGATAATAATATCGATTCTTGCAAAACACAGTAATTAAGAAAAGTAATCCTTTATCACAAACCCTTGTAGCAGAGCACATCTCCCCATGATCTTTTTTAAATCCTATATATAAATGAGTATTGTACCGAGGGTGGACACGTTCCTCTTATTGCTTTCGAGAACTCCCTACTCTGTCAATAGAGTAGCTGTTCTTTCACCACTTTACTTTCTTTCTTTCTTTCTTTCTTTCTTTTTTTTTGAGATGGAGTCTCGCTCTGTAGCCCAGGCTAGAGTGCAGTGGCACGATCTCGGCTCACTGCAACCTCTGCCTCCCGGGTTAAAGCAAATTCTCCTACCTCAGCCTCCCGAATAGCTGGGATTACAGGTGCCCACCACCACGCCTGGCTGATTTTTGGATTTTTAGTAGAGATGGGGTTTCACCAAGTTGGCCAGGCTGGTCTTGAACTCCTGACCTCAGGCGATCCACCCGCCTTGGCCTCCCAAAGTGCTGGGATTACAGGCGTGAGCCACCACACCTGGCCTTTACTTTCTTAATAAAATTGATTCCACTTTTGCACTGTGGACTCGCTCTGAATTCTTTCTTGCATGAGATCCAAGAACCCTCTCTTGGGGTCTGGATTGGGACCACTTTCCGGTAACACTTCCAGCACAGTGGTTTTCAACCTCAGCTGTATGCTGGAATCAGGAGTTTTAAAACTCCTGATGTCTAACCCCCAGAGTTTCTGAGGTAATTGGCCTTGGGTGCAGCCAGGGCAGGGGATTCTAATGTGTTAAGTTGGGAACAGTGGCCTGCTGCCTGAAGGCTGGAGTATCCTCAGAGGCCAACAGGGAAGGAGGCCAAACAGGTCAGAGAGTGTCCAGCTCCGTCCAGGGAACAAACAGGCTGTGTTGTGGGTAGCATGGGCAGGGTCCCTAGAAAGGACTGCTTGGTAGTGTAGCAAGGATTATCCCCACCACCACCCTGAAGCCCTACCCCGACCCCAGATAAAATACAGAATGCCCAGGGAAACTTGAATATCGGATGGACAGGTAAATTTTTAGTATGAGTATGTCTCTTGCAATCTTTAGGGGTAGACTTATACTAAACAATTATTTGTTGTTTATCTGAAATTCAAATTTAATTGTGTGTCCTGTTTTTTGATTTGCTGAATCTGGCAACCCTACCTCACCCCATCCCTGAGCGGGGAGTCAAGAGTTCCAGTTGCGGGTCCCAGCCCTCTGATTCCAACATGTTGGTGACCTTGGGCAACTCACTGCCCCTCTCTGAATCTTGGTCACCTCACCTACTTATGATGTCCCTCCTGCCTGAGGGACAGGGTCAGCTGTTCCGAAGGGCAGTAAGCATGGATCACAAGATCCCTGGAAAGGCATCGAGTTGTCTATAAAGGAATACAGGGCCTTTCTCCCTAAGAAATCAGCATTTTCCTTCTGTGGTTTGATCCCATCTGTCCATCCATCCATCCATCCACCCACCCACTCAAGATTCTTGAATGGTTTTCAAGAATCTTCTTGTCCTGGAGATGCTGACCTGAGACTAAAGCTGAGGGCAGAGGTGATCTCCAGGGTGTAAGTTACTTTTTTTTTTTTTAAGACAATGTCTCGCTCTGTCGCCCAGATTGGAGTGCAGTGGTGCTATCTCGGCTCACTGCAAGCTCCACCTCCCGGGTTCACACCATTCTCCTGCCTCAGCCTCCCGAGTAGCTGGGACTACAGGTGCCCGCCACCACAACAGGCTAATTTTTTGTATTTTTAGTAGAGATGGGGTTTCACCGTGTTAGCCAGGATGGTCTCAATCTCATGACCTCGTGATATGCCCGCCTCGGCCTCCCAAAGTGCTGGGATTACAGGCATGAGCCACCGCACCTGGCCTCCAGGGTGTAAGTTTCTCTCGCTTTCTCCCTTCTCCTCTCTCCTTCCTTCCTTCTCTTCCCTCCTATTCTCATGCTCTCTGACATCCTCATGCATCCAGTTGACAACTCCCCCTCCCTACCAAACAGAAAGAGTTCACCTTACATTGAGCAAGTGGCTGTGGTGGGCCTACTATGTGCCAGGCACACAGCCTACTAAGTGCTGAGGATACCATGGTGGCTCAGTCCCTGCCCACATGAAGCTTCTAGTCTGAGGGTGGAGTGTGAAGGGACAAAGTTAAATAATCACTGAAGTGAAGATGGCATGGCAAACCTTGGCAAGTGCCCTGAAGGAAAAGAACAGAGCACTGAGAGAGTACAAAACAGAGAACCTGGCCTTGATCCCTTGAGGGAATATCCTTTGAACTGATAACTGAAGGGCAGGAAGGGGAAAAGGCACCTCAGCAGATGGCACTCACATGCAAAGGAGACCTTTGAGGAATGGCGAGAAGGCTGGCATGGTGGGAGTGCGGAGGGTGGGGCAGAGAGTGGCACGAGATAGGGTGGACGTGTTGGCAGGGCTGGCTGTGCTGGGTGGTGGAGACCATGCAAAGAATTAGGGTTTTGGCCAGATGCTGTGGCTCACGCCTGTAATCCCAGTACTTTGGGAGGCCGAGGCAGGCAGATCACGAGGTCAGGAGATCGAGACCATCCTGGCCAACATGGTGAAACCCCGTCTCTACTAAAAATACAAAAATTAGCCAGGCGTGGTGGCGCGTGCCTGTAGTCCCTGCTACTCAGGAAGCTGAGGCAAGAGAATTGCTTGAACCCAGGAGGCAGAGGTTGCAATAAGCTGAGATCATGCCATTGTACTCCAGGCTGGGCAACAGAGTGAGACTCCATCTCAAAAAAAAAAAAAAAGGAGTCTTTAGCCCATTCCAGGACCCAGCAATCCTACTCCTAGGCTTCTTCCTGTTTCAGTTTCCTATTGCCGTTGTAACAAATTGCCGCAAACTTGGTGGCTTAAAACAAATCTACTATCCTACGGTTTCAAAGGTCAGAAGTCAGAAACTGGGTGTCACTGGGCTGTCATCATGGTGGCTGCAGGACTGCTCCCTCTGGAGGCTCTAGGGGGAAGACCCGTTTCCTTGCCTCTGCCAGCTCCCTGAGGCTGCCTGTGCTCCCTGGCTTATCCTCAAAGCCAGCAATGGCCAGCTGAGTCTTTCTCACGCTGTCATCTCTCTGGTCCTCTCACTCTGCTGCCCTCTTCCACTTATAGAGATCCTATGATTACATGGGGCCCATCCAGATAATCCAGGATAATACATCATCTCGAGGTCAGCCTATTAGCAGCTTTAATTCCATCTGCAACCTTAATTTCCCTATGCCGACCGGGCGTGGCAGCTCATGCCTGCAATCCCAGCACTTTGGGAGGCTGAGGCAGGCAGATTACCAGAGGTCAAGAGTTTGAGACCAGCCTGGCCAACATGGTGAAACCCTGTCTCTACTAAAAATACAAAAATTAGCCAGGCGTGGTGGTGGGCACCTGTAATCCCAGCTACTCAGGAGGCTGAGTCAGGGAGAATCTTGAACCCGGAAGGTGGAGGTTGCAGTGAGCTGAGATTGTGCCATGGCACTCCGGCCTGGGCAACAGAGCGAGACTCCATCTCAATAACAAAAACAACAAAACAAACAAACACCCCCAAAATTAGCCAGGTGTAGTGGCACGCACCTTTAATGCCAGCTACTTGGGAGGCCGAGGCACGAGAATTGCTTGAAGCTGGGAGACAGAAGTTGCAGTGAGTTGAGATTGTGCCATTGCACTCCAGCCTGGGCAATAGAGTGAGACTCTGTCTAAGAAATTAATTAATTAATTAATTTTAAAAAATTCCCTATGCTATGTAACCTAACACATTCATGGCTTCTGGCAATTAGGACACAGTCATCTTTGGGGAACCATTATTCTGCCTACCACACTAACTCAAGAGAAATAAGCATAGTATCTACCAAAAGACATGTACAAGAATGTCCACAGCAGACTGTCTTAGTCTGTTCCTGCTGCTATAACTAAATACCTTAGACTGGGTAATTCACAAGTAACAGAAATTTATTTCTCACCATGCTGGAGCCTGGGAAGTCCAAGATCAAGGCACTGGTAGGACTGGTGTCTGGGGAAGGCTAGCTTGCTGTTTTCAAGATGGTGTCTCTTGTGTCCTCACATGGCAGAAGGGACAGAAGGGACAGAAGTTCCCTTGTACCCTTTTATAAGGGTACTAATGCCACCTGCCCTTATGGCCCAATTACCTCCCAAGGGCCTCATCTCTTAATACCATCACTTTGGGGGTTAAGTTCCAATGTATGAACTTTGGAGGGACACATACATTCAAACCATAGCAAAGCTTTATTCATAAGAGCCCCAAACTGGAAAAAGCTCCAAAATCCACCAACAGCAGAATAGATTATCAAATTATAGTATATTCATCTCATGAAATATTACACGGCAATAAAAAAGAATGTACTACTGATACATACAATAACATGGATGAATCTCACAGACATAATGTTGAGCTATAGAAGCTAGACACAAAAGACTGCATACTAGATGATGCCATTTATAAGAAGTTCAGGAACAGCAAAGCCAATGCATAGCACAGAAATCCAAATAGTGGTTACTACTTGGGGGTGGAAATTGACTCTGAAGGGCACAAAGGGCTGGAAATGATCTGCATTTTCATCTGGGTGTGGTCACAGGTATGCACATATATAGAAGTTTGTCATGCTGCATGCTTTACTGTCAGTGAGTTATAACTAAGAAAAATTGAAGTCTGTATTTCTTTTTTTAGTAGAGATGGGGTTTCACCATGTTGGCCAGGATAGTCTTGATCTCCTGACCTCATGATCCACCTGCCTCGGCCTCCCAAAGTGCTGGGATTATAGGTGTGAGCCACTGCGCCTGGTTGAAGTCTGTATTTCAAAACAATGGGAGATCACAGCAGGGTTTCAAGCAGTGACGTGACATAATCTGGTGTTCACTTATAAAAGGTCACTCTCTCTGTTGGGTAGAAAACAGATGAGAAGTGAGAGCAGCTGCTGTTGCCCTGAAGACAAAGGTGCCCTTGGCTTAGGAGGTACTGAGGGAAATGGACAGAAGTTGGTGGTTTCAAATATATTTAGGAGGAAGAATCAATAGGACGTGATTTAGGAGATACAGTAGTTGAATAGATGGATGGACGGGTTGAGAGGTGGGTGGATGGATGGATGGATGGATGGATGGATGGATAGGTGAATGGATGGATGGATGGGTGGATGGATGGATGGATGGATGGATGGATAGGTGAATGGATGGATTGAAGGATGGATGGATGGATGGATAGATGGATGGATGGATAGGTGGATGGATGGATGGATGGATGGATGGATGGATAGGTGGATGGATGGATGGATGAATGGATGCATGGATGGATGGATAAATGGATGGATGGATAAATGGATGGATGGATAAATGGATGGATAGATGGATAGGTGAGTGAATGGATGGATAGGCGGATGGATGGATGGATAGGTGGATGGATGGATGGATGGATGGATGAATGGATGGATGGATAAATGGATGGATGGATAGGTGAGTGGATGGATGCATAGGCGAGTGGATGGATGGATGGATGGATGAGTGCATGGATGGATAAGTGGATGGATGGATGGATGGATGGATGGATGGATGGATGGATGGATAGATGAATGAATAGATGGACAGATGGATGGATGGGTGAATGAGTGGATGGGTAGGTGCATGGGTGAATGAACAGACTGAGTGGATGAATAGGTGAGTGGATGGTTGGGTGGGCAGATGGGTAGGTGGGTGTGCAGGTGTGTAGATGGGTAGATGGGTGAAAAGGTAGGGGGAAGAATGAGTGTGTGGGTGAATGGGTGGATGGAACACCTTCAAGAGGACAGACTCTCTCCTCTGGTTGTTGGTGTCCAGAAAGTGCAGATGAATCACACTAGTCAGTAAATACCCGTTTTCCTTTGAGACATCTGTGTTTACTCTCCCATAGCTCCCCAGTGCCCCAAGGAGAAAAACTATTTGCTACCATACCCATCAGCGAGCAAACACAAATAGGCTGCTTAATGAGATGCAAGGATCTCCCAATCCGCTGGGCATTTCAGGGGAAGTGCTGGTGATACCCAAACTAATGGGGATTAGGCAGAGGTGGAAAAAACTCCCAGAGCTTCCCCTAGGAAGCTGTCAGTCCTTGTTCTCCTCCCTCTTGTCATGACCACCAAACTGCCATCACTGTCACCACCTCCAGCATCTCCTCTGTCACCACCCCCATTACAACCACTACCACACAGATTTTTGAGATTCTGACTGAAAATTGTGTTTACCAGGTAAAAGATAGGGGCTTGTAGGCGCCCCTCTGGCAAGAGAGAACAACTCGTCTCTTGGTGGTGGGTAACATTTTAACCCCTGGGTTACCAGCAAAGCCTTGTGGTCCAGCTCCCACTTCTAGCCTGTTTGGTCCTGTGATCCATTCATGTTACCTTATAGCAGGAGGGACAAGGAAGGCAGGGAGAGAAAAGTTCTGGCAGTGCAGGGAAAGTCGCTGTTTTCAGAAGCAAGAAGGTCTGAAATCCTACTAGGAGAAGCCCTGGTGATCCAGAGCTGACTCCAGGTGTCCTGAGGTCCATTTCACATGGATTTGCTAGACCTTGCAACTGGCTAATTTCTCCCTCTGTGACAGTCTGCAGCCTAGCCTCCAGAGCTTTTCTCTGGCCTCCCCAGACAGGCTGAGATTGTGCTATTTGGGTAAACAACATTCCCCGCGGTTGTCAGAGACAGACTTATTTACCTGGTAGCAGCAGTTCCTTCCTACCCACCTCGTCAGATGCATCAGGACTCAGGGTGGGAACCAGCACTCATCACATTCAAGGGTGGAAGACCCAGCATCGGAGGGGTGGGCAACAGACCTCACACATACTACGGGATCCAGGGCTGTGTATTGCAAAGTCACATTCACTGTTTAGCTCGGAGGCCTCTCTGGACTTTCTACGTCTGGGAATAAGCTAGGCTAAAGCTATCATGCCCCAGAGCTGTGATTTCATCCAGTTATCCTATACCCTGCAGCCAAGCTAAAATATAGTCACTATATCTCCCTCGGCCATGAGCAGATACTTTATACTTTAAAACCCTGCATGCTTTGAATTCCCCTGACTGCTTAGCCAAGGTGTCATATTGGCTCCCACTATCTCAGGCAGTGAGGAAAGGTGGTCACTCAATCCCTGCCTCCACAGGGCAATACAGTCAGGGGATGGTGCTCAGCTTAGGAATTCTGCAGTTGTCTTTCTGCAGGCAGCTCTACCCTACTGCAGTTACTGACCAAGCCATCCCATCCTGCAGCTGCTGGGAGCTGAGTTGGGGCAGGGTACAGCTGTGCCAGCTGTCGGAGATAGATTACACTATGAAGCTCGGCTGTGACTCACATTCCAGCACAGGGGAAATGCGCAAAAGTTCTATGCTGTCTTTGGGGTGCTAAAAATCATCCTGGCTTTGTCTTGCAAGATGTTCGGCTTGCGGAGCATGGGGCAGATGGAGGACCCTTCCATCTGGGTCCTCCATGGGGAGGAGGCAGGGGGCAGATCTGTCTCCAGCCAACTGCCTGTCACACAACTGCCACAGCTACTAATAACAACACTCAGCATTTAATCAGCCCCTTTGTGGATGCAGACGCTGTCACACTCATTAATTAGTTAATCTGCACAGCCCCGCAGGAGGAAGAGTCATGTTATTATCCCCACTGGGACTCAGAAGGAAACTGAGGCCAGAGTGGGAACTTGGCACAGAGCGGAGGGAGCACAGCCTGACAGCTGGACTGGGACCAGTCTACGACTTGTCTGTTCTGGTGCCCTCGCTCTTGTCCTCCTCCCCAGCTCCTGTCTGCTCACAGTGCTGGTGACTATCTCCAAAGACACCTGGCCAAATGCTGTCAGAACTGGGCCTGAAGGTGCTCAGAGAGAAGGCCAGGCATGGCTTTGGCGTGGAGAGGATGCACCTCTGGTAGCTGGACCAGGTCAGGTCTGTGGGGAGTGTGTGCTCTGGAACAGCCACCCTTTCTGATATGTTTCTTCCAAAGCGTCTTGGAACTAGAAATAGAAGTGATGAGGGTGCCCCTCTCTCTCATCAAAATGCCTGTTTCCTGTGCAGGCGGCTCTGGGTTTTGATTGTGTGTCTGGTGGTTTTAGAATGGAAGGGAGGAGCAAATCCATCAGGAGGCACCATTGTGGTTCCACTGGAAACTGGGACTGGCCATCTGGGGATCTTTGACACACGCAGACACACACACACACACCATGGGTAGAACCCACACCCCCGTGAAGGACCTCTTACATCATTGTACCCAGTGGTCGATGTTGCTGGAAGCCTGCTGAGATGCCTTACAGCCATGGCTCAGCCCTCAAGAAGAAGGCTTAGGTCAGTCTGTCAGGCAAAGAATCCTGACTGAATAAGAATCGGGCAGGAGACCTGCAGAACACAGAAATAAGGCGTTAGAGGATGGAATTCGCTAGTACCTTCTAGGAGTTTGTGACCAATTGCAAAAATAAAGACTGCAGTCCCTCCCTGTCTTTCCTTGCTTGTTACTAGAGTTGTTGAAGATTAAATAGTTGACCATTTCCCCCTTTAAGAAAATATGAATCACAATTTGAAAATGTTTTTGTTATCTTTCCTTTTCCTTTCACCTAACATTTATGTGTGTATGTATTTTTTTGAGAGGGAGTCTTGCTCTGTCGCTGGAGTGTAGTGGCGTGATCTCGGCTCACTGCAACCTCCGCATTCCAGGTTCAAGCGCTTCTCCTGCCTCAGCCTCCTGAGTAGCTTGGATTATAGGCGCGCGCCACCATACCCAGCTAATTTTTATATTTTTAGTAGAGACGGGGTTTCACCATGTTGGTCAGGCTGGCCTTGAACTCCTGACCTTGTGATCTGCTTGCCTCGGCCTCCCAAAGTGCTGGGATTACAGGCGTGAGCCACCACGCTGGGCCTATTTTTTTTTTTTTTTTTTTGAGACGGAGTCTCACTCTGTTGCCCAGGCTGGAGTGCAGTAGCGGGATCTCGGCTCACTGCAACCTCCACCTCCCGGGTTCAAGCAACTCTCCTGCCTCAGCCTCCCGAATAGCTGGGATTACAGGTGCCCATCACCATGCCCAGCTGATTTTTGTATTTTTAGTAGAGATGGGGTTTCACCATGTTGGTCAGGCTGGTCTTGAACTCCTGACCTCAGGTGATCCACCCGCCTCAGCCTCCCAAAGTGCTGGGATTACAGGTGTGAGCCACCGCACCCGGTCACCTAACATTTATAATAGTGGTGTTTCTCAGCCTTTCATGTGCATTCAAATCACCTGGGAATCTTGTTGCCAACCTGAGATTCTTGGGCCTGAGATTATGCATTCCCGTTAAGCTTCTGGGTGGTGCCAATGTCTCACTCTGAGTAGCAAGAGTTCAAAGGATTTGGTGATGGTAAAAGTAACCCTTTAATTCAGTTAAATGACCAGATGGGATCAATCACCTTGAAGATCTTGAAATAATAGTAGCCTCATGACATCAAGTGTGAAGGTGACTGTTGGTACTTGTCTGGTGAAGACAACTTTGGAGGAATGGGAAGAAGGACTGGCGTGTGTCGGGACACATGTGTGCACATGGACACATGTGAGTTTGTGTACATGGGACAGCTAAGGGATGGATCCGTAGTAGACAGCCTTTTTTTTTTTTTTTTTTTGAGATGGAGTCTGGCTCTCTTGCCCAGGCTAGAGTGCAATGGCACGATCTCGGCTCACTGCAACCTCTGCCTCCCACGTTCAAGTGATTCTTCCGCCTCAGCCTCCCGAGTAGCTGGGATTACAGGCACCTGCCATCATGCCAGGCTAATTTTTGTACTTTGGTAGAGATAGGGTTTCACCATGTTGGCCAGACTGGTCTCGAACTCCTGACCTCAGGTGATCCACCTGCCTCTGCCTCCCAAAGTGCTGGGATTACAGGCATGAGCCACCGCCCCTGGCCGACAGTCTTTGGACTGGCTGTTCAGGTCATGATTCTCCTCCTCTGGGAGTGTCTCTCAACGGGGAAAAGTGGACTGACATGTTTGTATCACAAAGCACTTTCTGCCCTGGCCATAGCTGATTGACCGTGGCCTGATCTGGACTAATAAGATTCTTTTTTTCTGGGAATCGGGAACTTTGAACCAAGAGACATCCAATCTGGCAGTTTTGATTCTGATTAATGGCAATGATCTAGAAAGAAGATCCCTAAACTGATACTGCTACAGTTGTCCCTTAAAGCCTCCCCTGATCTCTGCCCTTCCTGAGCCTTGAGGAATTCAACTCCTCCTTGAATCCCCTGAGGTGCCCCACTGGGTATATGCGCCCACTCCTCATTTTCCTTGTTACCTACGTGAGTTTGCTTTCTAAATAATCACAGGTAACACAGAACTCCTTCCAGAAGTGGCTCCATCTGCTTCAATAAAAGGCAGTCCTGGCCTCACAGTCTCATTTCCAACCCAAATGTCCACGTAATTTTCAGACCGAGGCTTCTGCTCAAGCCGGGCACCCCACTACCCACACCTCCTTGTTCACCTATGGCTCCCACTTCTACTGAACTGCGCGATCACTGTGATTTTGGGGGTGGCAACAGGGCCTAGGAAACATTTTAGAGGCACTTCTCTTGCCTGAAAGAAAACGTTCTTCCCCTTTTTGTCTCTGATGAATCTTTACTGGATCTTTGGGACCCAGCTGAGTCATCCCGACCTGCAGACTGGACTCCCATCCCCAGGCTTAAATTCCTTTCCAAGGGCTCTGTCTGTCCTCTCGGCTTAGCTTCTGTGTTAAAACCCCCTCCATCTGCGTCTCCTCCCCAGCAGAATGAGCTCCTTGAAGTCAGGGCCCGCCTTCTGCTCCTCTCTGTGCTCCACTCCCCCAGTTCAGCACAGTGCTCCCAGGGAGGTGTAAGCGACTTACGGTGAATGAAAGGGCGTGAAGGGGAACAGGAGGGGCGGTTTTCTTCATTTACCAGAAATTCAAAATTGACCAAGTAAACCCCTTTGGAGACCAGGCACGATGCTGGGCACTGGGAACGGGGGTAGGGGTGGGGGGTGGGGGGGTGGTAGGGAGGAGGGGGTACCCAGGGTACCCACGGGCTCTGTCGCCCGTGGGGAAGGATGGGCATTTACCCTTCCCATTCATCAGGATGGGAGGGCCACGGACTCCCCCCACGGCAGTGCCGGGTAGACCCCTGCACCACACCGTGCCAAGGCCCTTTCTCACAGTCACGCCAGGAACTCTAGCCATGCTCTGACTTCTCAAGCAGAGTTCAGTCACCCCGAGGAGGTGGGACCCGTCTCTCTCCTCCCCACAAATGAACCAGTTCTCCAGTGATCCTACTTCCTTTTTTCCCTCTCCCACGCTAAAACTGGTCACGAGGGACCTAAAGGAGGGGCAGGCACCCAGGCGGCTCCCTTCCCCGCACGCATCGCGGCCAGTCCAGCCCCTCCCGGCCGCCCACGGGACCCCAGCCGAGCCTGAGCCAGGCGCCCACCGCCCCCACGCGCAGGGCCGGCGCCCGCGGAAGACTCGGCTCTCCCTGGCCTCGACGCCGCTCCCCTCCCTGGCGCCAGGGGGCGCTGCCTCCCCACGACCGTCGCCATGGTCACCGCTGGCGGCGGAGAGGGGTTTACGTAAAGGACGCAGCGTCCCCCGGGGGGCGGAGGCGGCCTTCGCGCCGGCGCCGGCGCCCTGCGGAAGCGGCGTTAGTGAATCGGGGCCTTGGGGAGCCCAGGATGGAGGTGGCGGTCGCGGCGGCGGGCCGAGCCCTGCGGCGGGCGGGAGGTAAGGGGGGCCTCCGGCGCGGCGGGCCGGTCCTGGGCGCGGGCGCGGTGCGAGCGGCGCGGCGGGCTGGGCAGTGTCCAGGGCGCGCGGTGGCCGGCCCGACGGGTCGGCGGGCGGAGTTGCAGCTGCCACGCGCGCCCGTGGCAGGTGTGAGGTCTGTGGAGCCCCTGGCACCAGCGTGGGGATGGTGACACGCGTGGCACGGGCGTGGGCAACGTGGGTCCGGCACAGGCGGCGTGGTTTTCCTGGAACGGGTCTCAGAAGACTCGCCTCCACCTTGGTGCGGTGGTGGCCACGCAGGTGTGAGGTGGTGCAGCTGTCTGCACAGGTAGGTGATGGGCACGGCCTTCGGACTGGTTATGGGATAGGTGGCCAGCTCGTGCCGGCATGGTGGTGCCGCTAGCATGGGTGTGAGGAAGTGCTGCCATTGCTTGGGTGTTGGGATGGTTCTGGCCTTGGGCTTGACATGATCTGGGGTGATAGCACTGGGGGCTTGAAGAATTGGTGTTCTCAGCATGGCTAGAGTTCCTGGCATGACTGTGAGAAAGGGCCTTGGCACGGTGTGGTGCGGGGGGCTACCCGGCACTGCCGCGGGGGGAGTCCGTGGCCCTCCCATCCTGATGAATGGGAAGGGTAAATGCCCATCCTTCCTCACGGGCGATGAAGGGGACACTGCCTCTGTCATGGGGGTCCAGTTTTAATGCCTGTTGGGTACACTGGACTGAGGAGGGCAGAAGGCTGGGAGAAGGTTGGTGTCCTTTATAATGGGCATAAACAAGAGATGCCAGGAGAAGCTTCTACCACAAGGGCCCTGATGGTAACCCAGATAGAGACCTTCCAGGCACTACCGTTGTCCTGGGCTAAGGTAGAGAGAACCATTCATCTAGCTTTTCATCTAGCTTTGGGAATGAAGGGAGGGGTGGATGATTTTCAGTGGTGATCGGTGTCCCAGAATATGTCCTGAGAAGCAAGCAGGACCAAGAGGTAACCCGGGTCAGCGAGTGAGGGAGTGGTATGGCGCACCATCTATCTGTAGTCACGGGGTCCTGCCTTCTCCCTGGGTTGATGGGTTCACTCCAGGGTATCTGGGAGTTGCCTCTCTTCTTTGATGCTGGGGAGCCTTTGGGTCCAGAGGATTGGATCGATTGGGGTATGCTTGAAAGATGATTCTGCAGCCACTGGGAATCTGCTGGGGCCACCGGGACTCCCACCCCCAGGCTTAAATTCCTTTCCAAGGGCTCTGTCTGTCCTCTCTGCTTAGCTCCTATGTTAAAACCCCTCCATCTGCGCTGAGATTGTGTTTGCTCTCACCAGTCCTTTGGGAAGCTTTGGGTGAAGGTCTCACTCAGCATCACCTAGTGCCTTACTTTACAGAGAAGCAATTTGCAGCTCCTCCTAGAGAAGTCTTACAGTGTAGGGGAAATCTTCAGTTCTTTGTGGATCTCTTGGGGGAGTGGGATCAGTGGTAGAAGAATCACAGGGTTGAGCTTGTGCTGGGGAAGGCACTTATGAGTCCAAAAAGATGATGTTGAGGGTAGGGTGGCAGGTGGTCGCCAAATTGCCAAGGTGGGTGCTTGGAGATGCTGATGAGTTCCCTATAACCGGAGCACTGTCCGATGCCTTTGGAGCCATATCACTTTAATTCCAGTGTTGGCTGTGTGACCTTCAGCAGGTGACTTCACCAATCAAGGCATGTCACATGGTGGTCTGGTAGTAAAGAATGAAAGGAAATGGTGCACGTGGAAACACTTTGCAAACAGCGAAAGACTGTACAAAGGTCAGAGAGTCTCATCAAGTAAAGAGACCAGGGCTGGAGGCAGGAGCCATAGGAAATGGTGGCACGGGATGTGATTGGGAGGAAGGGAGCCGGAAGGTTGAGGGCCTGTCATAGGGAATTAGAGGCCCTGAGCGCACATGCTCCCGGTGGGGGCAAGTGGGATCTGTTGACACTGTGAGTCAGCTGCTGAGCTGGAACCAGGCCCCCGGTCTCCAGAGGACAGTCCTGAGCATGGCCCCGGCAGCTGTGAAGTCCTGCAGGAGTGGCCCAAGCAGGAGGAAGCACTTTGCTTGGGCAGCAGACGTGCCTCATTGCCAGGGTAGGTCTGGGAGGTGTCTGTGGCTGACAGATCTAGGGTACCTGTGTGGGAGGAAGACTTGGGAAGTGTGTGTGTTTTCTCTGGAGAATTTCCTTTGGCTCTGGGTTCTGAGAACGGGGGTGGGGAGCAGTCACATCAGCGTCTTTTGGGCTGTGGCCTGAAGGAAATGAAGTGGGTCAGAGCATCCACAGATCGATGTGGCTCAGGTCTGGATGGTTCTGCGGGAGGTTGAGGCTGGATGGCAGGGGGACGGGGGGGGGAGGTGTGGAGGATGCCCTCAGACACATAGGGGAAAGGAAAGGGGGCTACAGGCACCTCTGAGGGCAGACAGGTGTGGCACCTCTCCCAATGTGGCCCCACTTCTGGCTGAAGTGCCTTCCCAGGTGGGGAGGATGAGGGTGGCTGCACAGTGCTTTGCTCTCTGCCACCAGGAGCCTAATTCCCGACAACAAGCTGCAGAGCCTGAGTTGCAGACCCTGCCCCATGGCGCTGGAAGTCCTGTTTTTCTCTCACCCAGGCCGTTTCTTCAGCATTCCATGCGGGTGTCTGCCTTAGCCAGCAACCTGTTTCACATCCTTGCTCCCCGAGGAAAGTTTTTGCCCTGTGCCCAGGCTGCAGTGTCAAGCCATGTGGGTGGAAGGAGGACACGGCCCTCCCAGACCCAGGGTTGTGAGCTGACTTTTCCATGCTATGGACTCGCCCTGTCCCCGTAGCTGCCACGCAGACACTGTCCAGCATTGCAGGTGCTTCCCTGGTCATTCCCATGTTGGTCTGAGGGGTATCCATGGCCTGTCTCACCCGCTCCCTGCAGTGCTTCATACCTCCCCCGAGGAGTTGCTGGGCACTTCAGCTCATGTCTGGAAAGCTCTCTTAAGTGCAGAGTCCATTAAGGAGGAAGCCTACAGCCTCCCTGTTGTGAATATTCAGTATTCAAGTCTCCTCAGCTCACCCTCCACACCTCCTCCTGTTTGTTCTGATTTGTGGCTCAGCCTTATGGTTTGGGGCTCCAGGAGCCCTTTTCAGCCACCCTTTGCCTTCTGCTTGGGATGCTGGGACTGCCCACCAGAGCTGAGTGGCAGGCAGGGCAGATCTGAAGACACTGAGAGGAGGAGTTGGCCTCTGTTCCCCAAAAGGAGAGCTGAGCTTTCTTCCCAGTCCTGGGGTTTTGGGGTAGCAGGGAGCCCAGCCAGGTTAGCACCCTTGTCATTGTGCACAGATGCTGATTTCGAGTAAGTTCCAGCTGAGGCAGGGGGCCAGTCACTTAGGAGTGGACCTCGAGGGCAAGCAGCTCCCTGGAGCTACAATATTTCAACTCTGGTCCCCAGTCATATTCCCATTTTCCTTGTCCATGTTTCTCTAAAAGTTGCTTTCCTCAGCTCCTGGCAATTCCTCAGCTGCCCCATAAATCACAGTGCCTGGCTGCTGTGCTTTAGGGGTGCCGGGGAGCCAGGCATCTGTGGCCAGAGGATGCTGGACCAGAGCTGACAGCAGCGGGCCAGAAGGCTGCAGCTGAAGGCACAGCTTGTCACTGGAAGCCACTCCTCCCCCAGTCCCTCTCCTCGAGACCAGAGGGGAACCTCAGTGTTTAATCACCTGTTGGCCCATCACTCTGTGATTTCAATTTCTCACCGGAATAGCTTTACATTACACTCCAGTGGACTGGGCAAGTAGCGCTGGGGGAAATATCAATGAGCATGTGGTCAGAGGAAGATAAATCTTTTAGAACCGCGGAGCCCAGGACATTGCAGGATGCGGTTACCTCCCCAGCGGATAGGGCTGAAAATGGTTTATTTTGATTTTCTTTTTTTGTTTCTGATACTGACTTGGGCTGGGCGTGGTCTTTCTGGGTTGGATGGGAAGCGTGAGTGTGGGTGTGGACGTGGGTTGTGTGTGTGGGCAGGAAAGACCCAGGAAACTGCCTTATCTGTGAGGACCTCTTTGCTGCTGAGGAAGGAGTCCAGGGAGATGCCGTGGAGGGGATTGGTGTGACCACGGGTAAGGGTGTTTTCATGGGGTGTTTGGCAGGAACGCCTAAGTCCTCTAGATGGGGATGGGGCTGTTATTACCGCGGGGCTGCCCGGGGAGTGCACGTGTGTAAAGTTGCTTGTGCCCATAAGTGTTTCTGTGGGAAGTGAGGGCGGAGGGGGTGTGGAGCGCCTGGTGGTGTGGGAGCGCGCAGGCTCCCGTGTCTGGCTGGCCTGGTGTTGGTGGGTGTGCGGAGCTGGGGGTTGCCGGGCTCTTCACAGCAGGAGGGAACAGTGGGAGTCGGAGGAGGCTGCCTTCAGGCTGTGGGAGGGCAGAGGGTGGGTTTCATACCTCATGTTATGACTCTTTACATGAGGAGCCGAGTGCTTTCTCAGTATTCCTTAGAAGGAAGCTGGGCTGCAGGCGGGGCTCTCACACACCCTTCTGTGTGCTACCTGGGGGCGTCTCACACGCCTGCTTCCATGCTCCTCCTTGAACCACCTGGAAGTCAGCTGGGGACAGTCCCCTCCCCCCCATGACAGAAGATAGCATTGTAGCCCATGGGTAGTTATGACTTCAGACTCTGGAACCTCACGGACCCAGATTGGATGCTGGCACACCTCAGTTTCCTAATCTGTAAGATGGGGACAGTAAAACCTCCGAGAGCCGAATGGCAAGAATTCTCCCAGGTAATGCCTGGTGCGTAGAGAGATCCTGATGAAAACACGCACTGAAAAAATGTTTTTGCTCTTGCGGCCGGAATCCTTTCCATAGAGAAGTGGTTATGTCGTGATCTGCATATATTAGCAGTAGGGAAGATGTAATGGGTCTCATTACTTGATAAGAAGTTAGCTCCCCACATCCTTGGGATAGACAGAATCTTGCATATCTGTTAGCAGTGTCATCAGCAAGAGTATATCTTAGCCTTGAGGAATGTTTCCACTTGGACATAGTCGATAGTTATTTCTTGAGCGCCTGCTGTGAGTTGGGGGTTAGTGAGGGCATGCAGATGAGGTGGTCATACCAGAGCCTATAAGGTGTAGATTCTGACCTCAAGTTGCTTAAAATCTGTTGAGAAGATATAGTTAATTTCTAGAAATGAGTGATGCCAGAGGTCAAAGGAGGGAGAGTGACTCGAGCCAGGGAGGTTGGGGAGACTCGGGTGGCCACGGCCTTTTTATGTGGGCCATGGGTACCGGTGGGAGTGAACAAAGGAAGGTGCTTGTAGAGGAACTGGCAGCAACGGGGGCGGGTTGGCGGGGTGACTGGTGGCTGGGAGGGGAAACTGCTGCCCGTCTGTTGTGTGCTGTAGGGCGCATACAACAGAAGTGGTGAAAGCTAAGATTGGAAAAATGAGCTGGAGCTGGGTCCCCAGGAGCCATGATGGCAGGGCTGAAGGTTTGGTTTCCAATCTGTGAACGCATGGGCATTCACTGAAGTGTTCTGAGCAAGGGTTTGGAGGCTGGTGCCACCCACCAGGAAGAGTGGTATGGCAGCAGGGTACTGAGGGACAAGAGTAGGGGGTGCCCAGGTACAGAGGGCTTGAACCAGGGCAGTGGCCACTCTGCAGGGGAAAGGGGAGAGACAAAGCCTGGTTGATTATGGAAGGGAGACAGAAATCATGAGATTGGTCAGTGTGGTCACTAGGAGGGGAAGGGGTGGGAAGTGGGGCCAGGAAGCTGAGCTGGGCCTCGGAATCGCTGCCTAGAATGTGTTGCCCACACTTGACTTTCAGCGGGTCTGACTCCCGTCAGTGCTGGGCGGGAGTGTGAACGGCAGGCTTTCAGGGCTGCCCTCGAGGCCGTTCCCATCCCTGAGGACCCACTGAGGGGGTTCCAGTGTTCACAGCACTTATTTCCAGGCATTTGATCATTTTCTCACCAAATTACCCCTTGAAATTTCGCCTGCCTGAGTTCAGCCCAGGAGGTTACTATTCTGGGAAGTTTCATCAAAACCTTTTCAGTGTTTGGGAGTTCTCTGAGCCTGGAGGAGGATGGAGGAGAACAGGGCTTGCCCTCACCTGTGTTTGGGGGCTGCTCCTGCAAACCAGTCCTACACCTGGAGACGGTCCTGGCCAGGGAGCCTGCGGCTCTGGGGTGGAGGTCGGGACGGTGGCCCTCCGCTGTGTAAGGTGAGACAGGATGCTGCCTCGAATTCATCCTGAATGGGCCCCTCGTCATTGTCTCTCCTGGAGCCATTTAATTAATTGATGATTGATGTTCCTGGACTTCCTTGAGGTTAATCTATTATTGATGTCCCTTCGTTTATATAACATATGCTGCACCTCCCAGCCCCTGGCTGCTCCTGATGGGCAGGCCACACCGTGGAGTGGGCTCCCTGGGGCTGCACCTCTGTCTCCTGGGGACAGGGCCCTGCACTTAGCTTTCTCAAAGCCTTTCAGGTTTGGGGTCAGGGAGGGCACCAGGGCGTGTCTTTAGGAGGCTTTGCTCAGCCACAAAATAATACTAGTAACAATAACTTCCATTTTCTGAATGTGGATGAACTGAACCCAGGAGAGTGTATAGAGGATGTCATTTACTCCTTGCAACAGCAACCCCCTGCACGCTCCCATCCCTCCAACCTCCATCTTACGGGCGGCTTAGGGAGCTTGCATCACCTGCTCAGGGACACTCAGAGAGGCAGGGAGCCAGGGTTTGAACCCAGGATGGGTTCTTTTTGGTGTCCCTGTCCATACGCCACCTCTCCCTCAGGTCCCACACAATCCCACCTCCTCCATGAGGCCATTCTCCATGCTCCACTGACTCTAGCACTCTTTTTTTTTTTTGAGACGGAGTCTCGCTCTGTCACTCAGGCTGGAGTGCAGTGGTGTGATCTCAGCTCACTGCAACCTCCGCCTCCTGGTTCAAGTGATTCTCATGCCTCAGCCTCCCTAGTAGCTAGGATTACAGGCACGTGCCACCACGTCCGGCTGATTTTTGTTTTAGTACAGATGGGGTTTCACCATGTTGGCCAGGCTGGTCTTGAACTCCTGACCTCAGGTGATCCACCCGCCTCGCTCGGCCTCCCAAAGTGTTGGGCTTACAGGCATGAGCCACCGCGCCTGGCCAAACAAAGGCATCTTGTAGCACTCTCTTATCTGAATAGCGCTGGCGCCCCTCAGAGAGAGCATGTGTGTTCCCCTCACTGATCTGTGTCCTCACTGAAGCATAACAATCATGGCGAAATAACATTTAGGGAGCACAGGTGCCAGGCACCAAGCTCAGTACTTTTTGTATCTTCTCTCATTTAATCCTCATGACCATAACAAGGAGCATGGGACTGCTGGGCCTGGAGTGTTCCTGGCTCTGCTGGGCAGCTGTGAACAAGTCACTTTTCTTTTGTTAGCCTCAGTTGCCCTGTCTGTATAATAGCAGCAATGATATTTGTCCTGTCTCCCTCACTGTTCAAAGGTGACACTGGATGGGAAAGGCCTTTGGGAAAGACATTGTACTAACAAAGGATTAGGGATGGCTGGGTGCGGTGGCTCACACCTGTAATCCCAGCACTTTGGGAGACCGAGGCGGGCGGGTCACGAGGTCAGGAGATCGAGACCATCCTGGCTAACATGGTGAAACCCCGTCTCACTAAAAATATAAAAAATTAGCCGGGCATGGTGGTGGGTGCCTGTAGTCCCAGCTACTTGGGAGGCTGAGGCAGGAGAATGGCGTGAATCCGGGAGGCGGAGCTTGCAGTGAGCCGAGGTCGTGCCACTGCACTCCAGCCTGGGTGACAGAGCAAAACTCTGTCTCAAAAAAAAAAAAAAAAAAAGGATTAGGATTGCTCGTACATGAGATTCAAGAGCTGGCATGAAGGCTGGGAATACTTAAGGCTGGGCACATAAACCCAAGCCAAGGCATCTGCACCCACCCTCTAAGCCACCCCAGCCCGGCAGATGAATTCTGCAGCTTGCCAGCTGCCAAGAACTTGCTTGAGGAACCTGTGTGGCCAGGAGTGGGGCGGGAGATCCTTAGAGTGGCTGCCAGGCCCTGGTCTGTTGTCCTGGCTGGATGAGCAGTGCCTGGGTCCTTGGAGGCGGTCCCTCCCACTCTGGGCGCCTGGATTTTGTGGAAGTGCAGGGGGCCCGTGGGGGGTTCTGGGCCCTGCTTCCTCTCCCATCTCCCACATGCAGCCTAACTAGGTCAGTTCAGGCTGGGTGTGGGGAGGAAGGAGGATAGCTCGCCAGGCAGCCACCCAGACCTCCCCTCACCCCTCAACACATGCGGAAAGCCTTGTGAGGAGGTGAGCCCTGTGTCTGTTCCGGAAAGCGACGGGGCCACCAGCCTCACAGTGGCAAGGCTCCCGGGGCACTGGCTGGGAATCCTCTGCTTTCTCATCAGCTTTACTCGGAGCGCATTTCAGTGCTGGGCTGGGGCTGGGGAAGATGACACGTGCTGCCAGGGCCTGAAGAAAAGGGCAGAGCCCTTGGACTTGTGGGTGGGGGCAAGGCATGCCTGCCATCGCTCATTGGAAATTGTGGCCAGGCTACTGTTAGGGGATGTTTTGTTTCACTTCCCAAGTTTCCGCCTTCTGCGGGCCGGGATTACATCAGGCTCCCCTGGCACGCCCTTTAGCCAACTCCCACTTCATCCAAGCTCCTCCACTGCCCTGGGACAGCTGCCCCGCTGCAGTTTTGGGGCAGGCTGCAGAATCACTGCGCAGCCCTAGGCCCAGTGGCTAAGGGGACTGTCCTGGCCTTTTCAGCCTCATCTGCAGAGGCTGGGAACTCCCAGTGCCCTGCCTCCCAGTTAGCACCTGCCCACTTCACCCACTCGAGTCTGCCTGGTCTCCAAGATTATCCACTTCTGATTCATTCTCTCTCCCTCTTTAAATTCAGCATAGCACAGGCCTTCAGACATGGGCTTTAGCATAAAGACAGAGCTTTATATGAGACCACTACTACTTGTGCAAGTCACTTGACCTGTTTGAGCCTCAGTTTCCTCATCTTTTTTTTTTTTTTGAGATGGAGTCTTGCTCTGTTGCCCAGGCTGGAGTGCAGTGGTGTGATCTGGGCTCACTGCAAGCTCTACCTCCTGGGTTCACGCCATTCTCCTGCCTCAGACTCCCAAGTAGCTGGGACTACAGGTGCCTGCCACCACGCCCGGCTAATTTTTTGTATTTTTAGTAGAGACAGGGTTTCACCGTGTTAGCCAGGATGGTCTCGATCTCCTGACCTCGTGATCCATCCACCTCGGCCTCCCAAAGTGCTGGGTTTACAGGAGTGAGCCACTGTGCCTGGCCTCTTTTGGTACTGCTTCTATCCACTGCCTTTTCTTTGTCTAACTTTTCCTCTCTGAGGCCTTTAGGGGAAGCCAGTTTCTTCCTCAGATTCTCTGAGTCTCCCCGCACAAAGCCCCTCAGCCCTTTCAGCTGCCCTCCTAAGAGTTGGGGGATCATGACTTGGCCTCACAGAATTCCATGCCATCCTCTCTGGTCTGGGCAGCCTCTCCAGGGCAATGGGAGTGCAGCCCACCGGGTCTGCAGAGCCCCAGCTGAGGCCTGAGCTTCCAGGCACCGCAAACTCTCCTGGGCTGCAGGGCCAGAGTCAGCCCCAGTGCACCCCCAGGGCCAGAACACCAGCCGTATCCAAGTCTCTTTCCCCCTAGGAACTTAAGGAATTTTTCTTAAGGGTTGTTTCAGTTTCATACCTTTGAAAAGAACTTGCTTCTCCTTTGACACCTTCGCTGGGACTGGGGCCAGACCGTGGAGCAGATAATAGTTTTGCCACGTGTAGTCTCCCATCTCCCCATTTATTCAAGGACATTTATTGAGCACCTACTTGCCAAGCCTTGTGCCTGGAGCTGGGAATAATGGTATCACTTCGTCCTGAGGGAGTTCCTGGGTTGGCATAAGCGGACACTACCACTCTACCAGCAGCCACAATGGCAAAAGCTATGTGGTGAGTCCTCTCTGCTACACAGTGCTTTATGTGTAGGGACACATTTAATGCAATGAACAGTGATGGCTTCCATTTTCTAGACACTCACCCCTCTAGGCTCTGTGCTCAGGACAGTCCCATGGCACCCATGGAGGAAGCACTCGTTTCACAGCAGGGGTCCAAGTCTAGGACCTCAGCTTCCTTGGGGAATTGAGGGA
Source organism: Homo sapiens (assembly GCF_000001405.40). Taxonomy (NCBI): domain Eukaryota; kingdom Metazoa; phylum Chordata; class Mammalia; order Primates; family Hominidae; genus Homo; species Homo sapiens. The sequence continues at coordinate 61,690,659 of NC_000011.10, forward strand.
ATCTGTTAGAGGCTGCGTGTTTGTAGCTGGGACTCAGGTTCCGTCTGTCTGGCCCCTGCTCTCAGGGTGTGCACATTCCCCTCACCTGGCATGGGGTTTGGGGATTCTGTGAGCCACGGGAGGAACAGCCGCCCACAAAAGGAAGGCCCCCTTTGGCTATCCTCTTGCTGCGAAGGCCAGGCCCCGCTCCCAGGAAGCCCTCGCCGCTCCCCACATGTAGACCCATCTGTGGCTTGCACCACCTTGTTACTCCCACTGTTGTCCAACCGACCTTCACCGACCCTGTACCTCGCCGGCCGTGGCAGGCGGCTTTCAGGCTCGCACAGCATGGCTCCTCTCACCCCACACGCCCCTGCCAGTGCCACTCCAGATTGTTCTCTTTGCTGCCTGCTACACCATGCAGTTTAGAACACAGCCTAATGGAGGGCTCGGGGCACCTGAGCAGCTGCCTGCTCCATTTCTTCGCCCCTTTAATCCCTCCCTTCCCCAGGTGAACCCTATTCAGCAGGCTTCCGGCAGCAATAACAAAGCTGGGCACCCAGCCCACCAGCTGCTCAGTGCTTTATAAAAGTTTAACCTTAATGGTGTAATGAACTCCCATCATAAAGCAGCTGGAGCAGTGCATCCTGGGATGTATAAATTATAGGAACCCTCTGAAATTGTAATTGGAAATGGCAACAACAAGAAGGTTGAAAGTGGCTGGCCTCATTGGGCTGAGCACAGCTATTCTCTGTCTCCTTTCAAAAGGCACACAAAACTGAGTCTGGCTGTGAAGAAAGAATATCCTCAGCCCAAATCGAGCTCCTGGTTCTTCCGCCCGAGTTCCCACTTCCTGCCTCCAACTGTGTCTGCAGAGCCTGCAGCCTTTGGAGGTGGGACCCCCCCCAACCCAACCTGGCCCTGTGCTCTGGCTCTGTGCCCGCAGACAGAGTGGGCTGAGAGGGAACAAACACAGCCACAGGGGCAGGCTCCACCATGCTCCAGGGAGCGCTTTGGAGCAGTTGATTTGACCTCCTCGAGTCTCCATAAAGTGGAGTGAACCCACCTTGGAGTGCTGGTGGTGATTGAATGGGAAACCGCAGGGGGTGTTGGGATGTAGGGTTGAGAACTCAGGCCAGACGGTCTGGCTGCCTGTTGCAGCTCCTGCTGGGGGTAGTCTTGAGTCCTTAACCAGGTCCTTTCACCTCTCAGCTGCAGTTTCCACCTGTAAAATCAGGGAATAATTGGCCTCTGAGGAGTGTTAGGAGGTGACATGAGATGATGCTGGCTTGTGACAGACTCAGCATCGTGCTTCTTTGATGGGCACACAGATCACTGGGGAGCTTGCCAACGCAGATTCCAGTTTAGGCTGGCTGGGCCCAGATGTGCATTTCTAACAACTCCCAATAATGCTGCTGCTGCAGGCCCTGGAGCACACCTCACCTTGAGTCTGGAGGGCAGTGTTTGACCCATAGTCAGTGCATTAGAGCCTGCTGTGATCGTACGTCCAGGCAGAACCCAGGGCCTGCACAGGTGCCCACGTGGCCCATGAGCCGGCAGCTTCAGCATCACCTGGGACCAGGTTAGAAATGCAGCATCTCAGCATCCCTTCACCACCACCCTCCTCCACATCAGAATCGCTGGGAGGGGAGCCTGCAGCCAGCTCTGGAAGTTCTGCTTATGCACACTTGAGCAGTCCTGGCCAGGACTCATCCTTCAGAGCAGGATTTCTGAGTGTAGATTGGTTAACTCCAGCCTCAGAGTCTCCTGGGGTTGGCCATGGTAGAACTTGGAACCTAAAAATATAGGTTCCTGAGCCCTGCCTTGGGCTTACTGATTCAGAATTGCTGGGCGGGGCCTGGGAGTCTGCATAAGTTTGAGAGTTACTGGCGACCACTCATTGCCTGAGAGATGGGAAGAAGGGCAGAATCCCCGCTCCCCACTCCCACCCTTTATGCATAAACCTTTGCATCTGCCAGGGGGAGAAGGAACACCAGGCTGGGGTCAGGAGTTCCGGGTTCCTGCAGGATCCTGTCACCAAAGCCCAGGACCCCAGAGCCACTCTGCCTGGGGCCCAGCTGTGGGGTTTTCTCACACCGAGAAGAGGGAAACAACCCAACATCCCCGAGTAGAGAGTTGGTTGAATGAACTTCCGTACATCTTGTATGTGGACTACTCCACAATAATGAGGAAAGATGGCGGTAGGAAAATGTTTAAGGAGAAGTGCTCACCTTTTAGTTCAGTAAAAAAAAAAATGGTAGATGCCGAATGGTCCCACAATTAGATGGAGGAAAAAAAAGACTAGAAGGATGTTAATAGTTGATAGTTTTCCTAGAGGGATCATGGGTGATTTATATTTTCTTCTTTTTGGTTTCTATTTTTTTTTTTTTTGGTGAGATTGAGTCTCACTCTGTTGCCCAGGCTGGAGTGCAGTGGTGCGGTCTGCCTTCTCAGTTCAAGCCATTCTCCTGCCTTAGCCTCGCAAATATCTGGGACTGTAGGTGCCCGCCACCACATCTGGCTAATTTTTGTATTTTTAGTACAGACGGGGTTTCACCATGTTGGCCAGGCTGGTCTCGAACTCCTGGACCTCAGGTGATCCAGCCTCCCAAAGTACTGGGATTACAGATATGAGCCACTGCACCCAGCTAGTTTCTATTTTCTATAGAGAACTTGTATTTTTGTAATAAAAAGATAAGTCTTTTTCTTTTTCTTTCTTTTTTTTTTTTGACATGGAGTCTTACTCTGTTGTCCAGGCCAGAGTGCAGTGGTGCAATCTTGGCTTACTGCAATCTCTGCCTCCTGGGTTTAAGCGATTCTCCTGCCTCAGCCTCCAGAGTAGCTGGGACTACAGGCGCCCACCACCATGCCCAGCTAATTTTTGTATTTTTAGTGGAGACCGGGTTTCACCATATTGGCCAGGCTGGTCTCGATCTCCTGATCTTGTGGTCCGCCTCCCTCGGCCTCCCAAAGTGCTGGGATTACAGGCATGAGCCACCATGCCCGGCCAAAGATAAGTCTTTTTCTTATGCATAAGTCAGCGTGTCTGGTCTGGGGTCCCCGGTCACAGTGCACCTGCCCTGCCTGAGGTGAGGCTCCTGCAGCCAGGGGCAGCCCAGACTCCCCCACTGGGGTGACTTTCACCATCGCCTCCCTCACCTCCAGGGTATGGCTGATGATCCCCAGGGCTTCACACCGCTTCTCCCGCTTTCTTACTTCCTCTCTGCTTTGAGTCTTCCCTGATGATGCCCAGCACTCCTCCCATTTTACATAAGAGGAGAGGGTGGGGAGGGGACAGCTGAGAGGTGGGAAGCCCCCAGCTTGCAAACCTCTGAGGCCAAGTTTAGTTTGGCATCACCTAGGTGACTAAATCTAAATTCCAGAGTCTAGGCACATAGGATATGCTCGGAGAGTAATGGCTGCATGAATGAGGCTGGGAAGGCAGCCAAGGATGGGGCAGAGGCCCAAAGCTGTGTGACCTTGGCACGTCAGCATTCCTCTATGAGCTTAGGGTACTCATCTGTAGGATTCGGGGAATCAGGGAGGCGTGGCATCTGAGTTCCCTGGGCCTCTCCAGCTCTGAACTTCTGGGGACTGTCACATGTCTTCAGTCCTGCTTCCTTGCCTGTTTTTTTCTAAGCAATTTTTGCTGCCCAAGAAGACCTCACCTGTGTGTTCCAGCTACCCAGTGAGTTTGCGCGTAAATGGCTGCTCAGGGCAGGGCTCTCCAGTCAAGGGCTTGAGCAAGGCCACTGCTGTCCCCACAGCCAGGCTTCCATGCTGTGGCAGGAGGAAGGGAGACCAATGCTGGGACATGAGAGCGATCCACCACCCATAGCAGAGGGCCGGGGTGCCTGGGTGTGCTTGGACCTGACATTGGCCTCACGTGCACCCTTTGTGCCTCTGCGCCGGCTGCCTGTCAGTTGTCAGGTGTCTGCCTTTCATCCTTTCCTGGCCAAAGCTGCCTTTATTCAAGTGCCCCCTGCCAGGCTTTGTGTCTGATACCCCATTTCCGGCAGCCCTGAATCTGTGGCCCTTTGAGCTGCTGTTTTCCATCGAGTGGCTCCGTGGGGAGGAAGGGTGGGAGAAATCCATTCAAGTCATTTGTTTTAAAGACATTGAAGTAAACCCATGGGATTCATGCGGTCACATGTTTTCAGTCTTCTTTCAAAGTAATAGTTGGGTTTCTGGATCGCTCGCATTACCCACTTCCCTGCCTGGGAAGAGCGAGAGGCCTGGTCTTCAGGAAGAACCATGGAGAGGGGAAGCCTGGAAGATAAAAGCTGGGGGCCTGGCAAAACCCAAACATGTGCACGTCTCCCCGCCAGTGGAGGGGCTCTGCCTGGGGAGCACCAAGCACCTGTGTTCTGGTGATTCCAGGAAGCAGCCCCACGGGCCCTCTCTGTGTACTCGCAAGCGTGTTTTTCCTAGCCCAGGGAGCCTGCAGAAACTACCTTTGCCAGCAACTGAGAGGCAGGGTTGGGAGCTAAAGTGGTGCCCAGCCTCCCTGCTGGCTGGAATCTGGCCCTGCACAAGGTGCATCTGCCCACAGGCTCTGGGGAACCGGGTGGGAGGAGGGGCAAGAGGAGGGGAGCCAGCTTTGCTTTCCCCGCTCTTTCTGTTCAACCATCAGGCACCTCTAGGAAGCTTTCTCTGTCTGCCTGGGGCTGAGCAGTGGTCCAGGCATCAGTGTCGGAGCTCTGTGCTCACTGACCCGCCCCGGTTTCCTTGTTATTCTGCACTGTGAGCTACTTGAGGATAGGGCTTGGCATCCTCGAGTTCATGTCCCCAGAAGCTCCTGCCTAAGGGCCTGCTGAGTCCAACCCACTCCCACTTCCCAGCGGGGAGGAGCAGTGGGAGCTTCTTGTCTGGGAGCTTTCAGGTCCTAGGTCCACTCTCTGGCCCTGGTCTGAGCCTCCCACCCCGCTCCAGCCAACTGGTCTGGCGAGTTTGTGGGGACCTGGCCACAGGCGCTTCTCCAGGGACAGAATGTCCTGCTGTAAGGAGGCTTTGTGCCTGGCTTTCTGTTCTTCTTGGCTCCTCTTTGCTCCTCCTCTCTCTCTTTCATCCCAGGGAGGGTACTGACTTCTGGCTTAAGTCTGCTCTCTATCTTGCCTTTTTGGGGTCCAGGACAGCATATAGTGGGGGTGCTGGGCTCAGGCAGAGCAGTGGCCTTGCCTGGAAGGAGGGCAGGGGCAGGGCCCTTCAGGAATGAGGTAGGGTGTGCATCCCTGCGTGCCCCGGTGAGACCCTGGAAAGCCAGATACCCAGAGTGTGGATGACAGGCTCCGGGCCAGAGCCCAGGGGCTGTGGTGACCGTTCTCCCACCTCCTTCCCCGCTGATGTTCAAGGGTGAGGGACCAGAGGCCCAAAGACGGCAGCCTGCGGAGGCCTCGCTCCAGGACTCCGCCCCCACTGAGACTCCTCCCTGTCCCCACCACCAGGCTTGCTCTCAGGGAGCAGGAAATGAGAGTGGGGGAGCCTGGGTGTTCCTCTCACCCTCTGCGGGAGGGGCTGGGCACCCCGTTCCGTAGGTGTCAGCGGAACCGTCACCAGCGGTGGGCGCCAGTGCCGGGATTTCCCTGGCTGACTCACCCTCGGCCTGGCTGTGCCTCAGCCTAGGCATGAGTTCTCTGTGAAGGTGTCTGGATAGTGACAGCGATTCCCATGGAGTCCTGGGAGCGGGAGAGTGGGGGTGGAGGTGCCCACTACCCTGGCTGCCTGCCTTCCACTCCCAGTGGACCTGACGCCCAGCCGTCCGTCCGTCAAGGACACCACCCCCACTTCCCAGCGGGGAGGAGCAGTGGGGCCGGGGCGCTCCCTGAAAGATCCCTCCAGGGGCCACATGCCTCCCCTCCCCTTCCCCTGTGGGAGAGGCAGGAGAATAGGGAAGCCATTGATTCCCTCCATCCCTCCCAGAGTAAGAGGCATTTCACAGACTGGGCGACCCGGGGTTGGGGGTGGGGTGGGGTGGGGTGGGGAGCTGTGAGAGGCAGGAAGTGGGGTCAGCACCCGGATCCAAAGACCCCTTGGAGAAAAGGGGAAAACTGTAGTCCCTTCCCCTAGCAAGGTTTGCGTGAAGCACATCTTTGGGCCATCCCAGCCTCCTTGGCAGCGAGCAGGCAGCGGCAGGCACTGTCAGTGGGGTGGAGGTGTTGCAATTACCGTGTGTAGGGGGCTGGGGGAGGACTGAGCAGACAGAAATGTGGAGTGTGCGGCTTGTGAGCTGGCCTGTGGGGGCAGTGGCAGCAGAGCTGCGTGGGGTGGGATGGGAGGTGTGGATCTGGGTGGTTTGCCCCAAGATCCTCACCTTCCTATCGCCAAGGGGAGGGAGGTCACCCATGACCTCCCTGGGATGGCATAGCAGGGGATGGTAGCCTCTGGGGACTGGCCTGCCAGGGCTGAGGGCACAGGGCGACATTCAGGACCCTGGCATGGTTCGGTCTTGGCAGGCAGACTTCTCAGCCCCCTACCTGCTCACCTGGCCAGTGAGAAATGAAGCGGTTTCTGTGCCCCAGTGCCATGGACAGCTCCAGTGACTCTGATGAGGCTGTTGGCTGTGCAAATTCCTTTGTGGGTAGCCCCAGGGTAAGGTGGCCCTGGAAAGGAATGTGGTTGGTAGGCCCAACCCTACCCAGCCTCCTGAGCTTGGCCCGCTGCTGTGGTCAGGAGCATAGAAGCCGGGCCAGGGCGAGGGAAGGCCTGGCCTAAACTGAGATGGGCCCTCCAGGCAAGGCCAGCATTACCTCAGTCCTCGGAAATGCATCGCTCTGCTTGGGGGAATGGCCACACGTGGCTGAGCCCCAGGTGGTGCCAAGGACAGGAGGACAGCAGCCATTCCTGCGCAGGAGCACACCAAGGCCCCAGGAGCCTGGGCTGTGGGGCAGGGTTCCAGGTTCTGCTCCCAGCCTGCTGCTGACCTCGATGTGGCCTGGGGCAGCTGTCTACATCCTTCCTCACCTTCCTCCCTCAAATGAGCATTTGTGACTCAGTGGCTCAGAGGTTCCTTCCCACTCAGATATTCTCCTGTTTTTTTTTATTTTTATTATTTTTTTATTTTTTAGACAGGGTCTTGCTCTGTCACCCAGCCTGGAGTGCCGTGGTACAATCATAGCTCAGTGCACTCACTGCAGCCTCGAATTCCTGGGCTCAAGTGATCCTCCCATCTCAGCCTCCCAAGCAGCTGGGACTACAGGCATGCCCTGCCATGCCCAGCTAATTTCCTCCTGTGATGGCCCTGGGTAGCCAGGTGTCTCTGCAGTGAGGAGCAGTGCCAGGGCCCTTTCTTGGACCCTCCATTTCCTCCTCCCCTGGGAGTCATGGGGCAAAGTGAGATAATGACTGGAAGTTCCCAGTACCAGGTCTTCTGGCAGCTAGTTGGGCTCTCAGTGAGCAATGGCTGGTACTACTGCCCTTATCACCCTTATGTTTACATTATCATCAGCCTTATTGTGGAGTTGCCTTCTCAGAGCCTGTTGGGGGCTCCCTGGAAAAGGCAGTGTGACTCTTGTCCTGGGCTGGCATCCTGGCCCCCAGTCTGCTCAAGAATCAGAAGGTCAGACTGGGCCAGCCAGAGGGTCAGGGCAGGCAGGCAGGGTCCCTGACATCTCTCCTGTGGTGCCTCTGCAGCTTGGCTGAGCTGCAGGCTCCCATCTGCAGAGGGGCGGCCCAGCTCTCTGCAAGTTGGCTGGGAGACCTCAGAATGAGGAGCGCATGTTCTCCAAACATCTTGCTCACAGCAGATGGCAGCCACAACTGCCTTTCTCTCTGCAGTTCCGGTGCACTTCCCTTTCCTTTGCTCACCCCCCTGCTAACTTTGGTTTCTGCTTTTGGAGATGGGGAGGCAGCCTGCAAGCCTCCAGAGCCACTTCTGATAGTGGGTGAAGCTTGGTGCACGTAGCACGGACAGTTTCCAAAGGAAAGGAAACCTCGTACCCCACCTGCTTCCCTGGGGAAGCTCACTCTTACCCTGCTTCCCACATGCCATCTCTGAGTCTCTTTGGCCAAATGTGCCGGCAGCATGATCTGAGAGGAGCAAGGGAGCTGGCCCGGGGGCCTTGTCTGACATTTCTTGAGCAGCTGCTAGGCACCAGGCGTGGTGCTGGGTGCCAAGGACACAGAGATGCAGAGTGTAGCCCTGCCCTCCTGGAGCTCCCAGCCCAGTGGGGAGCCCGGAATGGAGGGGGCACTGATTAGGTCTGCCCTTGGGGGTTGGCGGGCCCTGGCAGCTTCACAGAGGAGGTTGTGTTTAGGCTGAGCTTTGGAACACTGAGGAGTTCCCAGGGGAGCAGGATTGGAAAAGGCCTTTTGGGCAAAGAGAACAGACTGTGCAAGGGCACAGAGGCATGCAGACCGCCTGCAGAGCACGCTCAACTGTGGTGCACAGCAGAGCAGAGAAAGCAGGACATGCTATGCACCCTCAGAAAGACAGGGCCTCCTCTGGCTGCGTATGGGTGGGGGCCAGCCTGAAGCTGAAGCCCTGGATGGGAGCCATTGGGGGAACAGGCCTTTCTCAGTTGGGGGGAATTCTGCCCTGAGTTTGGGGCCAGTAGACGCAGCAGCCCCTGCTGGTAGAATAGAACTGGACCATCCTTCCCTCCTGGCTGGCCCTGCAGCCACAGGCCAGAAGTCTGGTGTTGGCCTTACTGCCCTGGAGCTAAGGCCAGGGGGTCACAGATCAGCCAGGTGAGCATGCCCTGGGAGAGTGTGTGGGCCAGACCTCCATGGCACTGCCTCTCCTACTGCGACCTGCCCTGGCTCCACCCCACACCCACAGGTGGCACTAAGCTGAGCACCCACATATCCAGACCCTCTTCTGTGCCAAATCCTTTCTCAGTGGTCCCACATGGGCCTCATCCCATTTAACCTTCACAAAGGCCATGTGCGGTGGGCATCCCTGGCCCTGAGGTCCTTTGACTTGCTCCAAGTCACCCAGCCAAGGCATGGCCCAGCAGAGACTCCAGGCCTAGGTCCGCCTCACCCTTTGCAGACTCATGCCTTGCCTGTTCTTCCCTGCGCTGCTTCTGTCACCTCACAGTCAGGCCCCTCCGGGGAGTACAGTGGAGGGAAGGCCAAAGCATTCATCCTGGAAGACCCTCCAAATACTGTAGGCAGAGTGCTGGGGACACCAATGGCAGCTGTGGGCAGGGCCACCCGAATGCCACCCCATAGGGCAGCGGGCCCACAGCATGGAGGCCCTCCGTGTTTGCTTTTCCCAGCCCTGCATTAGCTGTGCTGCTCACACCTGGCTGACTGTTTGCCCAAGGATTTCTCCCCTGGAAGGAGGGTGGGGCTGGGGAGGGTGGCAGGCAGGTGGCCGGCTGCCTCTGGGCACTCCGTTTTTCTGCAGACCCACACTGCCTGCGAATGCCACACCACCCTGCATCCCCAAGGCTGCCCCAGCAGTGCCCGGCCTCGCCCGCGCAGAGCATGTGACTTGGCAGTGCCTGGGCCTGGCATGCCTGGCGTGCCAGGGCAGCGGCAGCAGCAGCCGGACTGTCAGTAAGGAGCTGGAGAGGCCCCCAGAGCCCTCCTGTTGGGGCACTGGTCCTGGGTTGTGGGGGTGACGGGATGCATCAGTGAGACTTTTGTATGGCAGGAGGCAGAGGAGCACATAACTGAATCTGGGAGTATTTATGGACACGTCTGCGCCTTCCTTTTCTGCAGCAGCCTGTCTGCAGGCCCTCCTGCAAGGAGAGCCTGTCTTGATTCAACCAGTCCCTGCCCTGACCTTCTCTTCACCCTCTTTCTGATGAGTCAGCCCCAGGAACTTGAACTTGGACTTCTCCAGCCTCTGGGCCAGCCCTGGAGGCGGAAGCCCTGGACCTGCCTCCCCAACACCTGCCCTCCTGAGGGTGTGGCCTGCAAGCGTCCTTTTCTGTCAGATTCAGCTCATGGCCAGTGACTCCTTGAGCCTGTGATCGTGGTCCTCAGGCCAAGGGGAACAGATTAGATAATTAGCTGCTGATGGATCTGGCATCCTAGGGAAGAGGGAGCCCTTTCTCTCCCACAGCTGGGACCCCAAAGAGAGGCTTGCATTAGCCAGGCAAGGAGCCGGGTGCCTCCCTCCCTGCAGTCCTGCACAGCCCCTTCCTTCTCTTGCTGCTGTGGGTATCTGCCTAAGGAGAGCTGGCCCAGCATACCCACCTGGGACACACCCAGAGAGTGCCAGCCTGAACGGCACTGCCAATAGCCCGATCCTCAGGCCTTTCACCCTGCACCTCCCTGCTCCTCCAGCAACGAGACCCCCTGCATGTCACTCACATGTGGCCCCGGGCCAGGCACTTGGCCACCTCACAGTGAGCGATGCTGGGAGGCTGGTGTTCTTGCAATCCCACTGACAGGTGAGGAAATCTGATTTGTGTCATGCTTTCTCCAGCATCGCTCAGATGTTGTTCATCCCCTTTTTCCCGGAACCGGGGCCCAAAGAGGTTGTGACTTGCCCACACCTCTTGAATGGCCAGGCCCCATGTCCAGCCTGGATTCTCTGACACCAAGCCCCATGTGTTTTCCACTGTGCCCTGCAGTAAACAGAAGTGCTAATAAAGAAGCGTGCTAATACATAATTAATCCCACCTCCATCCCTTGGGCCTTTTCTCTCTCAGACGCCCTGAGCACCGCCCAGACGTGATCTCATGTGTCCTACCAAGGCCCCAGAAGAGCAGAGAGGAGGCTGGGCTCTGAGGGGCCATGGGGACTAGGAGCCAGCCTCTCCGCTGCCAGGCCCAGCCCTACTGCATGCCTGCTGCCCGCCTCTCCCTCTGCTCTAGGTAGGGAAGCTGCCGAGGCTCGGGCATGTCTCAGGCACCTGCTGTCTTCCTCTGGTCTCGTGGATTGTACGAACCTGGAGGAGGAAAGCAGCCGGGATTCGATGAGCCCCCATGTGGTGGGGATGTGTGCGCGCAGGGGCCCAAGGCTCTGCTTAAAGGGAAGGAGTATTGCTGAGGCTTGTTCTAGTGCCTTCCTCTAAGGAACCCTCAGTATATCTTGTTTGTTCTCACATTCGAGGGAAGTTGGCAAAGGGCAGTTCTGTGTCACAGGGAAGGGGGTGGATGAGGACCCCGAAAACCTGCCCTTTACCGAGTCTCACCCCCGAGCCTGCTGAGGTCACACAGCGGCAGTCAGTGGGGGGTTAGGTTTTCTTGTTTTGTTTTTAGAGACAGGGTTTTGCTCTGTCACCCAGGCTTCAATGTAGTTTTGCAATCACAGCTCACAGCAGCCTGGAACTCCCCAGCTCAAGTGATCCTCCTGCTTCAGCCTCCTGAGTAGCTAGGACTACAGGCATGTGCCACCATGCCCAGATAAATTTTTTTTTTTTTAATAAAGACAGGTTCCCCGTATGTTGCCCAAACTATTCTCAAACTCCTGGCCTCAAGTAATTCTCCTGCGTCAGCTGCCTGAGTAGCTGGGACTATAAGCATGCACCACCACATCTGGCTAAATTAAAAAAAATTTTTTTTGTAAAAATGGGTTCTTACTAGTTTCGAACTCCTGGCCTCAGTGATCCTCCAGCCTCGGCCTCCCAAAGCATTGGGATTACAGGTGTGAGCCCCCACAGCTAGCCCATGTTAGGTTCTCTCTCTCTTTCTCTCTCTCTCTGTCTTTAACTCTGATAATTACAAGCTGAACATGTTAGGTTTCGAACTTAGTTCTGACAGATTTCAAAAGTGGGGATCATCAAAGCACTGGGCCATGGTGTGCAAATTCCTGGCCTCTCTACCTCCAGGACAATGTTGGGGCCCAGAAGAAAGTGGGTGAGAAAGATGATAGCACCTTAAGGCTCCGAGTCTTCTGTGGGATTATATTCCTGAGCCAGAGGCTGCAGACCCTTATAAACTGAGCATTGGGGGATGGGGGTAAAAGTGGATCCTAGGGAAATTAGAGATCATCTGGTCAACCCCCTCATCCTCCAGATGAAGACACTGAGTCTCTTAGAAGAGAAGTCATTTCCCCAGGTCCTTCCCCTTCTCACTTATAGCCAGGCCATGGCTGAGGTGCCCTCTGGGCCCCCGGTTGGGAGAGGGCTTCAGTCTCCTGGCTGCATCCTGAGAACGTAGCTTTCTGTGCTCTTTCCTGGAGGTGCGCCCTCCCTCCCACAGGATGCTGTACAGAGGTGGACGCAAGTCACACGGCCCCAGATGCATAGGGAGGTAGAGGGAAGCCAGGCTTGTCAATGCTAGGGAGCCCTCCAGTAGCAGGACCACTCACTGCATTACCACAGGCAAATCACCCACAGCCCCTTCCTGCCACAGTTGCCTCATCAGTAAAATGAAGATGCCACATTTCCTCCCTGCCTCGCCCACAGCGTGGTCGTTGGTAGCCAGTGAAGTTGCATATGTGGGCAGTTCAGGATAGGGCTTTGGATCCCAGGCATGGCCAGCAGATGGTGTGGAAAGAGGCCAGGGCTGGGAGTCAGGAGCCCTGGGTTCTGGGTGCAGCTCTGCTGTGGCTCCTACGTTCTCCTGTTTCTGTCCTTCTCAGGCCGTGCTCCGAAATGGTTTCTCTTTCAGGCAGCAGGGACGTGGTGAGCTCCCCCAACCTGCCAAACCTTTACTCAGTGCAGGGAACCTGGCAAGGAAGAAAACAGGCGAGACCCCTCCCCTGAGAAGCCACACCCTGGTGGAGGGAGCCAGATGGTAAACACATTCACCAGAACTTTAGATGGTGAGAAGTGCTGATAGGAAAACTGAGTCCTATGATGGGGGCGCTTGGGGTACCTAAGATTTGGCAGGCAGGTCCCAGGAGGGGATGTTTGAGCTAGGAGCTGAATGACAGGAGGGAGCCAGCCACGCAAAGCTCTGGGGGTGGGGGTGGGGTTGGGGTTCTCTCCAGGCTAGAGGAGGAGTGAGGACAAAGGCGTTCGGCACGCCTGGCCTGTTGCAAGAACAGAGAGAAGGCCAGGGTGCCTGGGAGGCTGGTGAGGGCAGGCAGAGGCCAGGCCACAGGGCTGGCAGGCCAACGTAAGAGGGAGAGGGCTTTCTAAGTGTGATGAACAGTGTAGAATGACTGGAAATGGTGAGTGGGTAGATGGAGGATGGAGGAATGGATGGATGGATGGATGGATGGATGGATGGATGGATGAATGGATTGTAGGTGCAGCTATGGGGTGATCCCTTTTCTCCCCATCATGAGGGTCATAGGCAACACTCCTGTAACAAAAGACAGGTTAACAAGAGGAAAGCATAACAAATGTATTTAATCAAAGTTTTACGTGACATGGGAGCCTTCAGAATGAAGATCCAAAGATCCAGGGAAACTCCATTTTTATGCTTAAGTTTGAGGAGGAATGGGCAACTATGAAGAGCTATGATTGGACACAAAGAGTAAGACCCCATGGGAGCAGACTGAGTGGGGAAACCCAGCAAGGCCTGCTCTCAGATCCTTCTTGGCCTCTCTGTGCTGCATTCCTTCCTTCAGGGTATGGGGCAGGATTCTGAGTGGGGGTCTTATGATCTACTATCAAACAAAGTAGGTCAGAGAATTTCTTTTTTTTTTTTTTTTGAGATGGAGTCTCACTCTGTCACCCAGGCTGGAGTGCAATGGCACGATCTCGGCTCATGGCACCTCTGCCTCCCGGGTTCAACAGATTCTCCTGCCTCAGCCTCCCAAGCAGCTGGGATTACAGGCGCGTGCCACCATGCCCAGCTAATTTTTTATGTTTTTGATAGAGACGGGGTTTCACCATGTTGGCCAGGCTGGTCTCGAACTCCTGACCTCAGGTGATCTGCCTGCCTCAGCCTCCCAAAGTGCTGGGATTACAGGCGTGAGCCACTGTGCCCTGCCCGACCAAAGGATTTCTTTATGGCCAGCTCTTACGCAGAAAGGCAGGAGAAGGCTAATACTTTTAGGTTTTATGGGTGGCTTTAGGGGAAAGGAGTTCTGGTTTCTGTGACCTGCCTTGGGAAAGAGGAATTCTAGTTTCTATGGCTTGCCTCTGGGGAGAGTGAGGGGTGGGGAAGAGAATTCTAGTTTCTGTGGTTTGTGTCGGGAGAGTAAGGGATAGAGACAGGAAGGCAGGAGATGTTCAGAGAAAAGCTTTGCTTCTGAGGCTGTTTGTGAGGCGTTCACTTTGGGGTACCATTTTCTGAGCCCCAACATGTGGTTGGGAGAGTGGATGACTGGCATACAGAGACCCTCTTTCCATTCCCCTCCTGTAGTAGGTTGAATTAACTCTGAGAGCTCCTCTGCGTAGTCCTATTCATGGTCGGGCCCGGATGGCAGGAAGAGTGGGGAGCTGAATGTTCAGGAGAAATGCCTCAAACCCCCTCAAGCACATGATTGGGAACCCTCAGCGGTGGGAGCAGAGCCCACTGACTGCTCCTGAGTGGGACTCCTGGACTGACATCCTGACCTGCCGTGCCCGGGCTCGCCTGAGCTCGGGACTGGGCTGAGCTGAGACTGGGGGGAGGGGGAGGACACAGACTTCACCTGTGTTCACAGAGCCCAGGGCTGACTCCCGGAGCTGTTGCTCTGAGGGTGGGATGGGCAGCCCCAGGCCTCCGTTCTCAAGGCGTTCCTCTGGGATCCAGTGCCCCCTCTGCCCGCCCAATTGCACGGGCCAGACAGCTGGGGTCGTCTTTGACAGCGCCAGTGTTACAGCGAGCAGTAAACATCCTTAATACCTGCCCTGTCTGTCCCCATTTTGTCTGCTGAATTTCCATCTGGGCCACCCACTTCTCTTCACCCTCGCACCCACCTTGGCTTGTCATTCCCAGGCTCAGAGTCCAGGGCCTGGCCCTGCCAGCCTGCCTGCTTTGGCCTCCTCTCTGCTGGCCTGACTCTGGCCTTTTCTCCATCCTCCAGGCCTCCACTGTCCTCACATCCAGGCCCTGCTGCCGAGGGTATCCTCCAGTGCTTGTTCCGCTCTGCTCTCTCCTGTGGTTGCTTCCCTCTGCTAGTCCTTCAGAAACAGCTCCAGCTCCTAGTTCTATAGGCAGCCTCCCCGCCTGAGCACGTGTCAGAGGATTTTTCTTTGTTGTATGTGAAGGTTCACTTGAAGTTTCTTTCCTTCTGGTCTGCAGGCTCCATAAGGGCTGGCACCATGTCGGCTTTTGTCACCATCCACCCAATCCCTGGCACATAGTAGGCACTCTGGTGATTTGTGGATGGATGGAGAATGGCTGCATGCACTAACTTGACTTTAACCAGATTTCACCTGTGTTCACACCACCCAGGGCCCACCCTCAGGGCTGTTTCCAGCCTTTTCTACTCTGAGAGCCTGCCCCTGCCCTAAACCAGGGACTCTGGAACCAAGCCCTGGCCATCTGTGGGTGTTGGTGTCTTCACACCTGCCGAGGCCAGGACCACCTCCTGTCCTTGCTCCTGGGCCAGCCCAGCCTGGGGTTTGAGGCCTGGGCCTGTCTGGGATCTCTGGAGGAGGGAAGGGCTCACTCAGAAGCGTGCTACCAAATGGAAGAATGAAATCGTCAAGGACTCATCTGAGCAACTGCAGAACAGTCTAACAGGGCCCCTTTCGAAGTAGAGTACACCCCAGGGAGGCTTCCAGGGTGGTGACAAGTTTGGAAACCAGGCTGAATCAAGAATCGAGGACAACCGTAGGACTGAGAAGTTGGGGGCGGGGAAGGGACTCAGGATCAAATGGCTTTGGAGCCTTCACCCTTGAGCTGGGCTCCAGAGGGCAGTGGGCATGGAGGAGAATGAATGGCAGCAGGTCTCAGGCTGAGCCAATGGCCCTGGGTGCCATGTCTCTTTCGGGTCTTGGGCTGGCCAGGGCTCTGCTCCCAGGGACCTGGTGTCTGCACCCCACCCATGAACATGTCGAGGTGCAAGTTGGAGGAAGCTCTAGGTTTGGAAGCCATCTCCCTCAGTGTTGGGGTTTTATCTGCTGGCCGAGGGCCCTGCTCGTGGTTGGGGGTGGGCTCTAACCTGTGAGGATTTTCTGGTCGTCAGGCTCTGTCTAAAACAGGCGGGGGGTGCACCCAGGAGGCCTCAGAGCCCATGATTCTAGGTCACCTCCCACAACATCCAGAGACAGGAGTGGTATTTATAGCAGCCGGCGGCCACTGAAGGTGGAGGAGTCAGCATGAGCTGTGACGCAGGCTGACCCCGCCGAGGTCCCCTAGCTCTCGCTGACTCCCTTACCACCACCCCCACCCCAGAGTCTTCCTAGGACTGGGCCTGCTGAGGAAGCAGGCATTATCAGATTGCCTCCCCAAACCCTGGAGGAGACGAGGTGCCACTTTCTGCCTGGCAGGAGCCTTGGCCTCTGCCGGTCTCACCAGGACCTTGTCTGGCTTGACAGCCCCAGCTGGGCATCCCATTAGCACTGCTGGTCTCTCTCAGACGTTGCCGTCAGCTCCTTCACGGAAAGGTTCATCCCCTGGAGTTACAGCAGCTTCACTGACCTCCCCTGGGCCAGCAGGGGTTAGCGGGAGCCTGCCTTTTCCCCACTGCGGATAGTTAGGGGGGCCGAGGGCACCAGCCCCTGGTTGACAGGGATGAAGCCCTGCCAAACTCCCGCCCCCTCCCTGCCGTGTCCTCGTGAAGTGGGAGTGAAGTGCCACTGGGGCCAGAGGGGCTGTGCCGAGCATGTGGCCCCAGCTCCACCTCCCACCACACCCTGAGCAGGTCGGGAAGCAGAGGCCGCAGAAGTGACAGCGTGACAAGGCTGGGCGAGTCTCTTGGGAAGGAAAGTGATGCCAAATTCTGGGGTCAGAGGTCGAGCAGATGGGCACTTACCTACCCAGAACAGAGTGGGTCAGTGGCCTTGCTCAGGCATGGGCAGGCAGAGGCTGGCACTTGTCAGGGGCCTGATGGGGTTCCCCTCATCGTGGAGGCCTGTTCTCCCCTCTCCTTTCCAGTCTCTATGTTGCCCAGAGCCTCCTGGCCTATTCCCCCACAGGCTGGGAGAGAGGCAGATGGAGGCCAGGGTCTTCTTGGGAACTACAGTGTAATGGAGGAGGTGAGGCAGACACACCAGAAGCATGCAGGAAAGTGGGTCACGGGCTTACCTGGTCATTTGTGGGCTGGTTTGCCAGGGCTGGGGCTGAAGGCCAGCTGGGACAGGCACTGAGCAGGCCTCGCAGGCTGTGGAGGCCATGTCGGGGCGGAGTGCCCAAAGCAAGCGGGGCCATCTGGAGAGGAGGAAATGCCTGGGCATGGGGTGCACTCAGTGGCTGAGCAGGTGGAAAGACAGGAGCTGGGAGTGGGCGTGCCCGGCCGGCAGGGACAGAGTCAGACAAGGTGGAGGGTATGGGTGCTGGTGGCAGGGCTGGGCAGGGCGGGGTAGGGGTGTGGTTGGTGGAGAGCTTTATAGCTAATGGTTGGGAGTTTTAATTTTATTTAAAGGGCATTTAGGAGTCATAATAGGCTCTTGAGAAGGGAATTTATTTATGTATTTATTTATTTATTTATTTATTTTATTGTTTTGAGACTGAGTCTTGCTCTATTGCCCAGGCTGGAGTGCAGTGACGCAGTCTCGGCTCATTGCAACCTCTGCCTCCCTGGTTCAAGCGATTCTCCTGCTTTAGCCTCCCAAGTAGCTAGGACTACAGGTGCCCCCCACCATGCCTGGCTAATTTTTGTATTTTTAGTAGAGATGGAGTTTCGCCATGTTGGCCAGGCTGGTCTCGATCTCCTGGCCTCAAGTCATCCGCCCGCTTAGGCCTCCCAAAGTGTTGGGATTACAGGCGTGAGCCACCGCGCCCGACTTGGGGGTTGATTTAATTAAAGCTCTATGTCACCAATCTCCTCCTCTGAGCCAGAGCCTGCTTTCAACACTTTACAACTTTTTTTTTTTTTTGAGATGGAGTCTCACTCTGTCGCCCAGGCTTGAGTGCAGTGGCGTGATTTCGGCGCACTGCAAGCTCTGCCTGCTGGGTTCACACCATTCTCCTGCCTCAGCCTCTCGAGTAGCTGGGACTACAGGCTCCCGCCATCATGCCCAGCTAATTTTTTTTGTATTTTTTAGTAGAGATGGGGTTTCACCGTGTTAGCCAGGATGGTCTCGATCTCCTGACGTCGTGATCCACCCGCCTCGGCCTCCCAAAGTGCTGGGACTACAGGCGTGAGCCACCACGCCCAGCCTCACACTTTACAACTTTTAACTCGCTTTGTCCTCCCAGCCACCCCAAGAGGGAGGCACTGTCATCATCCTCATCCTATTTTATAGACGAGGAGAGGGCTGCGTTGTATATTGAAGGTCACAACTCTGTGGCCGTTTGAGTAAATCAAGGCACTGGGACCAAAGCCGGGTCCAGTCCTGTCCTCCACCCGGCAGCAGGGGCCTTCTGAGCCCCTGCCCCTTCCTGGAGGCCTTGTGCTTGGGTCCAGCTTTGCCCTGCCTGGGGTGATGGGAGGGGATAGGGAGGTCTGAAGGACAGAATAGTCAGCTGTAGGCCCAGGTCTCTAAGCTTCTGGGTCAGTGACTTTTTTCTGTGGCCCCTTTTGCCCTCCTGGCTCAGGCGAGGGGAGGAAATGCTGTGATCATTGTGTGAGCTCAGGCACCTGTATGTAGCCCCCAGGCTCTCTCCTTGGCCATTCTGCAAGTAAAACTCTAAAAGTCCAGACTAGAATGGACCTGAGAGCATATCCTGCTTAGTGGCTTTCAAACTTTGTTTGTTTGTTTGTTTGTTTGTTTTTTGAGACAGAGTCTAGTTCTGTCACCTAGAGCTATTTTGGGAGGCCAAGGCTGGCTGGAGTGCAATGTCGCAATCTTCGCTCACTGCAACCTCCACCTCCCGGTTCAAGCAATTATCCTGCCATAGCCTCCCAAGTAGCTGGGATTACAGGCATGCACCACCACGCCCCGCTAATTTTTTGTAGAGACGGGGTTTCACCATGTTGGCTAGGCTGGTCTCGAACTCCTGACCTCAGGTGATCCAGAGCAGCTGAAAGCTGCTGTGGTTGACATTGCCTGCAAGCCCACTGAAGCCTGCCCACTATGGCCACCTCCCCTCATCTGGGGTCCCTGAGGGCTTCTGGAAACCCACTGAAGAGCACTGAGATCCCCCTCATTGAGCACAGAAGGAGAGGAGGGTGACAGAGGGAGGGGACGGGGCTGCAGCCTGTGTGCCATTGGTGGTGGCAGGTGCCACCTCCCTCTCCAGTCTCTGTGGGGGCAGGGGATGTTGGCCCTTCCTGTCACATACTAGAGCTCTGCAGAACCTCTTCCCCTGGGGAAAGAGCTCCTGTTACGAAGTCACTTGATCCCTGCTTGCTTCCGAGATGCCCGGGGTACAGTCGAAGGGAAACCCAATAGCCCAGTTGGCCAGCCTGTGCCCTAGATGGCCATGCAGCTTAGGGAGGTGGCCCACGAAGCCTCCCCACCTTTGAGCAGCAGGCACCCACACCAGCCAGACCCCGAGGGCCAACCCACAGCCTGAGGAGAGGAGGCAGCAGGACCAGGGCTCAGGGTAGGCTGGGCAAGGGGGCGGGGGCCCCAAGAGGGGAGGCATCAGGCTAGGTGTGCCCACTTAGCATATCATTAACAGCTTCATTAGGGGGCCCCTAATGAAGTGGAAGGTACTAATTCTTCACTGAGGCGTTGCCAGCACCCAGACGGAGTCTCCTCTCAAGGAAGTTCTGAGAAGCCAGAGCGCTGGGATTCGTGCTGGGAGCTGATGAACTGCCTGGCAGGGGGGCCATCTGGGGAGTGAGGTCCCAGCAAGTGGCTCCTAGGAGAGGGGGTGACTCTGGGGGGAGGAGCAGAGGGTGGGGCCAGTGGAAAGCTGGAAGGGCAGATGGGCTTAAAGGGAGGGGGGACCGCTACCTCTCAGGGCATCCTGCGTTTGAGCTGGGAAGGGGCCTGCAATGAGACACCCTGAAACTCAAACATGCAAGCTGATAGATGCGGGGCATCCTGGCAGGATCTCAGGCTTTGGAGTGTTCTAGAGTCTTGTGGCCTTGGGCGAGAACTCTGTGGCTCAAGCTGTCCCAGGGGTGTTGGGTCCCCTCTCCCTGGGTGGTTGTGGATTAAAGGAGGCAGTGCCAGTGCGGCCGTGCTGGGCTCCTAGGAGTTGGAGCTCTCCCTTTCCAAGAAGGCAAGTCAGAGGATTATGCAGGCTGGAAGGGTGAGGGCAGGTGTGGGTCAGCCTGCTCACCTGTCTGTTTGGGAAGATTGACTTAGATCGCGGAGAGTTATTGCCCCTGCCATGCAAGGTGAGGTAAAGGTTCTGCGCACACTGGGGAGACATGGTTACTAAATCACAATGATGGCAGCTCCTGTTTTCTAAGAGCTGAGCACTTTATGTGCGTTATTTCGTTAACTCCTCATGACTCACTCACTATGAAGTGAGTACCTTCATTATTCCATCTTACAGATGAGGAGACTGACGCTCAGTGAAGTGACAGTCATAGACAACTAGAAGTGATGGAACTAAGATTCAAATTCGGGCTGCCCTGCTCTGGGGCCAGAAGGCAGGCCTCGGTCAGCTCATTGGATGGCCACCCCCTCCAAGTCGATGCCTTTGAGAGAGTCGCGTTCCCGGGAGAGTGGGGTAAAGACGTGTTAGGGCATGAGGGGACTGACCAAGAAGACCACCGGGGCAGGTAGAAAGGACGAAAACCACAGACACCCTTCCCCACAGACAGGCAGGAGAAAACAGCCTGGTGCCACCCAGTGTGGGGCGGTGTCGGCCTTTGCGTGAGGGCTTGGAGATCCAGGCTGCCCGGCCGCACCCATCACAGAGGCCAGCAGAACCCGCCTGTCTGGGCCTCTCCAGAGGGGATGTGGACGTGTGGGACAAGGGCTTGTTCTGAGTTTCAGAAAAATGAATAATCTCCAAGGAAGAATCCAGAAGCCAGACCTGGTCTGGCCAGAGCCTGGGGGACTCCTTCCACTGTTGGAAAACATTGTCGGAGCACAGGACTGAGTGGGCTCTGATGTGAATCCCCCTGGGAAGAGAGGTCAGAGGAAGGCTGGGGGCAGGAGGAGGGCCCAGCCTGGTCGCCAGGGAAGGGTGCTGCTGCCCTCCTGGCCCTCACTTCCCGCTCCCCAGCAGCCAGCCATCTTTCCAAAATAACCAGCAGGAAACGAAAGGCCTCAATTGATTCCCAGGGAGTTGGCTGGTGTCAGTAGCAGGGCTGGTGGCAGATGGCAAATTCTGCTCATTGTGGATGAGTAGAAAATAATTAGCGTGAGAACGAGTAGCTGGAGCCTTGGTAATAAATGGAGCCCTGGTGAAGCCTTCTGGGGAGAGGCCTGGAGCACAGGCCCTGCAACCTCAGGCCTGGCTCTGCCGCTGAAGAGCTGAGTGGCCTTGGGCAACTTATTTAGCCTCTCTGGGCCTCCATTTCTTCATCCATAATACAGGGCATAAGAGGTTGTTAAAAGGATTACATTAAAGGAGGTAATTTTTGTGAACTGCTTGTTAAAGTAACCAGCATGTAGTAAATGCTATATAAGAGTTTGTTTTTAAATAAACACGATCGAGTAATTGTTGGAACTATTTCTGGGTCCGGCCCAGGCTGGCATTGCCCCCAAGTCACTGGAGCTTCTCTTTCCGTCCTCCTCCCTGAACTCTGTGCCCAGCTCCCTGACTGCTGTTTTATAGGGGAGGGGTCTCTGGCCAAGAAGCACGAGGAGGGCACAGAGAGAACACAGCAGGTAGACCTGGCTTCAGAGCCTGACTTGGACACTCACTTGCTAGCTTCTTTAAATTCTTGGAGCCTCAGTTTCCCGATCCATGACATGCGAACAGCTAGACCCACCCCTGGGGTTGTAGTGAGGATGGTTATGTGGCTGGCACATGGTGAGGGGTGGAGGAGGTGCCTCCTCTGGTCCTTCCAGGCCATCCTGGGGGAGAGTGGGAAAGGCGTTTGTTAGCCTAAGACCCTGGGCGGCGGGTAGGAGGGGACAAATGTCAGTGGCCTCCCACTCCTGCCCCTGGCTGCACAAGGCACACTGTTTTCATCCCTAGGCCTGGGCGTGTGAGGACCTATCTCATGCTGAAATCTGGCCCCAGTCCTGGGCAGGCTCCGCTCTGCCTTCTGCTCTAGCGCAGCTGATGTGTGAAAAGCGACAGCTTTCAGGCCCCTAACTTGGGTTGCACACACCCAGGTACAGGCTGGTGGCGCACGTGGCCCCCAGCCCACACGTGCTTTCTCTCCGTCGTCTCCCTTGTCACCTCTCCCCTCCTGTGCTTTCAGAGGCCAGCCTCTCGGCCACTGGGAAGAAGGGGAAGGTACTGTAGCCCCGGGAGCCTGGGGTGGGACCTGTGGGTCCTACTGTCTCTGTGTTTGTGACAATAAGGAGTCAGACTGACAGGCAGAGAGGGTATTTTTTTCTTGCAAGTAGTTCAAGGAAGCTACTTGAAATCCCAGCTCTGCGATGTCCTCGTGGAGGGATCTTCGTGCAAACCATTTTGCCTCTCTGAGCCTTGGTTTCTTCATCTGTAAAGTTGGGGTAATACCCTGTGGCCTGATGAGGCTGGAGGTGGATGACACATAGTGTTTCTAGTGCCTTGCTCTCTCCCGACTCCACAGCCTGCTCCGTGGAATTCCCCTGGGCTCAGTTTTCCTCATCTGCAGAATGGGTCCCGTGCTATCCCACATGATTGTGAGTCTGAAGCTAGATGAAGACCCAGAGAGCTCCTCAGTCTGTAAGAAGAGGCTTAGAGCCAGCTTTTGAGTTCAGAAACAGGCATTTAGCTGAATCCTGCTTCTCAGAAACAGCATGCAGAGGTAAAGACCTGGGTTCTGGGCCTAGGCTGTGTGGCTGTGGGCAAGTCACTTCAGCTCATCTGTCAAATAAGGGGAAGGGTAGTACCTACCTCACAGAACTGTTATGAGGACTAGGTGAGTTCATGTTTGTAAAGGGCATAGATGTGCGCCGAGACCTTGTAGGCAATTCATAAATGTTAGGAGAACCGAAGCAGCCCAGTCCCCAACTTATAGGTGGCTGAGATCATTCTGTCCCTGTCACTACCCAGGATCCTGGAGCCTGCAGTTTCACCAGTGCAGAGAGGTTAACTCGCTACCACAGTCCTGCAGCCACAGTGAACAGCTGGAATCTCACCACGACCAAAGCCTGTGCTAAAGAGAGCAGGACCTGTCTGCCAGCCCAGCGAGGCCAGACAGCGACCTGCTGGTGAGCCCACCCTAGCTGGGGTGGAGCCTCTGAACACAACGCCTCTGCTGGGGGGCGGGCCACCAGTGTCCTGCGGGGCACCACTGGGGGGCCCAGCCTCACTGTGCTGAGTCCCGCAGATCAGATGCCCACCCCCAGACCAGATAAGCTCCAGTGCCCAACAAGGCACATTCAAAATCGGATGGACCACGAGAGCATAGCAGGCAGTAGGCATCAGTTCCTCTCCACTATTTTGGACCACCTTCCAATTTCAAAGCCCTTTCACATAGGAATCCCATTCGTCATGGAAATGGGAGTCCTGGGCTCTCCCTTCAGGACACCAAGGGTCAAAAAACCCTGCAGAGCGAAAAAGAGCCCTTACAAACTTGCCAGTTTCCACATTTACTTTGGCAACCAGGAAGTGTGGCGTCCAGTGCTAGTTTTACATATAGCAACCGTGGGGGCCCTTATGTCTCACATGTGTGCAATGGACTCATCCTCCCGGCCCTCAATTTTGATTTACTGGGGCCTAGAGGGGTTGGGACTTTCTGTCCTGGGGACACTGCTCTTCATTCAGCACCAGGCAGCTCTAGGATGTGGCTGGACCTGGTCCCCATCACCAGCCCCCAGAGGCAGGAGTAAAATGGGGGCCCAGGGAAGGTGGCTCTCTGGATCTGTCTGAGAGTCTCCTCTCTGTCACCACAGCTGCTGCAGAGCAACAGGGACTCCACCGCTGGAGGCAGGAGAGCCAGCCGCAGGTGACTGAAGTAGGCACATGGTTGATGCCTCCCTGCAGGTTTATCTCCTGTGAGGGAGCTTCTGTGGATGTTGCTGGCTTCTAGGAGGGTTAGGCATCTTCAAGATCGTGAAAGAGAGGATCTCAGCCCAGGCTCCCTGTGGTGACACGCTACTAATGCTGTTGTCACTGGGGAGTTTGAGTGGGGTATGTAGTGAGGTAGAAGGGAGCAGGCTGGCTTGGGGGCTTGGGTTGTGTGTCCAGCACCTGGCAGTGACGCTGCTGGGATGGATATCACGGGAAGAGCTAGGGCCTCTGTGTTCTTTCTGAACCTCAGTTTCCTCGCCCATGAAAGGGGACAGTGGGACTGTTCTGAGACTCCTTTTAACTCTGACCTTTGTTAGGTGTGGGCTTTGGATGGCAGCAGGAATGACCTGCGCCTCCTGCCTGCCTGGCCTCTTGATCCTCGGATGGTGTCAGGCAGTCTCTGCATCTCAGTCTCATTCTTCAGTAGTAATAGTAATGGCAGTGGCAGCATTTGCTGAGCAGTTACCAGATGACAGGCGCTGTTTGAAGTGTTGACTGATTTAACCCTCCTGATAATTCGGAGGTAGGTACTCTTCTTATCCCTGGTTTAGAAGTGAGGAGACTGAAGCACAGAGAGGTTAAGTACCTTGTCCAAGGTCACACAGCCAGTAAGTGGCAGAGCCAAGACTCAGATGCAGCCTGTTTTAGAGTGCAGGGTCTTAACCACCCCTTGCACACACTGTGGAATGAGAGCGACACTGCGACCCTGTGTTACTGCTGTGAGGACTGAAGCCGGTTAGTCCAGGACTTGGGACACAGAAGGTGCTCAGCTAATGTCAGATGGATCCCTATGGCTGGACCTGGCTGTCATCCCCTCCTTCAGGCACAACCTCTATCCCATCCCCAGGCCAATGACCAAAGCCATCTCTGGCCAGATGGGAAATCTCATGGGCTGGAGGTGGCACTCGTGGGGGTTCCCAAGCTCATTGTCCAGTTCCCTGTGGACACTCCAGAGGGCTGAGCCAGTACCTTCTTCCCCCCCATCCCCCTGGGAGCTCTTGGAGCCCCATCTGCTGGGAGTCTTGCTGCCAAGGGACTCTGCTCCTTAAAATCTGCTCCCAGGGCCAAGCCCACAGGGTACCTTAGGACGAGGGGGCGAGGCCCAGCCTGGGGTGCTTTTACCAGCAGCACCGGAGCACTCATGGTGGGGGCAGGCTCCTCGGTCAGGGCTTCTGTTTGCTCACTCCAGCCCTTTCTGACCAGCTGGGCACCAGCAGCACCTTCCAGACCCCAGCACCCAGTCACAGGTCACATCACAGGAGGTCCCCACAAAGCCCCTCAGGTGTCTGCTAATGCAACAGCAGCCATCAGCAGATCCTTGGGGTGTGCAGGACCTGTGCAGAGTCCTGTAGTGACATCACCCCAGTCTGTTCTGACCACAGCCTTGAGAGGGATGTTGTTAGCCCCATTTTACAAGAGAAGAAACTGAGGTCCCAGAACAGTTCATCTAGCCAGAGGGGGGGGAGAGGGTTCTCCCTGAGCTGTCAGGGAAGACACTGGGGTGGGAACCCAGCCTGACAGTCAGGAAGGGAGGGACGTTTCCCCAGAAGGGAAGGGTGTGAGCTCAGAGGGGGAAGGAGCCACTGTCTCAGCCCTTGTGACTGGGAGGGGAGCTGTGCTGAGGAGGCCATGGGGTGGGACTGAGGTGCTGGAGCCAGGCACTGCAGCTGGCACCCAGAGGTGTGGCGATGGGTACTGTGAGACCCTGGCCCCGGGGACTGTTGAGCTGGGGTGGGGATGGGCAGCAAGGAGTCAGCAGGTTAACCGTAACACAGTGTGACCAGGGCCATGCTGGGGGAAGGGGTCTAGGGTTCCCATAAGGGAGCAGCCTGTTTCCCAGGAGGAGAGTGGGTTGCATGAGGGCTGTCAGGGAGGGCTTCAAAGAGGAGGTGACTTTTAGCTGACCTAGAGAGATGAGTTGGATTTCACCCATCAGAACTGGAGTAAGCAAAGCATGGACCCTTCCAGTGATGTGTTTCTGGGGAGCAGCATGTTTGGGGTGTCGAGAAAGAAGGATGTGGCAGTGTAAGAAGGTGCTGGAGAGCCTCTCCAGCCAGAGGATTTGTCAGCTGAGGGTGGGCTCTGTGCTGGAGTCTGTCTGCACCAGGATCGCTTTCTGCTCAGGTGATAAGGGAATGCGTGGATTCAGAGAGGGCGAGGCATATGCCTGAGGTTGCACCGCCTGTCGCTGCCGCCCGAGGGGCTTGGACTTTGTCCTGCAGGCCATGGGGAGCCAGGAAGGTTTTTAAAGTAGGGGGCAGCATATGCATTTTTAAAAAGAGTTTGCATTTTTAGAAAGAGGAACTCCCAGAATGGTTAGTACTTAGTCCAGGGGCCTGAATCACCAGCAGGAAAATTGGGCTGTGTGGGTGGGGGAAGAAGGAGGCTTCCTTGGGCTGCTTAAGTCATTCCATCCATGTGAGAGGGGTCCTGGCACCCCATTCACACTTGCCTGTGCTGGGGGTCCAACCAGAGGCAGGAGGAGCCCCCAGCAGTGCCCCTGTGGCCCCTGCTGGAAGGTATGCCGTGCCTGCCCTGGAAGCCCCACTGGTGTGGGATAGGAAGGGCAGGCAGCGCCTACCCCCGCCCCACTGTGGCTGTTAGAGGGGAGGACCCTATGCCCCAGGGGAGGAGAGCCAGAAGAGGTGCTTTGTGGCAGCCCCAGACCAGGAAGTAGCCTCTGCCCTCCCCGCTCCTGAGACATTTCCTCCAGATGAAATCACATCCCCAGCAGGGGAACAGGCCCTTATTGTGATGGGCCGGGGTCTCTAGAGAAAGGGCACCATTCAAGGCCCTTAAAAATAGCCCCAAGAGATGTATGAATTGGCCTGGAGAGTGGTGCAGCCCACCCCCAACCCTTATGCAGCACAGGCCCTGCCACCCCCACCCCAGACCTTGACTTGTTGGTGACCAGCCGGAGATTCCACCAGCCCAGGCGGGAGGGGTGGCTGGTCCAGCAAGGGGTTCCTTGCACTCCCTCCGCCTCGCCCGCCCCAGCTAAGACAGCTAGAGCCTCTGCAGACCTCTCATGTGATTCTCACCAGGACTTTAGGAGGTAGGGATAATCGACATTTTACAAATCGACATTTTACAGTTGAGGAAACTGAGGCACGACTAATAAGTCACACAGTGGGTACGTGGTAGAGCCCAGGTTCAAAACCAGCCAGCCTGGCACTTGTGTCCCAGCCTCTGTGCCTCGGATTCTATGGTGGTGGGCCGGCCACTGGTGCAGGCCTGTCACTGGGTACCCAGCAGGGTCGGCCCCCAGGAGCCCCGCCTCATACTCTAGGTAGGTACTGCTGTTGACCATGGCAATTGGCCTCAGGCTGGTCACCCTGAGGTGGGGGCAGTGGTTACCACTGGTCATATCCCTCCAGCGTCTTGACAGTCCTTCAGCCACCTCACCTCTGCAGGGCCCAGGGCCAGGTTCGGCTCACTCCTTCCAGCCTGAGAGCTGAAGCGAGCGGGCATTGTTCGGGCAGAGGAGGGGAGTGCAGAGTGAGTGTGTGTGTTGGGTGGATGGTGTGTGATCTCGAGGAGTGTTAGCTATCCTGGGTTCCATGGGTCCAAGGGTGGGAGTGAGAGGAGGGACCTCCCAGGGTGACTGAGAGGGGCCATCCATGGGGTGGACCTGAGAAGGAGATATTCTTGGCTGCTGGCAGAGGCAGGCCTGGGGGCAGGCTGGGTAGGGCCAGACCCTAGCCCTCCAGCCAGCCCCTCTGGGACAGCACTGCTCCCTCCTCCCCTGGTCTGGCCAGATCAGAGCAGGATGCGGCTCTACAGCACCTGCGGGGGCGTACTGCCCCCCCAGCCTCTAGATTCATTCCATTTCATTCTGTTCCATTCATGTGAGGGGCTCCTGGCAGCCCCGACAGCCCCCTGAGCCCGACCCAGCGCTGCACCTTACCCTCTGTGAGCTACTTGGAGACAGGGAGGGGGCGGCAATACCAGCTGTTGGCAGCTCTGTTCTGCCCCAGCCCAACTGCCACCCACGGTGCCCCAGCCCCCCCTCCTGTCCTATCGTGTCCAACCCTAATCTGAAGCTGGTGCTGTCAGCCACATGTCACAGGCACTGCTGACGCCCCGGACCCCTGCAGTCCACAGACCACCCCCCACCCCCAAAGCCCAGCCACCCCACCACCATGCTCCCTCACTCTCCACCCTTCTCCCTGCCTCCCAGAAGCTGAGCTCCGACTCCTCCTTGGAGAGAGAGTGGGATGATGTCACTTCCTGAGGGTGGGGGGAGGAGTAGGCACGACCCCGGCAGGCTAGCCCGCCAGCCCGCCAGGCCACAGCTCGCCAAGTGGCTGCACCGGGGATAGGGAGGCGGGCCGGGCGGACATGCGGGCTGGCCACCTGGCCCCACGCCCTCTCGCCCACCCTGGGGGCTATGCCCACTGGCCAAGGGAGACTTGGCTGCTTCCTCCCCGAATGATGCCGGGCTCCTCGGACACACATTTTCCCTGGAGCCGCCACTGGGGAGAGGAGGATCTGCCGCCTGCCCCGGACCAGGTGCCATGTAAGCCTCTACTGGCCCCCGGCGGGGGACAGCTGCCCACCAACTTGGTCCCCAGCCCCCTGCAGCAGTTTAGTGCAGAGCTACCCTGGAGCCCTTTATGGGTATCTCTGGGGACCTAGCTCCCTGTGGGGTCACCTCCCACCCATGCTGCTTCCTTTCTCTTTGGGATGCTAAGGAGTGAGGGCCCTGAGTTCCTGGGCACTCTTTCCTGAGCTTGCTTGGGGCTGATTTGAATTCAGCTACTTCAGAGAGTTGAAAATCCAGCTGGAAAAGCTGCATGGCTCAGGGTGGGCTTGGGAGGTATGGTTGCCAGGAGGGGTGTGACCCTGCAGGGCTTACCCCATCCTTCCAGCAGTGTGGGGTGGAAGGTGTCCCAAGCCCTACTCCTGACCCTGCACCTCAACCGTGCTCTTCCCTCCCTGGAGGCATAGCTGTGGTGGGGACTTCTGTCTGATGGGTTCAAAACCAAGTCATAGAGCACGCTCTTGGCTTCCAGCAAAGCAGGAAACTGAAGCCTTCATTCAAGAAATACTTACTGAGCACCTGCTCTATGCCAGGCACTCCTCACCTTCCATGTTTGTCAGTCCCAGCTGCCAACCATACAGGGTCCCTTGCCCCCACCTTCCCAAGGCCTTCAGCCTTCCTCCTGCCCTGCTGGGCTTTGTGCTGTTGGGTGGGCTTGTTCTTGGTCTGGGAAGCCCCTCCCTTGACTCCAAGGACAGTGTGCACTGGGCCAGGTCTAAAGATTATAGGGTTTGAGGGCTGGGCTGAGGGTCCCACTGATCCCATGAAGGAGGAAACGGGGTCTTTAATAGAGCTCAACAGTGACTGCTGGGGTAACCCCAGGTAGAAGCCGATCCCTAGTGGCCAGTACCAGTCTCGGGGGACAGGAGAGACTCCAGGGGGAAGGCTGAAGTCTGTGTCCTGCTGCTAAGGTCCTTTGTGTTGGCTCCTGCCCGGAGGTGGGTCAGCACTTCCAGTGGCCAGCTCCAAAAATGCCTGTGCTTCTGGCCACACCGGGGACTGGTCCCGTGGCCCAAGGAATGCAGTGGCCCTGGGTGCCTTCACCTCCTCAGGCAGCTATAAGGTCCTCTGCTTTCTTTCAGGAGGTGAGCACCAGGCCCACTGAGCCTCTGCAGAGCCACCAGCCATGCCCGGGATCGTGGTGTTCCGGCGGCGCTGGTCTGTGGGCAGTGATGACCTCGTCCTACCGGCCATCTTCCTCTTTCTCCTGCATACCACCTGGTGAGTCCCCAGGCCCGGGGCCACAGGCCTGGGTTTGGAGAGAAAGGTCTGGAAGGACGCTTTCTGGCCATTTGTTCCTCCCTGCTTGGGCCCAAGTCCCAACCCTGTCATGCCCCCAGCTGCCCGGAGGAGGTGCCTGAAACATCTAGCCCCTTAGGGCAATGACACCCCTGCTACCATTGCTGGACCTGACCCCAACACTGGGGGGAGTTGCTGCTACTGTCTCCCCATGGCTGACCCTGAGTCTTTTACTGGCCGCCCATGCCCTTCTAGGCATTCGATGCCAGGTGGACAATGGTCTTATGGAGGAGGTGCCTGCTGCCAGCCCTCCTTCCACTGAATCTGGGCTGGGGAAGGGCCTGCCTGCTAGTAGCATCTCGAGGTACAGGGGCCACCTGGCCTTGCTCACACGGGCGTTCCTGTGACAGGTTTGTGATCCTGTCCGTGGTGCTCTTCGGCCTGGTCTATAACCCGCACGAGGCCTGCTCCCTGAACCTGGTGGACCACGGCCGCGGCTACCTGGGCATCCTGCTGAGCTGCATGATCGCTGAGATGGCCATCATCTGGCTGAGCATGCGCGGGGGCATCCTCTACACGGAGCCCCGTGACTCCATGCAGTACGTGCTCTACGTGCGCCTGGGTAAGGGCCACCCACCCTGGGGTGCTGCCCCAGACAACTCCCACCTCTCCATTCACTCAGCCAGTATTTACTGCGCACATGTTGCGAGCCAGGCCCTGTTTTAGCACTGGGGTACAGCAGTGAACTAAGGCCTTCTGTAGCTTACATTCTAGACTAGGGGCCAGCAAACTGCAGCCTGAGGGCCAAATCCAGCCTGCTGTATGTGTTATTAAATAAGGTTTTAGGCTGGGTGTGGTGGCTCATGCCTGTAATCCCAGCACTTTGGGAGGCCGAGGCAGGTGGATCACAAGGTCAGGAGTTCGAGACCAGCCTGGCGAACATGGGGAAACCCCGTCTCTACTAAAAATACAAAAATTAGCCAGGTGTG
Organism: Homo sapiens; assembly: GCF_000001405.40. NCBI lineage: Eukaryota > Metazoa > Chordata > Mammalia > Primates > Hominidae > Homo > Homo sapiens. The sequence goes on from NC_000011.10 coordinate 61,721,258, forward strand.
GTGGCACACGCCTGTAATCCCAGCTACTTGGGAGGCTGACGCAGGAGAATCACTTGAACCCAGGAGGCAGAGGTTGCAGTGAGCCGAGATTGCGCCACTGCACTCCAGCCTGGGTGACAGAGCAAGTCTCCATCTCAAAAAAAAAGAAAATAAGGTTTTATTGGCACATATCCATTCAGTAAGGTATTGTCTCCAGCTGCTTTGCCCCTACAGCAGCCGAGTTGAGTAGTTACTACAGCGACTGTAGGACTCCCAGAGTCCAAGATATTTGCTCTCTGGCCCTTTACAGGAAAAGGTGCTGACCCCATCCTCAACCATGTGCATCTCTTCAAAGCATATCTTCCTTGTGATCCTTCTCAAAACAGGCCTTCTGCTTCCTGGGAACCCCCTCAGGAGTCTGGGCCAGCTCCCCAGAGGACCAGCCTGTGTCCTCTTCTTGGGCTTAGGTTGCAGCCCCTTCTGGTCATTTGTAGTGAACACTGCTCTTGTGCTTCTGTGCACTGGGCTAGGCCCTTTTTCCTGTGTTAACTCACAGGGAGTGGGTGTTATTGGTCTCCGTTTATAGATGAGGAAACTGGGGCCCAGGCCTAGCTCTCACACAACTAGTAAGCGTGTAAATGTCGGAGCTGGGATTTGAACCCACGCTGTCTGGCTCCAAAGTCTGGTCTCTGAGCTGCCACACTGCTGCCCGTGCAGCTGGGGCTTTCCAGGCTGCCCCCATGAGGCCAGCAGATCTCCTTCTCAGCCACCACTCCATACCCCTCCCCTCCAGTCTCAGCCCCTGAGGGGCCTGAGCTGGATGCAGACCAGCTGCTGGGCCCTTCCTCTCTCCTCCATCAGGTTCCAGAGGCCTCTTGCTGGGAAATAGTTTCCATGAAGTGAACACGCTCTCATCTAATTTTTGCACAGTCCTATGACATAAATGTTGTCACTCCCATTTTACAGATGAGGAAATGGAGGCTCAGAGAGATTAGGAAACTTGCCTAAGATGTGTCTGATTCCACAGTTCAGACATGATTCTGAGATCCTGATAGAATGAGGAAATGGGCCAGGCGCGGTGGCTCATGCCTGTAATCCCAGCACTTTGGGAGGCCGAGGCGGGTGGACCACTTGAGGTCAGGAGTTCAAGACCAGCCTGGCCAACATGACGAAACCCCGTCTCTACTAAAAATACAAAAATTAGCTGGGCCTGGTGGTGGGTGCGTGTAATCCCATCTACCCTAGGGACTGAAGCAGGAGAATCTCTTGAACCCAGGAGGCAGAGGTTGCAGTGAGTCAAGATCACACCATTGCACTCCAGCCTGGACAACAAGAGCAAAACTCCATCAGGGATGCCCCGGGGACTTGAGAGCACAGAAGCTAGGAGAGGTGGTGGGCACATTGCAAGCGGTCATTCAGGGGCCAACAGGACCAAATGGTGACAGGACGGGCTTGGGGCCTGGGAGGCGGGGGGTGGGGGGTCTGCTAATGGCCCGCTGCCTCTGCCTTTGCTACTGAGCTGGCTGAAAGCCCAGCGATAGGAAAGGCCAGGCCGGGGTTCTAGGCCCTTCCCTGGCATGCAAGTGGCAGCCATCCTTCAGCCAGGCCTGCTCTCCTTGCAGCCATCCTGGTGATCGAGTTCATCTACGCCATCGTGGGCATCGTCTGGCTCACTCAGTACTACACCTCCTGCAACGACCTCACTGCCAAGAATGTCACCCTCGGTACGTCTGGGTGAGGCCTGCTGGAGCCTCAGCAGCCCCGGGGGCACAGGGGACGAGATCAGTTTAGAGAGGAAGAAGCTTGGGCATTGCCAGAGGGCAGTGCCTTCTGTGGGGGCACCAGCAGGTTGGCTGGGCGAGACTGCTTCCCTCACCCTTGAGGCCTGCCAGCTACCTGGTCTGGGGTGGGCTGCAGCAGGCACAGAGCTGCTCAGGTCAAGCCGAGGCTCCTCAGCACCTCCTTGGAAACCCACAGAGCTGCCTGCTCTGAGCCAAGAGTGGCCCTTGGGGTTGTGGGTGGGCAATAGGGTGGCCACGTATGTGGCCAGAGACTGGGACCAGGGGCTTTGGAGCCTGGCTTTTGTCCCCAGAAGCATTTGGGGTTAGGGAGGCTCCAATGTCCCTTTCTTCAGAGCGGGTGAGCCAGAGAGGTGTCCCCAGCGCCCCTACCTAATGCCTCCCACTGCTGCCCGCAGGAATGGTTGTCTGCAACTGGGTAGTCATCCTCAGTGTGTGCATCACTGTCCTCTGCGTCTTCGACCCCACGGGCCGCACCTTTGTCAAGCTGAGAGCCACCAAGAGGAGGCAGCGTAACCTGCGGACCTACAACCTGCGGTCAGTCAGCGGGCTGGGTGGGCAGTCCCAGGGTGGGCTTTGCTGTCTGGTGAGCAGAGGTCTCCATTCTTCAGAAGGCTACCCCAGGCCTCCCAGACTGCATGCCAACCTCGTGTGAGCCGTGGGCATTAGTCAAAGGGCTTAACTGCTCCCTGCCTCAGTTTCCTTGTCTATAAAGTGGGAATAATAACAATTCTTGTCTCATGTTGTTGTGAGATTTAACTGAGCTAATACCTGCAGAGTGACTAACACAGTGCTCACACTGGGTAAGTGCTCGGTTAATAGTAGTTGTTGTCATCATTGTCCACTGCTGATAATAACAATGGTAATAACAGTGAAGCCAAGCATTGCGTGTAGTAAGTTACAAGTCCACCACACAGCTGTCAACTTCCCCATAATATGGGTGGAGAAACTGAGGTACAGAGAGATGATGGGACTTGCCTGAGGTTACACAGCTAGAAAATGGTAAGGCTGGGAACTAGCCCAGGCAGTCTGGCCTTAGAGTCCTCGCTTAACTAGCTATTAAATTAGGCTAGGCTGCCTCTAGGATTCAGAGATTGGGAGAGGCAAGTCAAGGAAAGCTTCCTAGAGGGGGTGAGTTTTGCATGATGTTTTAAAGATGGGGGAAAGTGTGCCATGGCAGACAAAATGAGGGAGGGCATCCAGGTAGTGTCACAATAATTTGTTTGTTGAAAGAAAAAGAGAGGGGCTTCCAGGGTGGGTCCCAGTACCTCCTGTTAATGGGGCTTCTACAGTGCATTATGTAAGGAGCTCCCCATGCCAAGCCCTTTACGCAATTCATCCATTTAATCCCTTTGTGAACCCCGGCATGGTTGTGAGATCCATTCTACAGATGAGGAATCCAAGTCCCAGAGAGGGCAGGTCACCTGCCGTGGGTCTTGCTGCTGGGGTGCAGAACTGGCACCACACCTGCAGCCCAGAGCAGCTGGCTCAAGCACCTGGGGAGCAGGCTGTCTGGACCCCCGCTGCCCGGCAGGAATTCTCACCGTCCCACCCTCCTGCACTGCTGTGTTCGGCTCCCCGTGGACCTTCCACGTCAGCTCAGCACTGCAGCCAGAGCCACACCCGTGCCTGCTGTGGCCACGTCCCAGCCCAAAATGTCAGGTCTGGGAGCCAAGGCCCCAAAGCCCATATTCCCTCCCAGCCCAGCTGGCCACCACCACCCATCCCACAGTGCTCTGGGAACCCTGCTTGGCCAGCACACTGTCCCTTCATGCCCCAGAAGGTGGGACATTGGTTTAGGATGTACAGCTGTCCAAGTCCCTAAGAGCCAGCAGGTCCCCAGAGTAGCAATTCCCTGCACCCTTCCCTACCTGCCTCCCGTAGCCCTGGAAGACCCTGTTGCCCTCCTTCTCCTTGTGGCCATTTGCCTTATGAAGCCAGGGTTGGAGAGCGGGAAGCGGTCCTTAGACACACGGAGGAGCCAAGAGGCTCAAAAAGGGCCTGGCCTGTCACTACAGATTGATGTTAAGTGCCTTGAATGCATATGAGGGCCACCCTTGCCTTCCTCTCCTGACCACCCAGCATCAGGCTTTTAAGGGGCCGCACATGGCACAAAAGCAAGCTAGCCCCTTCTTGCTCGGTTTGGAGGTCTGCACTTTTAATGTTGGATCTGTTATCTTTATGCTCAACACACTGACTGCAGACATCCAGCCTAGGAGGAACCTCTGTGAATAACTGGCCCATTGCTCTGCCTTTGGGTACAGACTCCTGGAGACCCTGATTCTCCATCTGAGCAGCCAGACCCACTGGGGATGGGGTTGGGGGGTGAGAATAGACAAGGGCAACCATGTGGGTGAGGGGTAGAGCCCTCTCCCTACCTAGGTATCAGATCCAAGGAATTGGGAAATGCAGAGCCTTACTCAGCCCCATAGATTTCCTGTAAGTAGAGTATGTAAGTATGTAAGTGTCTGAAATCCTTTCTGGGGAAAAGCAGGTCTTTCTGGAAGGTCTGTTCCAGGCCTTAGAATGAGACGACAGGGAGGCCCAACACCCTGCTGACCTCCCAGGGTTTGAGCCTTTGGACACCTGAGCTGCAGGGTAGCCCCCACTTAGGGCTCCCAGCTCTGAAGCCCCAGAGCCTGCCTGTGTTCAGTCTTCCAAAAGCCAAGGAGCCTCTCAACTGCTCCCCACCTCTCTCTTCCACCCACCCACCCTTGGCCAACGGCACACACCATCTTAGGCTAGCAGGAGTCTGTCAGGGAGGGCCCCTGCTGGCCAGCAGCCAGGCCACTGGCCACCAGCTCTGGCAGGGCCTGGGCCCTGTTCTCCCCCAGAACCCACTGCGGGAACCCTTTGGTAGGGTCCTGGGAACAGCCTGCCCTGTTTCCATAACGTCTGGGTCCCAGCTCTTCTGGTCCAGCCCTCTGACCTCACACATACCGCCTCTCCTGCTTTGCAGGCACCGCTTAGAGGAGGGTCAAGCCACCAGCTGGTCGCGCCGGCTCAAAGTGTTCCTCTGCTGCACGCGGACGAAGGACTCCCAGTCAGTAAGTACTGGGAGGTCGCTCCCCTCTGGCTCACATCCTGTGGTCAGGTGATTAAGGGGCTGTTGGCTCCTTTGGCAAAGCAGGATGGGGCAGGGCTGGTGGGAAGGAGCTGGGTTTCCAGCGTGAGCAAGTATGGCCTGCTCACACAGGGCCTGTTATTCACTGAGCCACTCGCTCCAGCACGCAGGACCACGTCCACTTGCTTTGTCAAGGGAACAGAAAGCTGTGAAGACTGCATCAACTCCCTTGGAACTTATACTCTAGTTTAAGGAGAAGAAATATGCAAAGTCAGGGTGACCTGAAGACAAAGAAAAGTAGCGTTTCACCAGCAGCAAATTAATCAAGAAGGCCTGGCAAAGCCGATAGGCGTTTAGCACGGTCCTAGATGGGGACACATAGCCTTCAGCACCTGGGAGCTCAGAGGAGTGACCAGAGGGCCGGACTTAATGCCAGGGCACTGCAGAAGGAAGACAGGGCCAGCTGGGGGCGGCCCCCAAGGGGAGGGAAGGGAGGCAGGCCCCGGGATCATCCAGGGGTGCCCCGCAGCGGGCAGGGACCTTAGAGATCATCTAGTCCCACCCCTCATTTTACAGATCAGGCAGCTGAGGCCCAGAGAGGTGGAGTGACTTGCTCAGCGTCCCACAGCTAGTTAGTAGCAGAGCCAGTGAGGTCAGGAGACCACTCCTCCCTGAGGCAGACAGCAAAGTGCCTTCCACGGAAGCCACCGGGAAGCCTCGAGTGGCTCCTGCCCACCAGCGTCCCCTGGTGAGCCGTAGAGTGAGTAATCAAGTGTAAGAAAGCCCCCGAGGTTCCCTGGTGGGCGGGGAGCACCCCCTTGGGTCTCTCTGGGGCGGTCTGAGGGGTCTGGGCTGCAAGGCAGGCCATGCAGAGGGCAGAGAGCCGGCCCCTGGCGGATGGAGGCTGGGGCTGCTGTGTGGAGGGCACGCCTGCCCCTCTGGGTGCACGGGCAGAGCTGGGGCTGTTGTCAGAGTCTGGGGAAAAGATAGCACATCACAGCAGAGCCCCACGGCAAAGGTCCTGTTAGACACTGATGGCCTCAGGGGGCAGGTCTGGTCCCAAGCATGTTTTGATCAGCGTGTGTTGTGTTGCTTACACATTTTAATTGGATGCCAGCATTTAAAAATCAGGGGTATTTCCATAAACTTCTGTATTTCTGAATCTGGTGAAGTGGGCCCTGGAGGGCCTCCGGTCAGCTGGAGCCGAGCAGTATCTGGCTCCGTTTGGCTCCATTCGGCATTTGAATTTGCAGCCCTTGATTTAGTCACTTACAAGTGCCAAACACTCAGGGGCGAGACCCAGTGAGACAGACTTCATTGCCATGTGGTTGTTCCCACCTCAGCGTCTCCTAACAGGTTAGGGAAGAGGCTCTGGGCTGCAGCCTGGGGCCAGGAAGGGAAGACTAAGAGGGCACCAGCCAGCAGGGCTCGCCTCCTGCCCTGAGGCCCAGACATGCACTGTCTTCAGGCCAAGGGCCTGGAGAGAAGCCATGGGGGACCACTGGGCCAGAGAGTACACCCCCTTCTAGGGCACATTGTGGGGGTCACTGAGCCAGCAGCCTGTGGGTAGCTGGGGGAGGGGCCCTGAGACCTGGCAGGCTCCACAGAGGCCTTACGAGGGACTTCCAAGGTCCCAGCTGGTGGGTCAGAGGCAGCCAGGAGCTTAGTTTGGTTTCTGTGCTGGAGAGAATGGCTAGAGGAGAAATGAGCCAGAGCCACCCGGCCTTGATTCTAGCGTCTGGGAAAGCAAAAAGGAGTGGCTCAAGTTGGCGCCTGCTCTTGGTAGACAGTGGGCACCATGCGAATTCCAAGGAGAGGAGAGGGCTGGGTGGCTACTGCCAGGTCTAGGAGCCCTGGGCAGGGCCCTCAGGGTCACAGGGCCACATGGGGTCAGGCTCAGTGGGCGCTGTGGAGGTGCTGGGGAGAACCTGTCCAGGGGACCCCGAGCAGACACCTGCTTCTGCAGCCTCCCAGCCCTGGGGGATTTACTCCTGGCCTCTCGTCCTCTCTCCTGCTCCCCTGCCACTGCCTCCTGCCTTCCTGGACCTCGTAGGATGCCTACTCAGAAATCGCCTACCTCTTTGCGGAGTTCTTCCGGGACCTTGACATTGTGCCATCCGACATCATTGCTGGCCTGGTGCTGCTCCGGCAGCGGCAGCGGGCCAAGCGCAACGCCGTGCTGGACGAGGTGAGCACCACCAGCCCCTTCTCCAGGTCACCTCTCCACACCACCCTTCTTTCAGGCCCCTTCCCTGTGGCCCCTGCAGCGGAGGGCTCGGCTCCCACGCAGCTCCCCAGTGACCACGCACTCTCTTGGACCCTGGAGGTCACCTTTACCTCTGGCTCCCCCTGCCTTCCTGAGCTTGTCCTTCGGCCAGGCTTTCCGTGACTACTACTCTAGGGACTTTCTGGGTCGTGCATGGCTGCCTCTGGGGCTGGCCCTCAAAGGACTTCTAACCACAGGCTTAGTGGACGTGGTGAGCTCCCGAGTCGGTCTTCTGCGTGGCCGCTCCGCCCACCCCACATCCCCACCAGCACACCAACCCCAGTTAGGGTTTCTCAGTGTCTCATACAAAATACCTTTCGCCTGCTGTGGGCCAGGAATGTCCTCAGGGGCTTGATGTTTTGGGTAGAAGGGGAGCATCTGGAAATATGGGGAAACCTCAGATTTTGGAAAAGTGGCTGAATCTTGGAAGAACTAGAAGCTGCATGCTCGTTTGGGCTTCTCGGCCTTTGGGAAGCAGGCGGACGCCAGGGCCTGGGCCCCCTTTCCCAGCCATGCAGCCGGGCCTGGGCCAGTGATTGTCCTTCTTCACCTGCCGGTCTTACAGGCAAACAATGACATCTTGGCCTTCCTGTCTGGGATGCCGGTGACCAGAAACACCAAGTACCTCGACCTCAAGAATTCAGTGAGTCAGACATCAACTCTCACCCCACCCCGTCCCCATCCCTCCCACTCTGCCACAATGACCTAAGCAAACTCCTCCCAGCTGCCCTTGCAGTGCCAGCCACATTGCCCCTGCCCGGTCTCCCCCCGGCTCTCCAGAGAGCCTCTCTGCTCAGATCATGCCCCTCACGAGAACCACCCACTTCACACCGGTTCGACAGACAAATCCCCTGAATTCCTTTACCAAGTTCAGAAGTGTCTGGTCCTGGCCTCTTGAGATGACAGAGCACTTTACCAGGGTGAGCTGCTAGCATTTTTGCTGCTGCTGCTGCTGTTAATGAAACGCAATGGGCGTAGTACTTGGTTTCCAAGCTTTTTTAGTAGTGGAACCTTTTCTCAATCGCCTTTCGTAGAAATCCAGTGTGTAATAGGGAAAGGTGGTGCCAGTAACATGGTGGGAGAACCCCAGCCCAGGGCCCAGCACACAGCCCAGGGCCCAGTACAGCCCAGGGCCCAGTACAGCCCAGGCTGAAACCACAGCTGGCAGCCGGGAGAAACAGGCCCTGCCTCAGGAAGCAAATGGCTGGAGCGTGCATCTGCTCTGATGCCTGTCGCTGCGACCTCCAGCAGGCCCCTCATCCCCTCTGAGCTGGATCCTGAATCTGTGAAATGACACTAGGCACACCTTCTACCAGAGCTGTGCTGAGAGGACACGAGCCATTCCCATCACAGTGCCAGGAAGCCTCGGTGCCAGCCAGGATGCTGATGGAAAGGATTCCGTCTCTTAGAAATCTCAGTCCTTTAGGCCACGTGTGCTGCCTTGTGCCTGCAATCCCAGCACTTTGGGAGGCCGAGGTGGGAGGATTGCTTGAGGCCAGGAGTTTGAGACCAGCCTGGGCAACATAGTGAGACCCTGTCTCTACAAAAAAAAAAAAAATTAGCCAAGCATGGTGGCACATGCCTGTGACCCCAGCTACTTGGGAGGCTGAGGTAGGAGGATTGCTTGAGCCCAGGAGATCAGGGCTGCAGTGAGCTATGATTGCCACTGCACTCCAGCTGCACTGTCCCTTAAAAAGAAGAAAAAAAAAAAACCAACACTCAGTCCTCTAGAAAAGCCTCAGTCCTCCCTGCCTGTCCCTACTCCCCACTAAAGCAGGCATTTGTATCCTCTCTAAAAATAGCCACATCCATAGTAAGTGCCCCAAACCAGCCCATTTCTGCTTGCCAGGCTCTGCCCTGGCTGTTCTCACCACCTTCTCCCTCCCACTCCTCACAGGGAGCGGGGAGGGCAGGCAGCTGTGACTCCCATCAAGTGACTCCCATCGAGGTGCCAGGGTCACACCTGCCACCTGGCAGAGGCTGCCAGGGCCCACCCCGCCCCCAGGGCTGCAGGGAGCTTCTGACAGGGAGAGGATAATTACCTCTCCACTCTCGTTCCTGAAGAGCAGCTGAGCTGGCCAGGGATGTTTCCACCCCTCCGGGCCCTGATCAAGGTGCCACCTATTTCACTTCACAAGGTGACTAACCACCCTCCTTAACTTTTACAAGGTGACTAATTCCCTCTCCCGGTGCCTGGGGCACTCGGGAAAGACTGGAAGCTGGCAGACACTTTGCTGGGGCACCCCTGCCTCTTCCTCCCTCCACCCCAGCAGCCAATAACCTCCTCAGCATCAACAGTGGCTGCTGGGCCTCAGACACACTGGCTTTCAAACTGGTGCCTTTCTCCCAAGAGATCCCAGTCTCCCACCAACGCAGCCCCTGCCCGGAGCCCTGGGAGCCTGCAGCTGGCTGAGTCAAGTTGAAGGCTCCCAATATTTGCAGTCAAAGAACCCAAGGGCCAGAGATTTGGTGATTGGTCTCCTGGCCTAGCGTGGCTGCCCTGTTGCCCAAGGCCCACACACGCCGCCCAGCTGGAGGGCTGGGGCCTCTCAGGGCTACATTTTCCCAGCATCAAGGGCCCTTCTCAGGGCTGATTGCCGAGGTGGGGGGATTACTACTCACATCCCTCAACTCTTCCCTTCTCTGGAAAACAGGCAAGGAAATGGACCAAGTGATTTTCTGTCCCCAAATCATTAATTCTGAGACTGGAGCAACAGGACAGGTCTCTGAGGATTCGTGTCCTGGTTGCATGGAGATAATTAGGGAAATGCAATTATCACCTGGAGGAGTGTCCTTCCTCCAAGGCCTGGGCCCCACACCTCAACAGGGGACCAGCAACCCCTCCCTGCCAGGGGTTGGGTCCGCAGGCTCCCACCCTGGGGAACTGCTGGGCCCTGAGGCTGTAGGCAGGAAGGGCAGGAGGTGACCGCCCTCTGCCTCCTCTCTTCTAGCAAGAGATGCTCCGCTACAAAGAGGTCTGCTACTACATGCTCTTTGCCCTGGCTGCCTACGGGTGGCCCATGTACCTGATGCGGAAGCCCGCCTGCGGCCTCTGCCAACTGGCTCGGTCCTGCTCGTGAGTACCCCTGTCCCATCCCCCAGCGATTGCACCTCTCCTCCCGGGTGGTGTGTGAGGAAGGGCTACCGGGCTGCGCCTACTGCTTTGCCCTGAATGGCTTCTTTTCTACACCTTCTCTGGGCCTCAACCTTTCTAGTTCTGTGTTATCCCTGAGCAGTGAAGTTGTAGGCTTCGGAGTCACACAGTTATGGGTTCGAATCCAGATGTTGTCACTTGCAGCCTGGGGCAAGTGGGTCCACCTCTCTGAGCCTCAGTTTCTTTATCTGCGAAGTGGAGATGTTGATACATACCTCGTGGAATTTTTTGGAGAGGGCTAGATGAGATATTGCATAACACCCACACTGCTGCCTCCCCTCCCCTTCTGGCGTTCTCTCTCTGCCCCCTCAGCCATTCCCTTCTGCCCACATCTTCCCTTCTCTCGGCTCCCCTCATGTGCTCTGCCTTTCTAGAAGAAAGGACTTTCCTAGTAGAGAGGCCCAATCCATAGAGGTCTTTGAAAAGGCACCAAGAAGGCCTGTTAGTTAAGGCTCCAACCTTCTTCATAGGATCTAGGAAAGGCCTTAGCCCCAGACCTGGCCTGCAGCCTAGCTCTGCGCTCAGCCCACCGCTTGGGGGCTGGGTGGACTCTGCATTCCTAAGTGGGCCAGAGAAGGGCGCCTGCTCCAGGAGGAACCCCTCCCTGTCCTGGGTGTCTCCGCCCTCAGCTCATGCCAGGCAGAAGGAGGACAGTTCCCTGGGCTCCCGTTCTGGAAAGGCTGGCATGCTGGGCAGCAGCTTCTTTCCTTGACACCCCTGCCCTTGGGACCCACAGCAGCCACACCCACTCTGCAGCGCCCTCCCTGTCCTCAGAAAGCTGGGTGGCTCTCGGGGCCTTATTCTCACCATCCCTCCAGCGACTGATCAGAGAGGACTAGAGCACCTCATGCCCCCTTCCCATCTTTGTCAGCTGCATGTGCCTGGCATTCTTGCCTGCATCCCTGGGAGTCCCAGCTGTGGCAGAGAACTCTTCAAAATGAGCACCAGGCTCCATTACTCACTGGTGGTGTGGGGACAGCTCTTAGAGCCTTTGTTTCCTAAACTGTAACAGGTGGTATCTGTCCTGCCTGCCCATAGGGTGTTTCAGAACCCAGGGTATCACTGGCAGGCAGGGCTCTCTGGTGCTCTGCAGACAGGAGGGGTGCTGGCATTTGTATTAGGTGCCTTAGTGTTGCAGAGAGAGCAGAGTCCCTAGACCTCATGAGGGCCCAGCCAGGCCCCTGCCTGGAAGAACCAGGTGCCTGTGGGGCAGAGAGAGGCAGGCCTGCAGCCCAGGGTGTTGGGAGGAGGCCAGAGTCCAGTGCCCCAGCCTGTCCATAACAGCCTGGCCAGAGGGAGAAGGGCTGCCCATCTGCCTCGGGCCCAGGCCTCTCCCCTGGCAGCAGTTCTCAGCCCATGCAGAGCACAGCGAGCCAGGCCTGCTTCTGGCTTGGCCCTAGCCCTGCCCTGGATGAGCCCCAGGGCCCTCCCATCCGGGGTGCTGGCCCTGCTCCCCTGACTGGTCCTCCTGGCCCACACATCACTGACTCAGAGGCAGCCCTGTCACCGGAGAAGCGAGGAGCCACTCGTTATTAAGAACCTATTATAGGCCAGACCATTTCTGCATCTTGGACCCTTGATCTCACACCAGCCTTGTGAAGTAGCTGTCACCACCTGCTCTTACAGAAGAGGAAACTGAGGCTTAGAATGGCTGAGTGACCTCCAGGCCCTTGCGGTCAGGAAGTGATACAGCAAGGGTTCAAACTCAAGCCTCCAGTCTCCAAAGGCCACACTGTTACAGCCTCATGCTCAGCTGAGGTTGGAGAGGGAACAGCTGCCGAGCACAGGAGCTCAGCCCCTAGACCCTGGCCCATCACCACTTGACCTGCAGTGTGGGGGACCATGCTCTCCCATTGTACATCGGCTTTGTCCCCCCAGCAAGCACTGTGGCTTTCTCAGCAAAGTCTCTCCCCATTGGAAAGTGTGTAATAGTCACTCAGGTGATGCTCTGAGTGAAGACAAACCTCCTAGCATCACCAGAATCCAAGCTTCTTAATAAAATCTCAGCTGTCATCCCGTGACAGCTGGCAGGCCCAGTCACGTGGGCTCCAGCGTCTGGTGCCTTAGCAGTTGGATGCTGGCTCCCTCTGGTGGCCTGAGGTGCCGCTGCACCTAGCTGGGTGCCCAGCTCCCAGGCTGCCTCATTCATTTCTGTGGGGAGGCTACTGTGTACCTGGCCCTGTTTGGGTGCTGGGGATACAGCTGTGGACCTCTCTGTGGTGCTCACTGCCCAGCGAGGAGGCGGACAGCGCATAGACAAGGCAAATAGGGCACATGGTGGAGCGGATGGGCACTTTGGACCCACATAAAGCCAGGTGCCTGGGATGGGGAGTGCTGGGGGCCTGGGGAGCCCTGGCTGTTAGATGAGGTGGCAAGAGAGACCTCACTGTGACAGGACGTTTGAACAGAGGCCCAGAGGAGCAAGGGCCAGGCCACGCTGTCTCAGGTGCTGCTGAACACGCTGGCAGCAGGTCAGAGAGACCAGAGCCAGGTGGGGTAGACAGGGCGTTGCTGTAGGGTCTTAAAAAGAAAATGATGTGGCTCAACTTATCTTAAAAGGGCCACTCTGTTGCTGAGCTGAGAGCGTAGGGGCAAGTGCAAGGAGGCCAGTCGAGGCCACCATGACAGTCCCAGGCAGAGCTGCCAGGGCAGGGGTAGGGGAGGTGAGGGAGTGCCTGGAGTCCAGCTCTGAGTCTGAAGGGAAGCCGAGTACGTGTACTGACCGAGTGGCATGGCCGTGGGGGTGAGGGCTGAGGAGCCACAGACAGTTGCAAGCCAGAGGCCAAGCCACCGAGGGGCCTTGGGAAGACCTCAGGAGGGTTGGGGTACACAAGCAGGGAAGGGGTTTGAGAGCTGGCAGGGTGTCAGGTGTCCGAGAGAGGTGCTGGCTAGGCCATTGGATGGAAGCATCTGGGTGTTGGGGCAGGCCTGGGGTGGATTCCTGAGCATGCAGATGGTGTCTAAAACACAAGACTGCATGAGTGCATGGAGGAGCCAGTGCCCCCAGAGGGACCCCAGGGCTTCAGTGTTGGGTGCATCGCTGAGTAGGCCCTGCCCGGAGGGGAGATCCCAGAGAGGAGGGGGCCCCAGCCAGGTGGGGAGAGGGAAGGGCCCACAGGGTCAGGTGCCGCCAAGAGCTCAGTTAAGAGGAAGGCTAAGAGTGGCCAGTGGATTTGGTGACGTGGGGGTCACTAGGACTTAGCAAGGGCAATTTGGTAGAGGCAGTGGGGCTGAATGCCCAACTGGAACTGGTTCCAGGGACAGTGGCAGGAGACATTTGTTCCCTCGGGGACTCCCTGGCCCTGAACTCTCTTGTCACCCCACCCTAGGTGTTGCCTGTGTCCTGCGAGGCCGCGGTTCGCCCCTGGAGTCACCATCGAGGAAGACAACTGCTGTGGCTGTAATGCCATTGCCATCCGGCGCCACTTCCTGGACGAGAACATGACTGCGGTGGACATCGTCTATACCTCCTGCCATGATGCGGTGAGGCCGGGCAGGGCTGGGGCCTGGTGTCAGGAGCAGGCAGCTGAGGGCCTAGGGTGCTGAGGCTATCCTTCCAGGCCGGCAGGAGCCCTTGCTTGGCTGGTGCTGGCTGGCTGCAGCTTCCAGGCATCCCTAGCTGGGCAGACCAGAGGTGGCCCCCTTCTCTTCCCCAGACCCTGGCTTGCCTGTACCACCTCTGGGGCTGGGAAAGCAGACATCAACCCCACACCCAGTGTTTGGGTTGCCGAGCCCTAGCCCTTTAGGGAAAGGAATTGAGGGCAGAAGCAGGGAGGGGCAGCCATCACCTGGACTCAGGGGCAAGTGGTGGCACTCAGGGCTGCCAGAGCCAGCAAGGAGCGGGGAGGGCAGGGCAGGCCTGTGGCTGGGATCGGGAGGAGATCCCCAGTGACCCTGGGAGCCCGTCAGCCTTTCTGGCGGCAGAGGCTCCGTGGCTGGTGGAGCCAGAGTTCCTGGCCAGGAAGGAGACCTGCCTAGGTCACTTTCCCTGAGTGTGGCCCCACCAGGGCCGCTCAGGCTCACGAGCTGCCCGCCTCCTAGGTCTATGAAACGCCCTTCTACGTGGCGGTGGACCATGACAAGAAGAAAGTGGTGATCAGTATCCGGGGGACCCTGTCCCCCAAGGTACGCTGCCCATGGCTCCCAGCCCCCGGGGGTGCCTGCCTCCCTCTTCCTGTCCTCTTTAGCCGCCCCCTCACCTGTCTCCTCTCTCCCCAAGGATGCCCTGACTGACCTGACGGGTGATGCTGAGCGCCTCCCCGTGGAGGGGCACCACGGCACCTGGCTGGGCCACAAGGTAACCCACGTCATGGACCCCAGGGCCCCTGGGCTTCTTTCCTGCCCTGCCAGTGTGCAGAGGCGTGTATGGTTGGGGGTTCCTCCCTGCTCGCTGGGCTCACTGGAAGAGATTGGTCAGAGAGGCATGAATTAGTCTGGAAGGCCCGTTGCGGCCCACTGCTGCGACCCCACTGCCCTGCACAGCCCAGAGCCTGACCATGGAAGAACCTGAGAGGCAGCTGCGGAGAGATCATACCAGCTTCATTAGCCACACTGCCCCTCTGAGCCTCAGTTCCCACCTGTGAAATGGAAGTGACAGGATCAGCGTGTCTGCCAGCCCCCACAGCTGGGTTGTCACGAGGCCCAAAGGGAAAAATGGATGGGGCAGGGTTCCTGAGCTGCAGGTCACTGTGGGTTTGCTGGTCACTGGGAGGCCTCCCACCAACACCTGCTTCTGTTCCTGCCCACCCAGGGTATGGTCCTCTCAGCTGAGTACATCAAGAAGAAACTGGAGCAGGAGATGGTCCTGTCCCAGGCCTTTGGGCGAGACCTGGTGAGGAATTTTCCATGGCACCAAGCCTTTTCACACCTGGGTCCCCCTCCTCCAACGCAGCACAGAGAGGAGAGGATGGATGGGTGATGGAGCCTCACAACTCCCACACAAGCCAGGCTCCTGCAATCCCTTCCAGCCTGGCTCCCAACCCCTCCTCTTTTGTGCCAGGTCCTGTGGGCATCCTGCTCCGCCCCACCTACAGTCATTGGGCACCTGATTCATGCCAGACACTAGAGGCACAAAGATGATTCAGGGCAGACGGCTTTTAAGCCTCATAGCTGCAGAACCGTTTGTCAGAAGGAAACATGGAGAGGCTCAAAATACAGAGCAGAGAGAAGGGGTGCTGCTCTACCTAGGGGGGAACTGAGTCCTGCCCACTGGCCACGGTCTGTGCAGGTAGCTCCTGAGGTGCCACCAGCTGCCCTTTCCAAAGCAAAGCAGGCTCTGGCCTCAGGAGACTTCAGTCTAGTAGTGAGGGTAGAGAGATGGGGTCAGGTAACCACATGTTTATAGTGATAAAAAGCTCCATCCCAGGTACAGATGCAATGACTAGAGGGAGTGAGCCACTCCTGGAAAATCAGAAGGGCTTCCCCAAGGACATAACCTCTGAGCAAGGTTTGGAAGCGTAAATAAGAGTTTATTAGAACAGTCTGCCTAAGCAGTCGCTCTGTGGGGCCCTATCTTGGTTCTCTGTGCCCTAGCATTCACACAGCACAGACAAGATCCCAGGACTCTGGGAAGATGGGAAGACCCTCTGCCTCCCTTGGGTTGGCTAAGACAGTCGCTTGGCGGGCATTGGGGCAGGGCTCTCAGGCTTCTCTCGGTCTCCAGGGCCGCGGAACCAAACACTACGGCCTGATTGTGGTGGGCCACTCCCTGGGCGCGGGCACTGCTGCCATCCTCTCCTTCCTTCTGCGCCCACAGTATCCGACCCTCAAGTGCTTTGCCTACTCCCCGCCAGGGGGCCTGCTGAGGTGAGCCATCTGGGGCTTCAGAGTTGGCTGGGGCAGTTGGGACCAGTGGAGGCTGAGGGTTGGCTGGTGCTAGGGGCTGGACTGGGAGTCTGACTTCTGGTCACATGGAGGTCTGGGAGTGGCCTGGAGGGTGGAGGGTGGGGGCTCTGAAATGCCATGCGCCCCCCAGGATCTACCTAGCAAAGCCTTACCAGTGGGAAAGACAGAGCAGGGAGCAGGCAACCCAGCCTGCCACCAGCCAGCTCCCCGGGAGCCATCCCAGGAGTGCAGGAGCAGGGCTTGCTTGTGGCTGGGCCCCCCGATTCCGGAACACCACCACCCCGCCCCCTTGGCCTTAGCTTCTGCTTCGGCTTCCCTTGCAGTGAGGATGCGATGGAGTATTCCAAGGAGTTCGTGACTGCTGTGGTTCTGGGCAAAGACCTCGTCCCCAGGTGAGTCCTTGGCCCCGCTCCATGGTCCCTTGCCAGGCTGTTCCTCCCTCCTCCAGGCCTCTCCCCACCCCCAGCCCCCGCATCTCTCTCAGTCCGATTCCTGTCTCTCAAGGGACCCCACGCCCCTCCCCACCCTTAGTTGCCCAGTGGTGAGAAGCCCAGGTGAACGCACGTGCTGGCGCCCGCCCTGCCTGTCCTCTCACTCCTCAGCTCTGCTCTGGGGAGCTGCTCTGTGGACACCTCTCCACCCCGTGACCCTGGCTGACGTGTCTTCTTGTTCCAGGGGCTAGGCGTGTGCCTGCCCCTCCGCCCCTGGCCCCATACCTCTCATAGCCGCTGACCAGGCCTGGCTGACGGCCCTGTCTCGTTCCCTCCCCAGGATTGGCCTCTCTCAGCTGGAAGGCTTCCGCAGACAGCTCCTGGATGTCCTGCAGCGAAGCACCAAGCCCAAAGTGAGCCCCCACCTGGGCACCCTGCCTCTGTGCAGCCTCATCTGTCCCTGCCCTTGACCCCCACCGGTTTCTTGGGACAAAGCACAAGAGGCCCTGCCATGGAAGGCCAGGGCAGGGTGTGGCTGGTGTTGTGGGAACTTCAGGAAGTCAGACCCTCAGCATCCCCAAGCTCAACCCATCCATCCCCTGTCATTGTGCAGATGGGGAAACTGAGACCCAGAGTGGGAGGGACTTGCATTTGCTCACATAAAAAGTTAGAACAGAATCAGGACAGGAACCGAGAGGCTCCCATCACACAGAGCTGGGAGCTGCCCACAGTCAGGAGAAAGCGATCTGGAGGCTTTGAGCGGTGAGGAAAGGCCTCTGCCGAAGCCTCTGAGATTCCCTAGGCTCAGGGAGGGCTGGGAATGACCTGTGGAGAGGATTTGGGTACAGTTTGTTCTGATTTTCTGCTGTGACCAAGAGGAGAGGGTCAGCCCTTCCTAATCCGCATCAGGTCTCTGGAGGACACTGGCAGACGGGGTGGCCAGGTGGGGGTGGGGACATGGTGGCCAGGCACACTGAGGCAGGCCAGCGCAGGAGGAGAGGGTCCTCTGTGTGGTCACCCCTCCTCACCCCCTGCCCCCCGCCCCCTGCCCCGGGCGAGCCCTCAGCCCATTCACCATCTCAGCCCCGTCTGGACCGTTCCCAGCTTTGGTGCCCTAGACCCTGTGGCAGGCAGGGCCCTGGGCCAGGTACCAGGTGCCAGGCAGTGAGCAGGGCAGCAAAGCTTTGTGGGACTTTGCCTGCCTGGAGGAGCCTGGTTCTGGGGAGGTGGAACTGCTCCCACCAGATTAGTCCTGGGCTTTTGTCAGGCCAGGCCTGGCAGGTCCAGCTGGACTCAACTCCAGGGTGTGTTTGGCCTCGGACTTGTGGAGTGATCCAGAATAAGTCCCTTCCCCTCACTAGGCCTGTCTCCCCATCTACTAGATGAGGGGTTGGCTGGGCTTCCAGCCCCTTGCCAGCCCTGAAATTCAACAATTCCATGTCATCTGTCCTTGGCACCTTATTGGCCGTCTGGCCACCGTGCACCTCAGCCACTGCCTCTTCAGGTGGGCACCGACCTTTAATGCTCTGGCCACTGCCCTTCCCCTGCCCCTTTGCCATCTTACTGCCCACCTCTCACCTGCTGAGCCCCCCTTCTCGGTCCCCCTGCCCCTGCCCCCCAGCCAGTGCTACTTAGCTCTGTCCCCATCTCTCCCACTCCACCCCGCGCAGTGGCGGATCATCGTGGGGGCCACCAAATGCATCCCCAAGTCGGAGCTGCCTGAGGAGGTAGAGGTGACCACCCTGGCCAGCACGCGGCTCTGGACCCACCCCAGCGACCTAACTATAGCCCTCTCAGCCAGCACTCCACTCTACCCGCCCGGCCGCATCATCCACGTGGTCCACAACCACCCTGCAGAGCAGTGCTGGTAGGTTCTGCCAGGGTCTGCTGCTGCAGGGGGTAGTGGCCAGGGCAGGGGCAGTGGAGAGCAGGGCCGGCCTTGGCTCAATCACCGCTCGGGGCTGGGGGTGGAGGCTGGGAGAAGATGGCCCAGGGCCTCCATGGAGGGGTTTCCCCAGCATCGGGCTCTGGAAATGGAACAAAAGGCCAGCCCTGAGCAGGACTCCAGGCGTCTCTCTCCATAGTCTGGCTTTGCCTCCAGTGTCAGCCCTTCCCTGGTGTGCCCCAGGGCAGCTCTCCCCACTGGTGGTCCATTTAAAAGTAGGTGCCCTGGAGGGCTCACCCCTCAGGCCCTGGCCAGCTCACACCTCAGTTGTCACTTGGTTTCACCAAGGGAATTCCTCGAAGACAGCTGTGAGCAAGGTGGGGGCTGCGCCAGGAGAGAGAATAGGAGCAGGCAAGTGGGTAGACCTTTCCCACTGTGCTCCTTCAGACGGCTGGGCCCTGGCTCCTCCCTCCAGGGTCGGCTTCCTCCCCTGACACAGCTGGTGAGCTGGGCCGTGCAGCAGGTGGAGCAGGTGTGGCCCAGGCCAAAAGCAGGTCGAAGGCTGTGGAGGGACCATGGCTGAGGCTCGAGGTCAGCCTTTCCCAGGCTGAGGGCAGGGCAGGAGCCAGGCCAGGGAACAGAGCCCTGCTGCCAGGCAGGCCAGGGGCCTCCAAACCATGCCAGCTCTGCTGAGCAGGGCAGAGAACAGAGCCAGGAGGCCCTGGCACCGAGGGCCAGGCCACCACCCCACCCTTAACTCCCCTCTGTCCATGTCCCTCTCAGCTGCTGTGAGCAGGAGGAGCCCACATACTTTGCCATCTGGGGCGACAACAAGGCCTTCAATGAGGTGATCATCTCGCCAGCCATGCTGCATGAGCACCTGCCCTATGTGGTCATGGAGGGGCTCAACAAGGTGAGGCAGCTCCCGGCAGGGTACCACCAGGGAATAAGGCACTGTCACCCCATCAGAACCCCGTAAGCACCATCAGATCACTGCCCGATTTTACAGACAAGGGTGCTGGGGCTCAGAGAAGTAGGTAGCTGGGCCAGAAAGCCCCACTCAAATACTTCAACCTCACACCCCTGGCTCTGTCCACATCACCACGTTGCCCCATGGTGGGGAGGAGATAAGGAGACTCCCAGGGGCCTGTCCCTGAGGCAGGCTCAGCTCAGAGGCCCGGAAGGCCACCTGGCCCTTAACAGATGAATGGGCAAGCAGCGACAGCCACAGCCATCCCCTGGCTGCGGAAAGGCTGAAGGCAGGTAGGGCAGGAGCACTCGCCGGGCTGTGGGGCGAGTCGTGACCAGATGGGCAAGTCTCAGGCCTTGGGGAGTGGTGACCTCAGGAGGAGGAGAGTGGGACCCAAGTGACTCCATGAGGCTTTGCTTGGCCTGAGAGGCCTGGGCCCTGGCTCCACATCGGCCCCACGATGGGGCCTGATGTCCCTCCACCACCCCCAGCCTCCTCTGTCCTGTCCTCAGGTGCTGGAGAACTACAACAAGGGGAAGACCGCTCTGCTCTCTGCAGCCAAGGTCATGGTGAGCCCTACCGAGGTGGACCTGACTCCTGAGCTCATCTTCCAGCAGCAGCCACTCCCCACGGGGCCGCCCATGCCCACTGGCCTTGCCCTGGAGCTGCCGACTGCAGACCACCGCAACAGCAGCGTCAGGTGAGCCTTGGCCACTCCCAGCCCCACCCCAGGGTGAGTGTGGTTCAGAGCACATAGACTTGTGTGCACATGCATTTTGTGCATGCACTGGGCTCAGCTCTGCACACGTGCACAGGAGGGGTCAAACTCACCCTCTGTGCTCTAGGGCTCTCTTGCTGTGCTCCAGCTGTCCCACAGCCTGCTGTCCCTGAATCCTACATGAGCCAGGGGAGGCACACAGACCCACAAACCCTGGGCCACAAAAGCACAGATTCACTCTTTTTTTTTTTTTTTTTTTTTGAGACGAAGTCTCGCTCTTTTCCCCCAGGCCGGAGTGCAATGGCGCGACCTTGGCTCACTGCAACCTCCACCTCCCAGGTTCAAGCGATTATCCTGCCTCAGCCTCCCAAGTAGCTGGGATTACAGGCGCCTGCCACCGTGCCCAGCTAATTTTTGTATTTTTAGTAGAGATGGGATTTCACCATGTTGGCCAGGCTGGTCTTGAACTCCTGACCTCAGGTGATCTGCCCGCCTCAGCCTCCCAAAGTGCTGGGATTATAGGGGTGAACCACCATGGCCGGCCTGCACAGATTCACTCTTACACACTTAGACGCAAACAGATGGACACCCATTTACTTACATATTTGTATTGAAGCTTACACACATACATGTGCACACAATTATTAGTTATAAGTACACAGGTCACCCCCTACAGACATGCACATGTACAAGACACACACCAAGACAAAGGTGGAGACACATATACAAGGACACATGTGGACAGGCAGGTGCTCATGGAAATGCATGAATACACCTGTGCACAGACCCAGACACACAAGCCAGCTGACATACACAGACGTCTGGTCTACACACTCATACACATGAACAGAGGCGTGCACACATGCTCACAGGGGCACGCACATGGGGGCCACAGCGCCCTTGCTATTCACACACTCTTTGAGGGGTGCGAGGCTCTTAAGTGGTAGTCCTTCCAGGGGAGGATTGTCCTGCCTTTCTAGGACCTTCCCACACAGGCCCTGTGTGCTTGGTCACAGATCTGGTCAAGAGGCTGCTTCCTGGCCCTTGGTAGGGACAACTGGACGTCTCTCCCTGCCATTTGTGCATTTCCTGTGGCAGCTGCACAACCCGATGAAGAAGCCAGTGTCCATTTCCGGCTGCGGTGACTGCTGCAAGCCACCCACTCCCTGCCCTGTCACTCATTCCCTGCAGGCTGGTCTGCGGAGCCAGGGGCACTAGGCTCCCCACCCAGCAGAGGGCTGCGGCCCATGGGAGACAGGAGGAGACCCGGATGAGGAAGGAAGTGATGAGATCCCTGGGAGTGGCACCCAGGGTTGCTGGCTCTGAGATTGGGGTGGAACCAGTTGGGCAGCTATGTGCAGGGCTCTCTCCCTTCCCTGTCTCCCTGCTGCCCTCTGTCCCTCCCTCCCTCCCTCCCTTCCTCCTTCCCTCCCTCCCTCCTTCCCTCCCTCTGTCTCTCTCATTCCACTGTGGCCTCATGAGTGACCTGGGGCAGGCTCATGAGTGATCTGGGGCAGCCAGTCTATCAGAGCCTCATTCTCACATTGGTACAATGACAGGGGTTCTGGTGCAGAGAACCCCAGCAGCACTCCTGAAGTCCTAGTGCTGCCAGCAGGGCCTTAGCCCCTCAGGGACCCCGCGGCTCAACCCAGCATCAACTCTTTTGTCTTCTATCTTGGGTTCTTGTGAGTTGTTTTTAAAAAATAATCATTCCTGGCTGGGCGCGGTGGCTCACGCCTGTAATCTCAGCACTTTGGGAGGCCGAGGCAGGCGGATCACCAGGTCAGCAGATTGAGACCATCCTGGCTAACATGGTGAAACCCCATCTCTACTAAAAAATACAAAAAATTAGCCAGGCATGGTGGCGGGCACCTGTAGTCCCAGCTACTCGGGAGGCTGAGGCAGGAGAATGGCGTGAACCCAGGGCGGAGCTTGCAGTGAGCCAAGATCGTGCCACTGCACTCCAGCCTGGGCGACAGAGCGAGACTCTGTCTCAAAAAAAAAAAAAAAAAAAGAAAATAAGCATTCCCTGCTGCACATCATCAACAACTGCTAAATGAACTGTACCCTTTATTCCCTGCAAGTTCCTTTTAGCCAGGGAGCTGGGGTTCAGTCCCCTCTCCCTTCTGAGTCTTATACCCCCTGCTCTCCTCTCCCTCTGCAGGAGCAAGTCCCAGTCTGAGATGAGCCTGGAGGGCTTCTCGGAGGGGCGGCTGCTGTCGCCAGTGGTTGCGGCGGCGGCCCGCCAGGACCCGGTGGAGCTGCTGCTGCTGTCTACCCAGGAGCGGCTGGCGGCGGAGCTGCAGGCCCGGCGGGCACCACTGGCCACCATGGAGAGCCTCTCGGACACTGAGTCCCTGTACAGCTTCGACTCGCGCCGCTCCTCAGGCTTCCGCAGCATCCGGGGCTCCCCCAGCCTCCACGCTGTGCTGGAGCGTGATGAAGGCCACCTCTTCTACATTGACCCTGCCATCCCCGAGGAAAACCCATCCCTGAGCTCGCGCACTGAGCTGCTGGCGGCCGACAGCCTGTCCAAGCACTCACAGGACACGCAGCCCCTGGAGGCGGCCCTGGGCAGTGGCGGCGTCACTCCTGAGCGGCCCCCCAGTGCTGCGGCCAATGACGAGGAGGAAGAGGTTGGCGGTGGGGGTGGCGGGCCGGCCTCCCGCGGGGAGCTGGCGCTGCACAATGGGCGCCTGGGGGACTCGCCCAGTCCTCAGGTGCTGGAATTCGCCGAGTTCATCGACAGCCTCTTCAACCTGGACAGCAAGAGCAGCTCCTTCCAAGACCTCTACTGCATGGTGGTGCCCGAGAGCCCCACCAGTGACTACGCTGAGGGCCCCAAGTCCCCCAGCCAGCAAGAGATCCTGCTCCGTGCCCAGTTCGAGCCCAACCTGGTGCCCAAGCCCCCACGGCTCTTTGCCGGCTCAGCCGACCCCTCCTCGGGCATCTCACTCTCGCCCTCCTTCCCGCTCAGCTCCTCGGGTGAGCTCATGGACCTGACGCCCACGGGCCTCAGTAGCCAGGAATGCCTGGCGGCTGACAAGATCCGGACTTCTACCCCCACTGGCCACGGAGCCAGCCCCGCCAAGCAAGATGAGCTGGTCATCTCAGCACGCTAGCACCCCAGTTGCGTGGCCAGCCGGGCCCAGGCAGGAGCAGGTGGCCCTGTGGGCACCTGGTGCCTGCCCCCTGCCGGGCAGCTTTAAGGACAGACCCCCAGGGGCAGTTTAGCCTCAGGCACAGGCATCGCTGCTGAGCTGGGGGTCCGCATCCCTACCTCAGCTTAGGACCCCCAGAGCCAAGGTGGCTGGGATCTGGCCCCACAGATGGGGAAAGATGGGGAAGGGTGTGGAGTGGGGAGGAGCCTGGGCAGCCTGCTGGGTGGGCCACACTCAGCCTGACTGCCCTCCATGGGGGCATTCTGGCACCCCCTGCTCCAGGACAGGCCATGGGCAAGCTGCCTCCCATCACTGCCTGCTGGCTGCTCTCCCAGGGGCCAGGTGGAGAGCAGTGCCCCCCGACACATGTATTCTCATCTGTGGTCCAGGCCGGCATCGTCCTGGCCACCCCCCAGATCTGGTGCCTGCTGGCCGGCCCCCTGGGGTGCCCCTGCCGAGGTGGCCTGCAGTGCTGTACATGTTTACAGAAGCTGCTGGGCTTGGCTCAGGATGTGTTCTGGGCTTGCAAGCCCCCCGCCCAATCATGTGTTCAGTAGCCGTCCTCTGAGCAGGGCCCAAGGCAGCCAGGGGCCTGGAGGGGCCAGAGGAGGGTGGGGTCAGGGCCGCCCCTTCTCTGCCTTGTGCCTCTCATGCTGCCTCCTCTGCCCATGGGTCCTGGGCACCCAGGCCTGCCCTGCCTGCTGGCTACTTCCTGGCTTACCTTCTACCCCCAAGGATCCTCACCACCCAAAGGGTGGTGGGCACTGCTGTGACCACCCCAGCTGCAGAGTCAGTGCCCTGGGTGGAAGGAAGGCACTGAGAGCCCCCTTCCTCTGAGGGCCCCACCTCACCCCTTGGTGTCACCCCCACCACGCCTAGGCAGCTCTGGGCCCTGGGATCTGGAACCAACACACCCCTGTTCCCCTCAGCTTTCCCTCCTCGCTGGCCTGGGCACCCTCCTGGGAGCAGGCCTTCCTCCCTCCCACCCCCAATGTCCTGTTGGTAGGAGGTGGGGCCAAGAGTGGGGTATGGTGGGCCTTGGCTGGAGACCTCTGTCCACTGCCCAGGGAGGGGCCTGGGGCTGGGAGCAGTCCCGGTTTAGCCTGAGGTCCCCATAGGGCTTCCTCCCCTGCTGGGTTTGGGAAGCAGTTAGGGAGATAGCGACCCGGAGTTTCCCCAGAAGCGGGGTGGGAGGGTGTGCATGCTAGTGTTGGCGCGTATGCATGTGCATGAGTGTGCACCGTTCCTAAGGAAGGGGCCTCTGGGGCTGCCCACCCTACCTGCCCTGCCTGCCTGCTGCCCCTCCCAGCCTGCCAAGAAAACGGTAGGGGAGCATGATGGGGCCTTTGAGGCAGGGTCGCAGGGACAAGCTCAGCTTTAGGCACCATCTGTTCCCATCGCGCCTGCTGCTGTGACCCGTTTTGGAAAACTGGTGTGTACCGAGGCGCTGACTGCACGGCTGACCGCCTGCTCGTGCCTTCATTCTGCAGCGGCATGGTCCCTCCCATTCTGGCTCCACCTGCAGCCTCCCTGGGTGGCCTAGGCTCCCCCGACCAAGAGACCTCCCTCTCATGATCACTGGTACCTGGGGGCCTGAATTCTGGCCCCCGGCTCCCCACACAGCTGGGACTGGCCTGGATGGCTGTCCTGGGAGCCCCTGCCCACCCTGACAGAGGGAGCTGGGCCTCCCCTCATCCTCTGTAACTCCCGCCTTCACCAGACTCAAGGACACCCTGGCCCTGCTGAGGCATACAGAGCTTCAGCCCAGCACAGAAGCAAGACAAAATCAGTGGCTCTTAGAGTTTAGAAAACAAGACAGACTCTCAGATGAAAGATCTGACAAGCACCGTGGCCAGTCACAGGGAGAGACTTGATGTCTGGCCTTTTAATTCCTCCTCTGCCAGGGTGGGTCCTGGGACCTCTAATGTGGGCATGTCGTCCACCCCAGGACGAGCCATCAGGGACAGACCCCCCACCCCCAAGGCTGCAGCCACACCATGTTTCAGGCTTGGGGCTGGGGCAGGCTTGGGCTCAATCCTGGGCACCCAGGGGCAGCCCACCCCTAACCTGGCTCCTACCCACCTCGCCCTTGAAGGATGGGCCTGCTGCACGTCTCCCTCCTCCACCCCATACCACACTGGGGGGTCTGAGCCACCCCCCTCAGCCCCGTTCGGCTCAGACCGACCCCCACTCCATCCCCAGACCTGCAGCACAAGTGCGCGGGCCTGTCCTCCCAGGGGCCTGGGCGACTCCATATGCAATCAGTAGCGAGCAGCCGGGCCCCACAGACCCTCATGCACTCTCTTACGTGCCATTCTCCCCAGACTTTTTTTGTACTTAATGTATGAAAGATCCAAACTAATATTGCTGTAAAAAGGAGAGACAAATTAATATAGCTTATTCTATAAATATATCTGTATATAAAGGTTTCTGTATATTGTATAGAGCTGTGTATAAACTGGATGTAGAAGCACGCTGGCTGCCTCGAATGTCTTTGCATCAGGTGGGGACTGGGTAGAAATTTGATGTCGAGGTTGCAGCAGAGCAGGGGGTTGGCATGGGGCCGGGGGCCGGGGGGGCCTCTGCCACTGTTCCCTGGATGGAACAGAAAGCCTAAGGGGGAAACAGATTCCTTGGGACCAGAGCCCGTTTCACCCACAAGACGCAGGGTGTGTTTGGGTGGTTCAGGTCCAGCCCTTTGTCTGTATTGGGTTAGAACTTCGTTTCTCAAAGTTCACGGTGCTCATGACTCACTGGGGCGCTTGCTAAATGCAGGTGCGGGTTTAGTGGTCCGGGGTGGGGCCCAGGTATAGATTTCTTACCTGCTCCTGCTCGGCTAGTGCCCTGGCCCGGGGCCACACTTTGAGTTGCAGGGAGGGAGTAGAAGACCCTTGAAGCCCCCTGTGAATGAGGGCAGCCACTTGCGGAGTCCTGCCTGTGTGAGAGATGTACCAGCGGGTGCACGTTCATACTACAGCCTGGAAAGATACAGCTTGCTGGCCTCCCCTTCCTCCCTGAGGGGTCTGAGAGGATTAGCTGCCCAAGACTGCCAAGCTGGCGACTGGGGGACCAGGCTAGTCTGACCATGCCCACCTCCCTCCCCAACAATGCAGACAGCTAGGGCAGGCAGGGGTGGAAGATCCCAGTGGGACAGCACTGAAATGCAGGGGCCACTAGAAGTCTTTGCTGAGGGCTTTCCTGAGAGGGCGCAAAATACCTGGCCAGACCCAGTGCAGCCCAGGAACCCCAGGCCAGCATAGCTTCCGGGCAGTGAGGCCTAGGGAGTGGCTGGAAGGCCCAGGTGGTGGGGCCTGCCCCCTCTACACAGCAGGTGGCGCTGTTCAGCCAGTCAGTCCCGCCTTGGCCGCAGAGTCTGGCCTCGGCACTGACCCAGCCAAGCTGACCGGACCTTTCCCTTCCCCTGACCCTGCCCCCATCTCGGCCCCCAGTGTCCAGTGGCTCTATTTGGTGAGGGGCTGGGGAGAGTGATAGAAGAATGCCCCCAGCCTTAGAGCCTGTCTTCACCCACAGCCACTGAACAGAAGCAGAAACGGGCCAAACAAGGGTGAAGACCTGCCCAAGGTCGCATGGGAGGTGGGGACAGACTGGGGACCAGAATCAGGGCCTCTCAGCCTAGGACTCTGGCCTCCACCACACCTGATGGCTTTCAGAGGTTCTTTGCCCTCAGTGGTCTCAATGGTCTGCAAATTATCCTGTCCAGTGAGCACAGCACAGGCAGAAGAAACTGAAGGCCAGGGAGGCTCTGTGGCTTGCCCGGGGCTGCAGCCAGGGTGTGGCATTGGGGAGGGTCTTGAGAGGGCAGTGCTGGGAAGGGCTAGAGAGGCACTCTGCCTCACGCTCCACTCAATACCTGCAGCAGCCCCCTCCTGTCCCGGTGCCCCTGCAGTCAGGAAGGGGTCTACCCTGCAGGACCCCACACTCAGGTGTGCCCTTGGGCCCTAGTCCGGGGAAGCTGGACCACCAGCCTCACTGGCTTGCTGGATTGACACTCACCCCACTTTGAGCCCTCCTCTTCCTCTGCGAAATGGCCTGATGCCAGTGCTGTGTGGGTCCACAGGAGGCCAGGAGAGTCCCACGGTGGGGAGGACAGGGCTGTACCTTCTCCTGGGCTGGCCTCTACGCCCATTACCCATTAACCCTCAGGTGCCAGCATCCCTCTCCCCAGTGCTGCCTTCGGTCTACCACCTCCTCCTGGCCCTGCTCCCACTCAAGGGACAGTGATGGGTGCTGAGAGCTGATTGGAACTGGAGAGGGCACCATTTACTGATCACTGACCTGGCACTTTACCTCCACTGTAAGGCAGGGATACTGAGTGTGCTTTATAGATGAGGCCTCTGAGGACAGAGGGCAGGCCTTGGGGACTAGGTGGAGCTGGCTACAGGGGACAGCCATGTCTGCTGGGCTAGGGCTGAAATCTCAGCCCCTCACTCACTGTGGCTCGGTAGAGAAGCCAGGGGCACAGATGAGGACTCATCTCCATTGATGGGCCCCCCTAGGTCCTTGTATGCAAGTCCCCTGGGCTACTTTCACCGGCCCAGCCACCTTCCTGCCCCAGCCTCTGCCCCAGCGCTGCTTGGGACCCAACTTCATTATGGAGTTGGCAGATGGCAGCCTCAACTCTTGGCTGAGCCCTTGAGTCTGGGACATTTCAGCCACCTCTTTCCTCCAGTCCAGAGATGAAAATCCCTGGGGACAGTTGCTCCTTTGCTCAGTGACCTAGTGTAACAGGGGAGATGGCAGGGCCTGAGCTCCCTTAGCCAGGTCAGCTGCTACAGGGTTAACAGGAGGCTCCATTCCACCCCTTCCAACTTCAAGGCTACCCTAGAGATTGAATAATCTATACTCTTAATTGATTATAATGCAATGGAGTTGGGGCGTTAGGGACAAAGTACGAGTCTTCCCTTCTACCTCCAGCCCTTGCTGACCAGGACAGGGACAATGTGTAGCTCAACGGATGGTGGTGAGAACTTAGATGATGGTCAGTTATGCAGTATGTGGGATACGGAGGAAAGATCCGTGGGTATGTGGAGGCTTGTAGAGAAGCTGGTTCTGTGGCTGGTCCCAGGCGACTCGTAATGTAAATCCGTTTCTCAGAATCGCGTGGTGTAGGCGGGTGTCTACTTTGTCCGCAGGCAGGCCTGACCCCGGGTGGAGGAGGGGCAGGGTGGAGAATAACAATTGTCTTAAGGGAGTCTGCGGAGGGAGAAAAACCTCTGGGGTGTATCAGCTGGAAAAGAATAGGAGTCTCAGTGTGGCCCCTCTCCCCCCTCTCAGCCCAGCCCCTGCGGGGGCGGTGAGGGAGCTGCGGTCAGCACACACAGCTGGGGCCTCCAGCAAAATCCCATTCTATATATCTAAGAGCAACAGCTCTGAGAGCGGCCCCCAGAGGGACAAAACCTCATTGTGAGGCACCCGCCGGCCTCAGCACCCCCTCCCCCAACCCCAGAACTGTCGTGGCATTGACCCTTTTCGGCGGGCCACCATGGGCCTGCTGACTGGGCCACATCTGGGGCTCAGGCATTGGCTGCCCCTCCCCCACGGCTGGCCACTGAGAACTGACAGGGAGGCTGGGGTGGGAGCGGCTTCCAGGCCTCTCACCCCATCCCCACGGGGTGGCCTGGCTTGTGCCCCACCCTCCCTGGGGATGCTGCAAGGCAGAGGTGAGAGTCCGAAGCTGGCTACGTTGGCATCTTGATCTGCCAGCAGTCCCCCACACCTCTGGCCTCTGTTTAGTGGCTTGTCAAACAGTGGTTGGGTGGGGTAGGTTTTTCCAGCTTTTACGTGCTGCCTTGAAGGGTCCCGAGAGGCTTCAAGTTGAGCCACTCTGAAGCGGGATGATTCTCTAGGTCTGGGATTCCAGAATTATCCGCTCCCAAGGTTTCAGAGGTCCAGGATTCTGTAGATTTTTGTTTGTTTGTTTGTTTGTGTTTGGAGACAGGGTTTTGCTCTGTCGCCCAGGCTGGAGTGCAGTGGTGCAAACATGGCTCACTGCAGCCTCACTGCAGCCTCAACCTCCTGGGCTCAAGCGATTCTCCTTCCTCAGCCTCCCCAGTAGCTGGGATCACAGGCATGTGCCACCGTGCCTAGTTAATTTTTTAATTTTTTGTAGAGACAGGGTCTTGCCATGTTGCCCAGGCTGGTCTCGAACTCCTGGCCTCAAGCAATCCTCCTGCCTCAACCTCCCAAAGTGCTGGGATTACAGGTGTGAGCCACTGGAGCCTGACTGGATTCGGTAGTTTGAAGATGCCACCATACATTCATTCAACACATTTATTGAGCACCTACTGTGTGCCAGGTCATGTTCTTGGTGTTGAAGCTATAGCAGTGACCGATACAGAAAAATATCTTGCCCTCGTAGGGCTTCCATTCTAGAGCAAGAAGGATAATAACAGAAACTAAATAGGAATCTTTTACATGGTGAGCAAGAAAGGCCTAGGTAGGGAGAACTGCTTTAGGTAGGCTGGTTGGGGACATGACATTTGAGCTGAGACCAACTGCTACAAAGAAGTAGCCATGTGGAGACAAGCATTGTAAACAGATGGAATAGCATGTGCCAAGGCCCTGTGGCAGGTGTAGGCCTTGCATGTTTGAGCAATGGCAAGGAGGTCTTGGTGGCTGTTATTCAGTGAGCAATGGAGAGAGGGGAAGAGCTGAGGCCAGTGGTAGAGGCGGGGCCTGAGAAACCAGAGCAAGACATTCAGATATTGTTTTGAGTGCAAAGGGAAACTTAGTTTTGCAAAGGAATGACATGATCGGATGTATGTTTCAGAAAGGGTGATTTGGGAGAACTGAAGGGGATATCAGTGAGACGAGAGGCTGTGCAAGTTGGGCAGGACAGAGATGTGGAGGCAGTCAGTCATAAGGGTGAAGGCAGGGGCACAAGGACAACCGCTTTATCCTGGACTTATATCGAGTTAGAACCTCCAGGTTTCATTATACCAGACAGGGCCACGGCAAAGGAGAGTTCGGATTCCCGGGGCAGCCAGGATTTGGCTCTGAACTTTAATGACCTTGAAACTCTTAGGCAGGGCGGGGAGCGGTGGCTCATGCCTGTAATCCCAGCAGTTTGGGAGGCCAACGTGGGCTGATCACCTAAGGTCAGGAGTTCGAGACCAGCCTGGCCAACATGAGGAAACCCCGTCTCTACTAAAAATACAAGTTAGCCCAGCGTGGTGGCGCCTGTAATCCCAGTTACTGGGGAGGCTGAGGCAGGAGAATCGCTTGAACCGAGGAGGCAGATGTTGCAGTGAGCTGAGATCGCGCCATTGCACTCCAGCCTGGGCGACAGAGCCGAACTCCATCTCAAAAAAAAAAGGAGCTTTTAGACCTGCATTGTCCAATACCACAGCCACACGTAACTGTTTAATTACAATTAAACAAAATGAAAAAATCAGTTCCTCAGTCTCAATAGGCACATTTCCAGTGCTCACTTGTGGCCAGTGACTACCATACTGAACAACACAGGGAACATTTCCATCATCACAGCCACAGGACAGGGCTTCCTGGCAGTCCTTAATGCATTGAGCCTCAGTTTCCCCATCTGTAAAATGCAGGTAACAACAGCATCTCCTTGATAAGGTGCCTGTGAGGAGTACATGAGATAATGCCTGTGTGGCCTGGCACATAACACACGTTCCCTAAATGCAGGTTGTTATTGTTGCTGAGCGGGGTGTGTGGGTGGCTAACGAGAGGGATGGGGGCTGTCTCTGAGGTTTGGATTCGGAATCGTGACATCTTGTCCCGTGCAAGACGAAGGCGAGGACGGCGAGGGCACACCCTTCCAGTCCCGACCCCACAGAGGCCAAGCGGCCCTTCGCCCCCACCCCGACCCGGGAAGGCCCCGCGCCCCTCAAGCCTGGGACGGTCTCGCGTCCCCCGACCCGGGACGGCCCCGCGCCCCGCAAGCCTAGGACTGCCCAGCGCTGAGCGCCGCCTGCAGGAGTCGGGAGCGTGGTGCCCGCGGCCGGGCTGGGCGCGGCGCGGGCCGGCAGGGGGCGCTGGGCGCGGCGGGCGGGGCGCGTGGGGCGGGCAGGGGCCGGGCCAGGGACGCGCGGGGGGCAAGCGCGGCGGCGGACCGGGCGGGACCGTAGCCGGAGCCCAGCCGGGACTGTCGCGCGGGCCGCGCCGGCGATGCCGCGCCCCCGGGCCGGGCTGTAGCGGGGCCGCGGCTGGAGTGTGCGCCGGGCAGGCGGGACATGGAGGTGGTGGACGAGACGGAGGCGCTGCAGCGCTTCTTCGAAGGTGAGAGACCGCGGGCTGGCGGCGGCGACCCTCTGGCGCTGGGAACCCCCGGCTGATCTCCCCGGGAACTGGGGCTCCTCGCTGTGTTTCCGCCTCCTCTGGCTGGGACCCTCCTTCAGGCTGGCACCAGCCCGCCAAGACAGGCTCCCGGGGCTGGGAGTCCCCCAGCGGTTACCACCCACCGCCGCTGAAGTTGGGCTCCCCCTCCCCGCTCCTCAACTCGCAGCTTCCTTGGGACTGTGTCCCCTTCCAGGTCCGGACTCCTTTGAGCCTTCCAGGACCCGGAACTTTCCCTAAATTGTGACACTCTCGCCCCCAGCAAACTTCCCGAGTCTGGGGACCCTCTACTTTGCTTCCCCAGAACCCCAAGCGGGATACAACCCCATTCAAGGCCCAGACCCCCGGTGTGCCTTCTAGGACCTTCCGTACCTCTTGAGGCTGGACCCCAGCCTGCTTCCCAGAATCTGTGACCCCCGCCTAGAGACCAAGACCCCCTGTGTGCCCTTCTGGTTGGCGCCATCCCCCATGACTTCTAGGAGCTGGGACCTCCCCACTGTGCTTCCATGAGGGTAGGACCACTTTCGAGCCTGGATCCCCTTGGAGACTGCCACCTGCTTTCCACAATGCTGCCTAGTGACTGCTCTCCTGTTTGGGGCTGGGACCCCCCTCCCTAGCATGCTCTCCTGGGGCTGGAACCTTCTTGAAGCTGACATCCCTGCCACCGGTCACCTCTGCTCTCTGAGACCCTTCTAGTGCTGTGAACTGCATCCCACCAGCCCTCTGAGGCTCCTCAGCACTATGTCCCCCCAACCCTGGAGCTGTGCCTCTCTGACCTCGCCCCCTCAAAGAGTGACCTCACCCCCACTTGACCGAAAGGAGCCCTCTGGGGTGGAATTGACATACACCCCATAATATCTTCTTCTGCCCCCACCCCTACATTGGTTTTGGAGGTCTGCTCCTCCATCTAACCAACTCCCTGTCTTTTCCTGGACGACCCCTGCCCCTCCTGCAGGGCCACCACTCCTCCTGGTGCTGGGTTCTGGAGGGATGGGACCGCAGTGGGAGGGGGAGGGGAAGTTCTGGCTGACTGCCTCCCAGCCCACTCCGCTTCTCAGAACCTCCCTGGAACATCTAGCCAGACCCTCTGGCCCCCTTTTGTGCCCCTGTCTACCAATGCAGCGAGCCCAGCCCCTGCCCCGAGCTCCCTCTAGTCCCTAAGGCCACATCCTGCTCCTTGGTGCATTGAGAACCTTCCCTTCATGTGTGAACCTATCAGGGCTACAGGGCAGGGAACCAAGGCCCAAGTTTCAAGCCCCAGATTCCTGTGGAGTCCTGTGGAGGAGAGAAGCAGGTCTTCCGGTGCCTCAGTTTCTCTCCCTCTGTGACTTGGGAGGCAGGAACCCTTGTTCACACCTGCTGGCTGAGCAGCCCAGGCAGGGGCACCCCTAAGCCTCAGTCATCCCACTCCAGGATTCTGGACACCCCACAGACCCAGAACCCAAGAGTTCAGGCTTGGACTAGATTGAATGGTTGACTCTGCATCAGGTGGGCCATCTGAGGGTCTTAGGCAGCCCTGCATCTGTCCCGGGGCTCTGGCTCTCCCCAGACACTGTTGATCCATAGGAGCTCTCGAGGGGCCTGACGCGGTTTGAGACCTTCAGGGAAGAGGGGACCAGACATTCGTGCTTGCTTGGGTTACTGTCTGGAGTGCCTTGAGCCTGCTAGGTACCCAGAGGACCCGCAGGCCAGGCTCCCTTGACCTCCACACTGCCTGCCCCAGGACGCTGGGCCCTGACAGAGAGCAGAGGGGTGGGCCTGGCTGGCCTGGACTCCCTGGCTCCCTCCTGACCATGGGTTGGGGGGTGGGGGCTGACGCCACGGCTTAGCCATGCAGCGGCCTGGCGGGGGGAGGCTGCGCTACTCCCTCCAGAGAGATAAGAGGAGACTCAAGAATGTCTGTGGGGAGCAGGGGAGGGGTGTGAGGCTGCCCGTCTAGGAGGGCTGGGCTGGAAACAGCTCCCAGCCCCTGCGATGGGGGAAGGTGTGGGTGGCCCCTGAGGCCTAGGGTCTCCAGGCCACTTGGGAGGGGAAGGCCCATGTGGGGGACCCACTGTAGGTGTGAGAGAAGGCCTGGGAGTGGCAGGGCCTGGTGTGCTTGTGAGTGTGTGAAGTGCGAGGGAGCGGGAAGTTGTGCTTTTGAGCCGTGGCTGCGTCACTCTTGAGTGCTGTCACACTCGGGGCTGGGGCTGGGGACACCTGAGCTCTCATCCTGGTCCCCACTTGGCCTTGGTCATCCCTCTGGACAGTGGGTAGCAGTCCCTGTGCTCTCGGCTCTGGGCTGGGAGACTGGGAAAGGGTTTTACCGAAGGGGCTGCAGCACAGCGCGCCCCCTCACCTGACGTGGTCCCCCTCCCTGGGCACACACCAAGCATAGGTGCTGGGTCCTGCCCTGTGCCGGTGGTGGGCTGGGGGCTAAGGCGCTTTGGACCTCAGGTGGGAGGCCGGGACAGAGCGGCCCCCTCGAGGCTGGTACAGCCGGGCCCCCGTGACCGCCCGGCTAATCCCCTAGAGAGAGGCAAGGCAGCCCAGATCGGCGGGCACAGGGCCTGCAGAGAGGGGACCCACCGGGCAGGATGCACTGGCTTCCAGCAGGTAACCGGGCCATGGTATAAGGGGGCTTTGGACTCCAGAGCCAGGGCAGGCACGGGACAGGGCAGTGTCTGAGAATCCTGCCAGGACCTCAGAGTTCTGGTGCAGGCTGGACCACTGAGAGTGGGGTGACCGTCTGTGCCTGGCAGGGAACCCCCAAAGAGCTCTTGCCCTCTTTAAGTCCTTTTTCCTCACCTGCAAGACAGGAGGGGGTGGCAGAGAAGAACCTCAGCTCTGAAGAAGCTCACTGCCCAGCCCTGGGAAGGAGAGACATGTTAGAGTATGAATGGCCGAGCCTGGAAGGGGTGCCTGCTGGCCCTAGATTCTAGGGGCACATGAGGCTCGAGTGAGCAACCAGTGTCCCCCAGAAAGCAGGTGGGTGTGCAGGGAGCCTTGGAGGATGGAGGGAAGTCGCCTTCCAGCAGGTGCTGGAAAGACCACTTGGAGTTTAGTGGGCCTCTGCCCGGCCTCTGGAGCCCCACCAGGGCTGGAGGAGGGAGGCCTGGGATTTCGCCCCTTCTGAAGCTGATGGGTGGCTGGACTGGTGACTTCCTTCTCTGGCCTCATTCCCCTCCCAGGGTAAGTAAGTGGGTTGGACCAGAGCAGGGGCTTCCAATGTGATTTTTTAACCATCAAACAAACTCATAGTCTCCTGATAGGACAGATACAGTGGATAATGGGGGCTGGGCTCCTCACAGCCCCTGAAGCACCAGGATACTGGTTTGAAAGCCACCCTTCCCGGCTGTGGGATGGGTAAGGGGAGGGGAATGGCGCTGGCTGAGGCTCAGAGAGAAGGGAGTTGGCCAGAGTTAGCCAGAGTGGACACCTAGCCCCCAGCTCCCTACTCTGCCACCAGTACCTTGGGGTTGAGGGGGCTACCTGTCAGGGACCAACATCTCTGCCTCCAGAGGGCAGGAGGAGGTCCCAGGTAGAGACTACCTGATGATTTGGAAGAGAGGACTCCCACCTGGACAGGAATCCGGGGGCTGAGCTGGGCTTCGTGATGGGGGTGGCACTGTGGCCCGTGTCAGCCTGTCTCTGTCTGTCCCTGGTGCACCCAGGGAGTAAGTAGATGGGAGGGGTGGCCAGGCACAGGGTTTCCTGAGCCCAGGCAGGGGAGGAAATGGTAGTAGGGGGTCTGACTCATCCCCATGTCCCCAGCACCCAGTGCAGGGCAGGGGTGGGGGGTGGGCAGGAAGTGCTCTCCGGGTCAATGGTGACAACAATGGGTATGTGAACAGAGGCGGCGGGGGTGGGGGACGCACCCCAGAAAGCACCTCTCTGGAGGGCCTGGGGTCAGTGCAGGGGTGAGAAACAGGCAGTTACCAACCCTTTGGCCTCAGGGACTCTCCTGAGACTGGAAGGCTGGACAGAGTGCTCCTTGG
This sequence comes from Homo sapiens, assembly GCF_000001405.40. NCBI lineage: Eukaryota > Metazoa > Chordata > Mammalia > Primates > Hominidae > Homo > Homo sapiens. The sequence continues at coordinate 61,756,825 of NC_000011.10, forward strand.
GGTCTTAAGTAGAGCCAAGGAGGGCATTTGAGGGCAGAATGGCCTTTTCCCTGGGGGCCTGACTCCCCAATTACCAACTCCCAAGGGGTTACAGACTGGAGGGCCCTGGCAGCAGAGGCTGCTGGGTAACAGCCCAGCAGAGCTGCTCATTGGCTGCCACCCTTGGACTTTGCCCTCCCTGATAAGGAACTGGGAGCAGAAATTATTAACTGAATCATTAACTGGGTGGCCCCGCCCTACCCAGGCAGCCTGCCTTACCTTCCCACCTTCCTCTTCACGGACCTAGCACCTTCCTGGGCCTCAGTTTCTCTCATTGCCTTGGGTGCTGGAGTATGTGGGGCCTCCTCTCCTATCTCCAGGCCTTCAGCCCCGGCTGCCACGGGGTGTGGGTACCTCTTGGTTGGGTCTCGGGGTAGGATGATGTAATGGTTCTGTGCATTCGCCAGCGAGGGCAGCTGGGGTCTGTTCCTAGCTCTCCTGCTTACCCACAGTGCTTCTCTTGGCCGTATCAGGGCACCGCTGTGCCTCCGCTTTCTCATCTGTAAAACGGGAGTGCAGTTGTAATGGCAGGGCCTCCGTCCCAGGGTTTCTGGGGTGATTAGGTAAGATTGTGCCTGGCCTGGTGAACACTCCATTGGTCCATGGCAGGTGTTCTGCGCCCTACCTTGAAGATTACTGGTCCCCAGGGTAGGTCAGTGCCCCTAAGCTTAGGGGGCTTGTTGAGCATGTTCTGTGGTTCTGTGTGCAAGGCCTGAACCATGACAGCTCTGGCCCAGCGTGGCCTGGTCCTGGTCCCTGGCACATCCAGTGGGGCCCGCCCCACCTCCCCCTCTGAGATTTGGGTTCTGTTCTTGCTGCCAGCAAGGAGGAGGGGCTTGGCTGTATTGTGACTTCATCTGCTGCACCCAGGCTCTTTGCACGTTGTCTTCCTGGAGTCCTGGGGTGCAGTGGAAGCGTGGGTGACGGCCTCCCATTTCTGAGGGGGACTGTGAGGCAGGACAGGAAGGCGATGATGTGTCAGGCTCCCTCAAGGTGGCCACAACAGAGCTGGGACTGGAGCCTGGGTCCCAGCTCTGTGCCAGCCTGGGATGGGCAGGGAAGGGGCCTCTCCTCCTGACATGCTGAGGGGTGGCTCCAGCACGGGTGGCCACGCCAGGTGATGTCCGTGCAGCCTCCTTGACCTCTCTAGACCTCAGAGCCCTCACTCACATGGTCAAGGTTGGGTGATGTTAGCAGTTAGATCCCACGAGTGCCAAGGCCTGGAGTGAGGGGGGGAGGGGCAAAGCCCCTGGGTGGGGAGTACAGTTGGGTCCGGAGCCCCCTGCCGGCCTAGAGTATGGAGGGGGCTCCCGGACATTCTGTCCTCCCTGTGCCCCAGGTCGCATCAGTGAGGGAAGTTCTCCCTCCAGCTGACCGGGGTCCGTGCAGCCACCGGAGTGCACAACCACAGCCTCTGTCTCTCCTTTGTGGAGTTTGAGGATCCTATCTCCCTCCGGCCTCCCTCACTCCCCTCTCTTCTCCCTCTATGGCTGGGGCAAGGGGATCCCCATCCCCTGCCCTGCTAGCTTGGAGGAGGGAAGTTGTGCCTGTGACACTGAGTTCACTCAGTGGGGCCTGGCTCCAGCCGGAGCTGCTTAGGGAGGGTCTGACAGCAGGCGGGGAGGGGGCTTGGAGGGAAGAAGAGGAGGTGGGAGCTCTTCCTGGGTGGCCACTAACCTAACCCATGCATGTGACGCTGTGCCTGTGGGCCTGGGCCTGTCGTCGGGTCAGTGAGTGTTTGTGTACATGCGTGTCCTGGCATATACACCTGTGAAGTGTGCTGAGGTGTGAACATGCACAGGCATGCTCGTACCTCAGGGCTTTTGCACCGGCTGTCCCCGCCATCTGGAACCTTCTAGAATGCTAGGCATTTTGCTGCTCTCGTCATCTGACTCTGCTCCCTAGAATGTCAGCTCCATGTGGGCAAGGCTTTTGTCCCTTTTGCTCACTGCTGTAGCCCCAAAGCTGGGCACTATGCTTGCCTGGCACATAACAGGTGCTCAGTAAATAACTGCTGAATGAATGAAGGCACACGGATGAACGCTGGTGTGCGCATGTGTGTGGGTATATGTGTGGGGCATGCCACTGTGTGTCAGTACTGTGTATGTGTGAGTAGGGGGCAGGTGGTACGTGATCATGCGCATGTCAGTGGATACCTGACTGCAGGGTGTGCCCTTACATATATGTGTGTGTGTTGGCAGTGTGCCTGCGTGGGGCCACGCCGGTGTGTAGGCACAGATGGGCACAGGTGACCCTGGTGGAGACCTGTGTCCACCCCAAGCTGCAGGGTCTCTACCTGGCACCTGGTGGCCTGCCTGCCCTGGTCCCTGTGGGAGAGAGTAGGAACAGGTCGCAGCTGCTGGCCTCGGTGCTGTTGGACCTGGCTTTGGAGCATCTTGGGGCTGTGAGTTCAGCCTTATGTTGACCTGAGGACAGGGCGGCAGCTTCATGGGGACTTGGAGTGGATGTAGCCATAGCCCAAGGGTGGCTAAAGATTCTGGGTCTCCTAGAAGAGAGGGTTCTCCGGCTGGGCCAGTGGCTCATGCCTGTAATCCCAGCACTTTGGGAGGCCGAGGCAGGTGGATCACCTGAGGTCAGGAGTTCGAGACCAGCCTGGCCAACATAGTGAAATCCCGTCTCTACAAAAAATACAACAATTAGCCAGGCGTGGTGGCAGGCGCCTGTAGTCCCAGCTCCTTGGGAGGCTGAGGTGGGAGAATCACTTGAACTCAGGAGGCGGAAGTTGCAGTGAGCCAAGATTGTGCCACTGCACTCCAGCCTGGGCAACAGAGTGAAACTTTGTCTCAAAAAGAAAGGTAAAAAAAAAAGAGAGGGGTCTCTGTAGGCAGCCTGTGGGGGCTCTTCTGCATTTTTGGTAAGAAGCTGGGAGAGAACAAAGACTACTGTGACTCAGATCGAAGAACCTGATAGAAAAACGGCTCAAGAGCCCCATCTTTGTCAGGTGTGGCTGCTGGGCCCAAGCTAACTGAGATTTGATGCGGAGAGGCAAAGGGTTGCTTGCACAAGCAAACATCTGACCTGAAGGCATTTTGACTAAGACGGCTCTGGTCACAAGTTGAAGCCTGAAGCAGGGCAGCTAGCAGTTATAGATTTTTTTTTTTTGAGACAGAGTCTCACTCTGTCGCCCAGGCTGGAGTGTGGTGGCACGATCTCGGCTCACTGCAACCTCCGCCTCCCGGTTTCAAGTGATTCTCCTGCCTCAGCCTCCTGAGTAGCTGGGATTACAGGCACGTGCCACCATGCCTGGCTAATTTTTGTATTTTTAGGAGAGACAGCGTTTCACCATGTTGATCAAGCTGGTCTCGAACTCCTGACCTTGTGATCTGCCCACCTCGGCCTCCCAAAGTGCTGGGATTACAGGTGTGAGCCACCGCGCCTGGCCATAGATCATATTAATAAAGAGAGAAAGCCCAAACCAAAGGAGGTGAGGCCACTGTGCCTTGCCCCCATGTAAACTGGTTGGGAGATGAGCCACAGCACTGGGGGCCCTCTGTGACTGGGGCGATGGGGAGGGGCTGCCAGGGCAGGCAGGGAGGCAGTCGCAGAAGGCTGACCCACTGGAAGGGATGGCTGGGGCCGAGGCCCGGAGGCTGGACTGTGCTGTGCATGTGTAAGAATAGCAGCAGAGTGCTGACCATGCCTCAGAGGGACTTAGGAGAAGGTGAGGATGTCCCTCGGAGGCTCTGGAGCACGTGTGCAGCAAGGCGGAGGGGCCTGGGGGAGAGGGGACAGCCTGGGCGGAGGTGTGCAGGCAGGAAAGGAGATGGGAGTCCTAAGAGAGATGGAAACAGGGCGGTTCACCCTGACTGCGGAATGGCCTCCTGGGGGTCACCTCGTTTAAGGTTCACTCCATGGCAGGGATTCGTGCTCCATCTGATGGAGAAGGAAGCCAGGGCTCAGGTCACTTGCTGAGGGTCATAGCCATCAAGTGGGAAGTCCACATTAGAAACCAGGCCTCTTTGACTCTGGAGGTCTCTCTGGGCATCGTGGTTATGCCCAGGTGGGCTGTCCCTTGACTGCTACCACCCTGGCCCTCAGCTGCTGCCTGAAGCTAGGGCATCCTTCAGGTTCAGATGCTCTGAGAGGACACTCAGAGCAACTGGGGTTGTCGGAAATAGGCCTGGGCCCTGGTGTCCTCTGCACCCCAGGTTCAGATCCACCAAGCCTGGCCAGCATCCTCGGGCCCCGGCCCACCCTACCCACAGCCACGTGGCTGACGGGATTTCCGCCATGTTTGGGGCATGAATTGACAAGTGCCTCATTGACGGGGCAGGGGAGGGGGTGGGCAGGGCACAAGCCTCCCACTGTGCCGTGTCCCCACCCTCCCCCGTTCCCCGGGACAATGGCCGAGACTCAGCCAACGGCCACAGCTGGTGGGGGGGGGGGCACATAAGCACAAGGAGGGGCGGAAGGGAGGGGTCCTGGGTGGAGGGACCACCTGGGCCCCTGCCTGCTCTCATCCTGCACCTGGCTTGGGTGCCCTCCGTTCCTTTCCTGGCCAGCTGGGGTGGCCTTAAGGAGACGAGGAGAGAAGAGCGGAGCGGAGGGGAGGGGGCTGCCTTCCCATAGTCTGGATCGCAGCCTGCCTGGGAAGGGGCAGTGTCTGGTTCCTGTTCCAGGCAGGTAATAAAGGGCCTAATTAATGAGGAGCAGCTGAGGCACACAGCTCAGCAGGGCAGGGGCAGGACCTGGAGGGGCCCCAGGTAGCCCCGGCCCTGGCCACAGCATGGCCTGGCCGAGGTCCCTCACTGGCCACTTGGCTCATCCACTCCGTGAACATTTCCTGGGTGCCTGCTGTGTGCTGGGATACTATATCCCAGAGAGACAGAACAGGGCAGCGCTCATAGCCCAGTGCCTGCCCCTGTAAGCTATGGGCACATGCCCATCCTTTCTGAGCCTCAGTTTCCTCATCTATAAAATGAAGAAAAAGAAAATCACCTACCTTGTAGGTTGGGATGAGAATTCAATATGAGCCATGTAAAGTGCATGGCACAGGGCTGGGCACAGAGTGGCCACTGGGCGAGTGAGCTGTGGGTGGTGGGCGGGTGGTGGACAGACACTCATCCTGCCCAGCGGGGTGTGTGTAGGCGGGAAGGTAAAGAACTGATGAGGAATTACAACGCCCCTGCCCATCCCTTGCTAAACAGAATGGGAGAGTCAGAGATGGCCTCTTGGGGGAATTTACATTTAAGACAAAACCTAAAGCCTGAATAGGACCTGGCTTTCTCAGGCTTAGGGAACAGCATGGAATGGCATGTGTGAAGGCCTTGATGTGGGATGGAGGATGGAAAGGAGGCAAGGGCTGACCACGGAGAGGAGGGGAGGCAGGGGACCTGGGGAAGGAGAAAAGGCTGTCGGGGGCAGGCAGGGGACCATGTCAGGCCTTGGACTGCCAGAGGGCTCCGGGTGTCTCCCCAGCAGTGGGAAGTTGTTGAAGGGTTTGAGAAGGGAAGGACAGAGATGCTGGTTTGTGAGCTCATGGTGCTGTTTTCGGGTTATTGGGCCCTGGGCAGCCTCGGGCAGCCTCTGGCGGGCCCGGCTTCCCTTCTCTCAGAGAGGTCTTGAGGATCAGAACGAGCCATATGGCCCATGTTCCGCTTCCTGCCTGGCAGGTACCCCTGCTTGGGCTCCAGTGATGTTCTGGGGCTCTTTTGGGAGCAGTGGGGAGGGGCGCTCCCGAGAGTGTGCCCATGGGACCCTGCCCCTGTCCTGGGTTCTTGGGGGCTCTATCCCAGCTTCGGCAAGCCCCCACCCTTGTCTTGTCCACCTGGAAAGTCTGTTAGAAATCTCCAGTGTGGTTCACGGGCGGGCTGGGGGCCGAGCGGCGTGGGAAAGAGACGACGCGGCCTCCAGGGCTTCCAGGAGAAGGTGTGGGGTCAGCGTTCCTCAGGAGGCCCTCCGAGCCCCCAACCCTCAAACTTCTTCCCCACCCACTGGCCTCCCCGCAACGCTGCCCCATCAGTTCCCTCCTCCCGCCTCCTTCCTCCATCCTCCGTCCGCCCGGACCCTGGCACGGGAGGGTCCCTCCTCCCCCAAAGCACATCTGGTTCTCGTTAGGGTCTCCCAGGATGCCTCTGCCTGAGGCCCCCTATCCCGAGGGAGGTGGGCAGGAGGATTAGGGGCGATTAGGAGTGCTCCTGGCCAGGAGAGGAGGGGGCTGGGTCTGTTATAAATAGCAACACCATGACTGCATCAGCCCATCATTCACCGTAGATTCCAAGTTCAGGCTCAAAAACTTGCAGCTTCAGCGGCCAGGGTGGGGGCGACGCTCCAGGTGGGGTGGGGAAGGCACAGCAACCGCCAGTCACACTCTCCCTCGTGGAGTCAGACCCCTGCACCTGGTTGGAATCCTCCTTGCCATGTTGCCTTGGGTAAGAGACTTGACCTCTCTGAACAGGGGATGGTGATTATGTTACCTATCTGAACATCCCCACTGTTTAGAGAGGGAAAATGCATAAAGCACTTAGAATCGTCCCTGGCCTGGTAGGCAGTCAGTGTGAGCTGCAGTCACTGTCACCACCACTGTCTTTGTCATCATCGCCATGATGAGTTGAGAAGCACTGGGAGATACTCACTATGAGCCACTGTCAAGTCACTGTCTCTGTCATGGTCAGCATTCTGGGCTGGGAGGATTGAGTAACACACCGCAGGTGAAGAGCCTGCAGGATGCCTTGCGCATAAGAAACTTCTGTGATTAGGCTGGGCGTGGTGGCTCACGCCTGTAATCCCAGCACTTTGGGAGGCTGAGGCGGGCAGATCACCTGAGGTCAGGAGTTCAAGACCAGCCTGGCCAACATGGTGAAACTCTGTCTCTACTAAAAATACAAAAAATTAGCCGTGTGTGGTGGCGGGCGCCTGTAATCTCAGCTACTCGGGAGGCTGAGGTGGGAGAATCGCTGGAACCTGGGAGGTGGAGGTTGCAGTGAACCAAGATTGCACCACTGCACTCCAGCCTGGGAGACCGAGCAAGACTCAGTCTCAAAAAAAAAAGAAATAAAGTAAAGAAACTCCTGTGATTATTAATGTATTTGATTCACAAAATGCCTGGCACACAGTAGGCACTCAGTAAATGGGACCCGTGGTTACAGCAGGGTGGGGCTTGAGCAGAGGCAGGGTCCTGGAACCCAGGCACACAGACTGGCCACGCCCAGCTCGAGAAGCTGCTCTTGCCCCGGCCACACCGCCCTGGACGGCCATTGGTGGTGCGTGGTGGGTGTCCCTTGTTCCTAGCTGGGCGAGCTGGGGGTGGGGGTCAGCAGGAGGGCCCTGGCCTGTCGCAGGCAGCGCGTGACTCCTAGGAGGGCTTAGCCGCTCATTAATCACCTAAGCGGGGCTCAGCATTCTTGAAATGCCGGCTGAGGCCAGGGAGGGGCCTGGGCGGGGGGCTCCCGGGGACCCCAGGGCTCTGGGGCTGGGAAGTGAGGACGGCTGTTCCGACCGATGAGCACCCACTAAAGTGGCTGGCACTTCACACACCTCATCTCGTTTCATACTCAAAACAGCCCCTTGAAGCCATAGCTGTACATGTCCCCATTGCACGAATGAGGAGACTGAGGCGCAGAGAGTGCATGTGACCTGCCCAAGGTCACTCAGCAGGGAGTGGCTGAGCCAGGATTTGTTCCTGGACCTGTCTGAGCTCAACAGGAGAGGGCAGACCCCAGACTCAGGCTCCAGAGGCCTGTGGGAGGGGCCCTCCTGCCTCAGTGGGGCTGGCCAGCCCGGGTCAGCCGTGTGGGTGGGGCTGTCCTCCATTATCGGGGTTGACGCATCTCCCACGTCAGCCCCCTTATCACCCCGCCCTCTGGCTCCCCCTGCAAGGTGACCCTGGGAGGGGAAAGGCCGGCACCTCCCCCGTCCTCCCTCATGATGCCCAAGAGCCCTGGCTGCCTTTCCTCTAGGGGCCCCTCCCCTTGGTGGGGCCGGGGCCAGCGCAGAGGGCCCAGGAGAGGGCGGCAGGCAGAGGAGTGGAGCTCTGGCGGCCATCATTCCCTGCTGGGAGGCCGGGGCAAGCCCTTCCTTCTCTAGGCTTCTGCCTCCTCTGGAAAAAGGGGGCTAAGTTCCCCCGCCTGTGCCCAACAGGGTGATGGGCATATCCAATGAGGGTGCAGGGAGCTCTCCTGATTCTGATCCCCACTCCCGCCTGCGGCCAGGGCCTGGGTGCAGGAGACTCCCACAGCCCTGTGGGCCCCCAGGATATATGGTCCCACTCAGCCAGGCCTCGTGCTCCTGCGTTCCTGGAGCTGGGCCATCTGGACTGACCCCTGGAGGACACGGCAGGACAGTGCCTGTTGGGTCCGAGCCATCCCATCGAGGGCAGTGGGCACCCACGGGGCTCTCGACTCAGTAAGCACCTCATTTGTGCCTCACAGCACCCCATAAGACAGAGGCACAGTGACCCCATTTGACAGATTAGTGGAAAGGACTTGTTCCCTGTCACACAGCTAGAAAGAGGCATGGCAGGATCGGCCTCTCTGTACCCAGATCCATGCCCTGGGCCCCTCTCCTCCTCTGAGACTCAAGGTGGCCTTGTGGTGGGGCGGGGGGGCATTATCAGTGCTTCCTGGAGGGGTGCCAGGCAGTGGAGGGTGAGAGCCGGCCCCCACATGGATACCTGGGTGGGAAGGAGCAGGGGCATCTGTTTTGGAGGGCCAGCCTGGGCAGGGATGGAGGGCTGGGCCCTGAAGCCCAGGGTCTGCAGGGAGCTGGGCCTCTTCCCTAGCCCATCTCTCCTGCCCTGCAGGCCACGACATCAACGGTGCCCTGGAGCCCTCCAACATAGACACCAGCATCCTGGAGGAGTACATCAGCAAGGAGGATGCCTCCGACCTGTGAGTGGCCCCCTCGCCCGGCCTGCACCCGCCCAGCCCCAGCCCTTCGCCTCCCTTCTGTCACCAGGGAGGTCTGAGGGCCGGACCTGGGGTCTGCTGTGGTCCCACCTCTGAAAGCTGCTCCTCGTCCCTTCCCAGCCACTGACTCCTCCGAAATCTCCATAGTTCCCTGCAGGGAGGGGGCGGCTACTTCCCTGCTGGGGCTGGGGTCCTGGCTGGAGCTGAGCCGCCCCCCTTCCCCGCAGCTGCTTCCCTGACATCTCTGCTCCAGCCAGCTCGGCCTCCTACTCCCACGGGCAGCCTGCGATGCCTGGCTCCAGCGGGGTCCACCACCTGAGCCCCCCTGGGGGTGGACCCTCCCCGGGGCGCCATGGTCCCCTCCCACCCCCGGGCTACGGCACCCCGCTGAACTGCAACAACAACAACGGCATGGGCGCTGCCCCCAAGCCCTTCCCGGGGGGCACCGGGCCCCCCATCAAGGCTGAGCCCAAGGCTCCCTATGCCCCAGGGTGAGTAAGGGCAGGGAGTAGGGGGATACAGCGGCATAGGGGCAGGCAGGGAGCAGGGCTGTGGCCGTGACCTGGGAGGTGCTAGACACTGGCCTGGCATGGGATGGGCTGGGTGACTGGCTGTGCGTGGGCAGGTGAGGGAAGGGAGGATGAGTCCAGGTCAAGGGGGGACTCCTGGGCTTTGTTCTGAGGCAGTGGGCAGCCACAAAGCTTCTAAGCATGGGAGTGATGAGGGCTGACGTAAGTGCTAGAAAAATCTCGATGCTGTGTGGAGAGTGGACAGGAAGCGGCGGGACTGGAGGCTGTGACTGTTTACCTTCATGGGAACACCTGCATACCCGTGCACGCGCGCCAAGCCCACCCACTTACGCATCCAGCTGACGTGTACTGTGGCCACAGGAGCTGGCCCATGGCTCAGATGTGGCACCTCAGTTCCCCCCTACCCAAGCAAGCCTCATGGGGCCCAGAACCCAGGCCCTTCCCCCCATCTTTCTGAGGAGTCCACACCAAGGGCCTGACCCAGGGCTGAACCTTAGGCCTGGCTTTGACCAAAGGTTCCAGGCAGCCACCCGGCCAGCCAGACTCCAGGGCAGCTCCCGGGGCACATGCTCACAGCGGGAGGCTGGGAGCATGGGTCTGCAGGGGAGCTCAGGGCAAATGTAGGGGCCCCTGTCTCTGGGTGGAAGAGCATTAAAACACTAGGTGCATGAACTCTGTGTTCAGACAGCCTGGCTCCAACTTCAGCTTCCCCATTTATCAGCCGTCTGCCTCGGTAACCCATGGCCTCAGTTTCTTCTGTGAAGTGAGCCCTCAAATGCTTACCCCTCAAGATTATCGTGGGAAGCAACAAGGGCACAGAGGATGCCCTGGGTGCATGGTGGCCATGGACACATGGCCGGCCGTGCTTCCTGAGCTCCCTGGCTTTTGGGGAGAAGGGAGTGGAGGCCAGGCTTGGGGTGCCAGGGGTGAACCTTTGCTGCAGAAGGCAAACTGTTTGCTTGAGGCTGTGAGGCTGTTCCTAAACTACAGGCCCCTGGGGGCAGAGGGAGGAGAACTAACATTTGGTAAGCGCCTGCTGGTGCCCACTGCTGTATCATGTGCCTATGATTGCGTGAGCTCATCAGCCTTCCTGGGTATCCAGCTCCTGGGAGACCCCACAAGGAGCCCTGGCCACTGCTACCGTCAGGATTTTAATGGCACACTGAGGCTCAGAGAGGGAAAGGGGCTTGTCCAGAGCCACACAGGGACTCTGTGGGCAGGGCCACTCCAGGAAGGGACCCAGGGCCAGACCTGAGTCTAGGTGATAAACAAGACAGACATGAGGCTGGGTGTGGTGGCACACACCTGTAATCCCAGCACTTTGGAAGGCCAAGGTAGGCATATTGCTTGAGCCCAGGAGTTCAAGACCAGTCTGCAACATGATGAAACCCCATCTCTACAAAAAATACAAAAATTAGCTGGGTGTGGTGGCGTGTGCCTATAGTCCCAGCTACTCGAGAGGCTGAGGTGAGAGAATAGTTTGAGCCAGGGAGGTCGAGGCTACAGTGAGCTGTGATCATGCCACTGCTAGGGACAGAGTAAGACCCTGTCTCAAAAAAAAAAAAAAAAAAAAAAGGCCAGGTGCGGTGGCTCATGCCTGTAATCCCAGCACTTTGGCAGGCTGAAGTGGGCAGATCACTTGAGGCCTGGAGTTTGAGACCGGCCTGGGCAATATGGTGAAACCCTGTCTGTACTAAAAATACAAAAATTAGTTGGGTGTGGTGGCGCATGCCTGTAATCCCAGCTACTTGGGAGGCTGAGGCACAAGAATCGTTTGAACCTGGGAGGTGGAGGTTACAGTGAGTGGTGATTGTGCCACTGGACTCCAGCCTGGGTGACAGAGCGAGACTCTGTCTCAAAAAAAAAAAAAAAAGAAAGAAAAGAAAAAAAACAGACACACGGCTCTGCAGTGGCTCCTGAAGCCTAACTGGGGAGAGGTATTCACCAGTACATCTCCAAGTAGAGGAATAATCAGGTGCCAGAGGAACTTAAGAGGAGAGAACACAAGGTGCTGTGGACTTGGGGCATGGGACTGCAGGGACTGCAGGGTGTGAAAGACCTTAACACATTACAGAAGGCCTGGCCATTGTCAGGGAAGTACAGGACGGAGTGGCAGCCCAGGGGGCCTGAGGCTGTGGCGAGGAGTATGGGTTTGAGTCCCCATACACGTTTTTGTATCATTCACACAAAACCTGCAGGGTCTGTGTTCTTGAATCGTTGTATAGGTTTCTACATGAGGCCCCGAAGGTGGGTGGGTGGCTGGCACAGGGATGCAGGGGGACTCTGGAGCCAGCCCCAGGGCTGTGTCCACAACAGGGCCATGGCCTCTCTGGCAGTTCCCTGGGCATGGGAATGGGGAGTTGCTCCAGATGTGGGGACCAGGGATGGCCAAAGAGCTGGATCCCATATGGCCACAGCCTTCCACTTGCTGGGTGAGCACAGGGTTCACGCAGGACGTGTTGACCTCTTGGGTTGAGTTTGTTCTTTTTCCTGAACACTGATAAAAGTGAAACCTGCAAGAAAAAAATAAACCCAGGCCCGGTGGTGCTGGCTCCCTTCCCAGTCCACACCTGCCTCTGGTGGGGCAGCCCCCCATGACCTGCTGAATGCCCTGAGGCCCAGCCCCCTAGGGCCCTGTGTTTCCAGGAAGCTGTGGGGCTTCAGTGGGTGCAGGAAGAGAGAAGAAGTCCTGGCCTTCGGTCTGGGGCGGGAGTCTTTGAGTCCCTGTGCCATCATCAAGGACACTAGTAACTGCCCCCCAAGTGCCCTGTAGGTCTGAGGGGATCCTGGGCGGTCCCCTACCCACAATTCGGCCCCAGGCCCTGCCAGGCACCCCAATGTGGGTGGTGCGGAGAAATGCCCCTAAGGGTGGATGTGACGAAACCTCAGTGTCGCCAGCTTCTGGGGGGCTGTGGGACCCTACCACGCAGAGAAGCTGCCCAGCTGGAAGGCAGAAGCTCAGCTGCTCACCCCCCGGCCCCTTCCCCTGGCTCTCGCAGCACACTGCCGGACTCTCCCCCAGACTCGGGCTCCGAGGCCTACTCCCCCCAGCAGGTGAATGGTGAGTCCAGCGGGCACCGCCCTCCTGCTCCAGGGTTTGGGCAAGTAGTTGGGGCGGCCTTATCAGGGAGGTAGGGGAGGAGGGAGGGGGCCAGCGGCTGCCCAACGGGCTGAGATTATCGCTGGTCAAATACTCCCTGGCGCTTGGCTATTGTTTCCCCACGGGCGGGTGGGGAGCCTGGCCCTGCCTCTGAGCAAGTATCCCCGCGGTGATGCCACCCGCCTGCCCGCCTGCGCCATCATGGACGCACCCTTCGGCGGTAAGTGGGTGGCTGGGGAAGGCCGTGGGTGCAGCCTGGGTGCAGGCTTCCCAGGCCGGGCCCACCTCACCTTAGAGGGTGCTCAGGGGTGCCCTGGCCCCCAGGTGGCCAAGAGCAGAACCACCGCGGGAGCAGGCTCCCCGCAGTCCGGATTGGGGTCAAGAGTTCTGTTTATCTTACCAAAAACATCCCTGGAATGCCTCCTGGGGAACAAAGGGAGCTGGGGCCTCCCCGCTCAGGCTGGGGGGCTGGCCCCTGAGAGCCCAGAAGAGGGACTGCCTGCCGGAGAGGGGAACACTGGGCAGGCCTGGGCTGGGGGTCTCCGGAGACGCCTTCCTGAGGCCCAGAGGAGGAGCAGGCCTCAGAGGAGATGGGGACGGAGGGGGACCTTTAGATTTGGGTTGGATTCTCCTGGTCCAGCCTGGGGGCAGGAGGTGGCTAGGATGAGGTGAAAGGCTGCCCCTCCTTGGGCAGGTTTGTGCCTCCCTGCCCAGGCCTCTAGTAGGTGGCTGACCAACGGCCCTCCCACCTAGGGTAGGTGGGGGGCAGCCCCCGGGCTTGGCTCAGGACGGGGTGGAAGCAGGAGACTCTGCCTTGGGGAGGACAGTGCCCAGGAGCCTGAGTGAGGTTGGTCTCAGATGCCCGCTCCCCCATCTCTCCTGCAGAGCCCCACCTCCTGCGCACGATAACCCCTGAGACACTGTGCCACGTGGGAGTGCCCTCCCGCCTGGAGCATCCGCCCCCACCTCCAGCCCACTTGCCAGGCCCCCCGCCACCCCCACCACCCCCACCTCACTACCCTGTCCTGCAGCGGGATCTGTACATGAAGGCCGAGCCCCCGATCCCCCACTACGCTGCCATGGGGCAGGGGCTGGTGCCCACTGATCTTCACCACACCCAGCAGTCCCAGATGCTGCACCAGCTCCTGCAGCAGCACGGAGCTGAGTAAGACGTGGGTGGCTGGCTCCATGGGGTGGGAAGGTGGGGTACAGGGACCAGGGTGGGCAGGGCGGCGGGCAGGCCAGAGAGGGAGGTAGGGACCGGGATGCACCCAGGGAGGGCAGAAGGCTCTGCAGGGCAGATGGGGGTAACATATTTATACATGTTTACCCAGCAATACCTTGAGGGGTTTACAGCCATGGCTAATTGCTCACAACTACCTTATCTGGTGGGCACAGGTAGGTAAACTGAGGCTCTGATGGGGGAAATGTCCCGTCCAGATCATGAGCCAGGGGCAGAGCCAGGACTGGGCCCGGGGCTGTGCTCTTACCCAGACCCCAGTGATTTTGCAGCTGTCTCATGGAACCCTCAGGTTTCTGAGGAGTCTTCTTCCTAGACCCAAGCCCCCGACTCTGACTCAACCTGCACGATTGTCTTTTCATCTGTTTTACATGTGGAGATTCCATGAAAGGTTTAGTTCAAAGGAAGGTTCTGCTGTCAAAACATTTTGTAAACCAGAAGGGGAAGGAGTGCCGTGCGGAAGCTCCCCTTCCCTGGTTTTTGTGGCCCAGGCCCTCTGTGGCTTGTTTCTGATCACAGGGCCTGCTCTCCATAGAGCCCCCACTATAAAGGGTGACCTTGAGTGTGACACTGCAGGCAGGGACAAACTCATTCATTCCTCAAGCGATTGCTGTGATTCTGTAAGCCAGCCCTGTTGCTGGGCATGATGGAGACACCAAGTCAGGTGTGGCTCCTGTCCACAGTCTGGGGGAAGCGAAGAGTGACAGAAGCAGAAAATGACAGCACAGAGCAATGGGGAGTAGGAGGAGGCAAAGCCTGAGGGCTTCCTGAAGGAGGTGTCCTCTGGGCGGGGCACATCCTGGCCCAAACAGGCTAGAGAGGGGAGAGAGGTGGATACTACCCAGTGGGAGGGGCTCGGGGAGAGCCAGCCCCCACGGCGCACACTTCTGTTTCCCCAGGCTCCCTACACACCCCTCCAAGAAGAGGAAGCACTCTGAATCCCCCCCCAGCACCCTCAATGCCCAGATGCTGAATGGAATGATCAAACAGGAGCCTGGGACCGTGACAGCCCTGCCTCTGCACCCCACTCGAGCCCCATCGCCACCCTGGCCTCCCCAGGGTCCGCTCTCCCCGGGCCCTGGTTCCTTGCCTCTCAGCATTGCCCGTGTCCAGACACCGCCTTGGCACCCGCCAGGTGCCCCCTCCCCAGGTACATGGCTGGCCAACTCTTCAAGGTGGGGTGTGGGACCCAAGGTGCAGGGCCCACATGGGCGTTCCCTCCCTCCAGGCCTCCTGCAGGACAGTGACAGCCTCAGTGGCTCCTACCTGGACCCCAACTACCAGTCCATCAAGTGGCAGCCTCATCAGCAGAACAAGTGGGCGACCCTGTACGATGCTAACTACAAGGAGCTGTGAGTGCCCTACAACACTCCCCACTCCTCCAGGCCCCCCCACCTTGGGACGCCCCAGCCCAGGACCCCATCAAGGTCCTGGAGCAGGGCCTGGGAGCACTCATTTCACAGAAGAGCAAACAGGCTCAGGGAAGAGCCAGGACTGGCAGTCAGGGCTCCTGACTCCTAGGCCAGCCCCAGGCCTCCCTGAGAAGGTGATGACTGCCAGGGAGGGGCAGCTGGGAACCAAGTCAGGGAGAAGTGGGCAGATGGGTGTTTTTTCCCCCGGTTCCTCCTTCCCCACCTCCTCCCTCTGCATTCCAGGAAGGTAGCCGGAAGCTGAGCCCAAGCTGGGCCCTCCCGGCAGCCCCCTCCCTAGAGGGAGGGAGGAGGGGCTGGGGAGGATCCGGTCAGAGGCTGCCTGAGCATTCCTAGCACCCCCTCAACACCCAGATGGCTCCATCTTTCCAGGCCGCAGGCCGGGAGCCCTGTGGGGACCACTCCCCTGGCTCACCCAGAAGGCCAGTGGGCAGGTGACAGGGTAACTGTGGATATTGCCAGGCCTGGGCCAGTGGATTAGACCAGCTGCATGGAGTTGGGTGCTCCAGGCTTTGGGGGAATTCTTAGCCAGCAGTCCCAGGCCTGGGGGCATCTGGCTGCTGGGGTGGCTGAAGGGTCCCATGAAGTCCTGCCAGGTGGGGGTGCAGTCGTATGGCACTCCAGCCTCTCTGGCATGGGGAGGAAACCCCTTACTCTTACTGCCATACTCTTTGGGCCACCCTTGCCACCCCAGGCCCCAAGGCCAGGAAGCTTGGCAGCTGCAGCCCCGGAAGTGGCCCAGGCACTTCCTGGGTGCTTTGCTAGGTCAGGCAGGTGGGTGGAGCTCCAGGAGGGAAGAGGTGGTGAGCCCAGGCCTTTGGCAACACTGGCCAGGCCCAGAGGCCTCTTCCCACAAGTTTGGAAGCATTCTCCCTGCCCAGCTTCCGCCAGGCCAGCACTGGGCACTCCTGTGACCACTCTTGTGCCTGGGGACCTGAGTGAGGGTGCGCTAAGCCACAGGCCAACAGTTGCTCTTTTTTTTTTTTTTTTTTTGAGACAGGGTCTTGCTCTGTTGCCCAGGCTGGAGTGCAATGGCATGATCTCTGCTCACTGCAACCTCCGCCTCCTGGGTTCAAGCAATTCTCCTGCCTCAGCCTCCCAAGTAGCTGGGACTACAGGCGGCTGATTTTTGTATTTTTAGTAGAGGCGGGGTTTCACCATGTTGGCCAGGCTGGTCTCAAACTCTTGACCTCATGATCTGCCTGCCTTGGCCTCCCAAAGTGCTGGGATTACAGGCGTGAGCCACCGCACCTGGCCCAGTTGCTCTTTTTACTGTCAACTAGAGGTGTCTCAAAGGGGCCAAACATGGGACACTAAACCCAGCAACAGATGGGCAAACTGAGGCTGAGTCTGAGGGAGAGTCCAGGAGTGCCCCTTCCCTCCCCGGGCAGACGGAGGGAGTAGGAATGAGGAGGGAGTGGGAATGAGGGCATCTGGGGGCTTGAGCAAGCCGGTGGGCAGGGGCTGGGTCTGCAGCAGAGCAGGCGCCTGGTTCCACCGTTTCCAGGGCAACTAGCTGTCAGGCGCTGTGAGGCTCTGCAGACACAGTCCCTCTCGGGTGAGTGAGGGGGCTTCAGGCAGCCTTCTGGGAAGGAGCCGAGTGTGGGGAGGGCAGTCAAGCCCTCCCCCACTCAGGAGTTCCCTCCAGTCTGGTGGGCCTCAGGGTCTGGCCCTGCTTCCCCCATCACCAGGGCGGGGCGGTGGCCTAAGGCATGGGGTATAGGAGAGAATGTTGTCTGAGGAGTTTGCAGCCCTGTACTAGAATCCTCTCCGGGACTCAGTTTCCATTTCTCAGGAGTGGGGGCAGCCGCATTGGTGGTTTGAGGATGCAGGGGTGTGGTGTGGGAAATGGTTTTGGAACCCAGCAGGTAGGAGGAACCGATGTTCCAGGCCCGGCTCTGGGGCCTCAGGGGAGTGCCCTCACCCGCCCCCCCAGGCCCATGCTCACCTACCGCGTGGATGCGGACAAGGGCTTCAACTTTTCGGTGGGCGACGACGCCTTTGTGTGCCAGAAGAAGAACCACTTCCAGGTGACAGTGTACATCGGCATGCTGGGCGAGCCCAAGTACGTCAAGACGCCCGAGGGCCTCAAGCCCCTCGACTGCTTCTATCTGAAGCTGCACGGAGTGAAGGCAAGTTTGGGGCTCAGCAAGGAAGGGAGGGCAGGAGGGCCCTTTGGGGGCACTGAAAGACCCCAGAAAAAGCAAGCGTTGGCTGGATGCTGTGGCTCACGCCTGTAATCCCAGCACTTTGGGAGTCAGGCAGATCACTTGAGGTCAGGAGTTCAAGACCAGCCTGGCCAACATGGTGAAACCCTATCTATACTAAAAATACAAAAATTAGCCAGGCGTGGTAGTACGGGCCTGTAATCTCAGCTACTTGGGAAGCTGAGGCAGGCAGGAAAATCCTTTGAACCCGGGAGGCGGAGGTTGTAGGGGGCTGAGATCACGCCACTGCACTCCAGCCTGGCAACAGAGCGGGACTTCATCTCAAAAAAAAAAAAGAAAAAAAAAAAAGCAAGCATCTGTGTGCGTGTGTGTGTGTATGTGTGTGTAAACTCCCCCACTGCTACTGCCACCCCGCCCTCCCGCCTTTTATCCCTGTGCCTGCCCCTCAGCCTGCCTCCCCCTCGCCCTGCGCCTGCCTCCCTCTTGTTGGGCTCATCAACCTGCCTCCCTGCCTCCCTTTCGCCCTGTGCCTGCCCCTTAAACGTTAGACTCCTCAGCCTGCTTCCCTCTCGTTGGGCACCTTACCCTGACTCTGTGCCTCCTTGCCTCCCTGCCTCCCTCTCGCCCCGTTTCCTGCTCCAGCCTGTGATTCCCAAGTCTGCAACCCCAGTCAAGACCCATCTCCTGGGCCCTCTACCAGGTGCCTCAGCTCCAGGTCCCAAACTAAACTCCCTGCACACTTGCCTCCCACCCTGGGCTCCCCTCTCAGGGAATGGGGCGCAGGGCCTTGGTTACCTGAGCCGCAAATCTGGGTCAGGGCCCTCTTTCCCCAACCTCATCATGCATCTGGCCTTGCTATTGCCCTGGAAGATCCCTCTACCTGGTCCGGTCCTCGCCTCTTTCCTGTCCATCCCCTGGTCTGGGTTACCTCCCTTCCTTGTCGGAATGTCCACAGCAGCTGGGACCCCCAACTCCTGCCCCACTTGAGACTCAGGGGGCCACAGCACTCCCTATCCTTCCAAGGCCCCCAGTGTCCTCCCAGCAAAGCCCCGGCTTCCAAGCTGCACCACGGGGGCCTTGGGGGCCCTGCCCTCCGCTCCAGCTCTGCCACTTGTGGTACCATCGCAGCCCCCGCCCTCCACCCTGTGGCTCCCTTTGCCTTGGATGCCCTTCCCAACACCCATCCCTCCTCTCCAGGCAGACTCCATGCTGGTCCCCTCCCCAGGGGCCCCTCCCCTAAGACCCATTGGGAGGCACCACAGCACAACCCCAGTAGTGGCTGATTTTGAGTCTATGAGCTCCCTGTGGGCATGGCTGGGTCTGTCGGCTTCGGTGTGATGAGTGAGCCAGGCATGGTACCTTGGCATGGCTCTGCCAGTGCACGTGGAGGAGTAGAGGAGACGTGGGTATGGAGAGGATCTGGGGAGTGAGTGGGCCTAGGTGCAAGTGGATGGGCTTGGAGGCTGCTGTGAGGTGTGTGGGTATGGACATGAGGGAGGGTGGGGCTGTGAGTGTGTGTGTGTGTCTGTGTGTGAGTGCATACATGCAGAGGTGGGGGGAGCGTGTGGGTGTGGAATGGGGGTGTGGGTGTTTGGGGAGTGACTGCATGCGTAGCTGTGCAGAAGTTGGGGGAGTGGTATGCTGTGAGGGGTGAGGAGGGTGTGGGTGTGAAGTAGGGTGTGGGGGGGTGTGACCATGCAGAAGGCATCTGAGCTTGTGGGAATCGCGGCTGAGGGCTGGGTGCTGCCCTGTTTCCTGGTGAGCTCTAGTTGGGCCAGGCCTGGCTGAGAGGGGGCAGGAGGGCAGGACCAGCCGGGTAGCCCCATCCTGAGGTGCCACTGGCTTCACTCCCCACAGCTGGAGGCCCTGAACCAGTCCATTAACATCGAGCAGTCCCAGTCAGACCGGAGCAAGCGGCCCTTCAACCCGGTCACGTGAGTGTCTGACCCTGTTGGGGGTGGTACCTAGAAGGGTCCACAACTAAAGCTGGCTTGGGAATGGAGGGGCCAGGGAGGTACCCAGGGTGTCCGCCTCATGTACGTTGCTGGCCTGGGTGCCCCTCAGTGGCGTGGCTCTTGCAGCCTCCCTCCCTGCCCCCTGAGCACCCTGCCTCTCCTCTGCAGGGTCAATCTGCCCCCTGAGCAGGTCACGAAGGTGACTGTGGGGCGGCTGCACTTCAGCGAGACCACCGCTAACAACATGCGTAAGAAGGGCAAGCCCAACCCGGACCAGAGGTGAGCAGGTGGGGGCCCTGCCCCGGAGCCCCTCCATTTCTGAGGCAGGAAGACACTGCCCTGGGTGGCACACCAGGCACAGAGTCCTACAGGCTGAGCCATTTCACAGATGAGAGACCTGAGATTTAGAGCCCTTCATTGACTTAAGGATGGGAAGAGCAGAAGCCTGGCTTCTGGGTTGAGAAACAGCCCTGGCTTCTTGCTGTGGGCCCTGGGGAATTTCTGCCCCCTGGTGGAGGCTCGGGTTCCTCCTCTGTAGGAGGGGGTGAGATGAACATGCATCTGGCCAGGGAAAGGGTGGCCCTGGGGGCGGGGGCAGGCCATGAGTACTTCTGAGACCCCTGTGTGTCCCAGGTACTTCATGCTGGTGGTGGCCCTCCAGGCTCATGCACAGAACCAGAACTACACGCTGGCCGCCCAGATCTCAGAGCGCATCATTGTGCGGGTGAGGGCCACCTCCTCCCAGGGCGTAGACAGCCCTCCCCAGGACTGGGAGAAACAGCAAGCAGAAGTACCCGGGTACTGAGAGTCAGGAGTGGGCATGCTCATCCTGCTAGGCACTGGCTGTGTGGCCTTGGGCAAAGCTCCCACCCTCTCTGGGCTGCAGGGTCTCCACAGTAAAGCAGGGAGGTGGACGAAGCCTGGTAGCTTCTGGGATCCCACAAGTGACAAAAAGTTGTCACAGTGGGAGGGACAGTTCAAGTTGGGCTTGGTGCAGTGAGAAACCCTGGCTGGAAGGGGAGGGGCTGCTGTGGAGTTTCCCCCTGCTCCCAGGGCCCTGCAGGTCCCCTCCCTATCCCCCAGGACTGATCCAGCCCCAACTCGCGGTAGGCCTCCAACCCAGGCCAGTTCGAGAGCGACAGCGATGTGTTGTGGCAGCGGGCACAGGTGCCCGACACCGTCTTCCACCACGGCCGCGTGGGCATCAACACAGACCGGCCGGATGAGGCGCTGGTTGTGCACGGGAATGTCAAGGTCATGGGCTCGCTTATGCACCCCTCCGACCTGCGCGCCAAGGAACACGTGCAGGAGGTGGGGACAGGGCTGTGGGGGCCGGGCGGGTCCAGACGCTGGAGCGGGCCGCGGGGGCGGGGCTCCTGGGGAGGGGGCGTGACTACGCGGAAAGGCGGAGCTGCGGGGGAAGGAAGGGAGGGAGGCTGGCCTCGAATCCCGATCTAACCACTCCAGTGGTGGGGTCTCCTCTCCACACTGCAGCCTCCAGGCTGCCGCCCTCCTGGGCTCCGGGGCCTGCTCCGGGACGGCCGCAGGAGGGGTTCATTCCCGGGCCTGGCTCCCCGCAGGTGGACACCACCGAGCAATTGAAGAGGATCTCGCGCATGCGGCTGGTGCACTACAGATACAAGCCCGAGTTCGCCGCCAGCGCGGGCATCGAGGCCACCGCGCCAGAGACAGGTAGGGACCGGGCTGGTGCGGACTGGGGTCCGGAAACCCAGAAACCTCGGGCCTCAGTGACCTTGCCCCCTGTCACCTGGAAATCCTACTCCTCTTGACTCCCGGAACTGCGCCCCTGGGAATCATGCCTTCTAGAAGTCCCGCCCCTCGGACCTTGGAAAATCGCACCTCTCCAGGTCCCCGGAACCTCGCCCCATTGTCAGTGGAAATCTGAGAATCACGGCCCAGGGACCCTCGCCCTTCGCGCTAGATGAATCCTACCTTTAACCTGCCAGAATACTACCCACTTGCCCTGGGATCCTTACCCCCAGGAATCCGCCCCACCCCAGCCCAGGAACCTCACACCTGAGCCCTGGAATTGCAATCCTGTGAACACTGGTTCGTGGGATCTCCCTGCTCCAGGGCTCCTTGGAATCCAAATCTCTGGGTTCCAGAACTTCACCCTCTCCAGTCTTGCTCCCACTGTACATTACAAAGCTGTGAGTAGCCCTTTACCACCCCCCCACCCATCTTTGGCTTGTCCCCTGCCCCCAGGTGTCATCGCTCAGGAGGTGAAGGAGATCTTGCCTGAGGCTGTGAAAGACACCGGAGACATGGTCTTTGCCAATGGGAAAACCATAGAGAACTTCCTGGTGGTGAACAAGGTCTGTGGGTGGGGGAATGGGAGGGAGCCCAGAGGCAAGTGGGGAGCCAGCTGGGGAACACTCATCACCTCCATAGATACTGGGGGCACTGCAAAGCAGAGGCAGGAGCACCCTCGGCTCTCATGCTGCCTCCAGAGCGCCCTCTGCACCCCACAGGGAAGGGGTGAGTGTTCAAGGAGATGAGTGGGTAGGGATTTGGCCCCTGGAGCCTGTGTGATCAAGGGCAAGAGAAACCCTGTGGAGGGCCATGGCCTTCCACCCCCGGTAAAATGAGGGCGGTAATAGAACTGCACAGACATCCTCGTATGGTTACCTCCAGGCTGAAATACGTGGTTTATTGTGAGGACGACGTTTGTCACTTACCTGTCCTGAGTCTGGGCGCCAAGGAGGCATGTAATAGGTCTCCACCCCAGCTGAATAGTGAAGTGCTGACATCTGAGACACCAGTCATCCGAGGGGCAGATCCCGGGGCTGCAGCCTTCAGGCTTAGGAGAGGAGAGCTCTGGCAGGGAGTGGGGAGGGCCATTCAGGCAGGTGGGACAGCCCAGGTGAAGGTGCAGAGGTGGAGGTGTTGCTCGGAGACAGGCACAGGAGCTGTGGGAGCCGAGGCTGGATTGGAGGGGCCCGCCCAGGTAGGGAGACTTTGAGGGCCTCCCAGTGGCCAAGGACAGTGGCCGCCCCTCCTGCCCCCTGATGTCTGGCAGCCTGGGGCTCCCGGGGCTGACTGGGCCCTCTGTGTTGGCCCATGGCCCATGGCCCATGGCCCATGGCAGGAGCGCATCTTCATGGAGAACGTAGGGGCCGTGAAGGAGCTGTGCAAGCTGACAGACAACCTGGAGACGCGCATTGATGAGCTGGAGCGCTGGAGCCACAAGCTGGCCAAGCTGCGGCGGCTCGACAGCCTCAAGTCCACCGGCAGCTCGGGCGCCTTCAGGTAGGGGTGCGGGGTGGGGGAAGGTGAGACCCTTCTTCCCAGGGACACCCCTGATCCTGGCCCTCTTGCTGCAGCCATGCAGGGAGCCAGTTCAGTCGGGCGGGCAGCGTCCCCCACAAGAAGAGGCCCCCCAAGGTGGCCAGCAAGGTAGGGGTGAGCAGGGATGGCAGGCGGGTTGGAAAGGGGGCCTCCCTTGTGGCCTCCCTTTCTGGCTTGCAGTTCTCCAGCCTCACTGCCTCTGGTGCTTCCCTCTCCTTGTGACTCTGTAGCCCTCCCAGCCCCGTTTCTCTTTCTTCTCCCTTTGCCCCCGGGGAAATGGGGCACCCCCTTAACCGCTCCTCCGACCTCCAGCAGAGCCCACTGGGGACAGCCTCAGCCTGGCCCTCTTTGCATTTGCACTTTTCCTCTTGGTCCTCAGTCATCGTCCGTGGTTCCGGACCAGGCCTGCATCAGCCAGCGCTTCCTGCAGGGAACCATCATTGCCCTGGTGGTGGTCATGGCCTTCAGGTGACTTGTCCCCTGGGCTCTCATGGTGGCTGACTAGGGGAGTGGAGCTGCCCAGTGGAGTCAGCTGCCCATGGGCTCAGGCCTGGGGGAAGAGGAGGATGTAGCTTGGGAGATCAGGCAGCTGAGGTCTCGGTGAGGTGGGCCTTTCTGCCTCTTCCCCTCTGGGGTGACCCATTTTGTAGGCATCACCTGGGAGCCCAGCCTCAGGAGCAAGGACCACAGCCTTGTCCTAGAGAGAGGGCACTGGATGGTGGCTCCAGCTCTAACGGTCACCCTTTTCTGTGGCTCCAGCGTGGTGTCCATGTCCACACTGTACGTGCTGAGCCTGCGCACAGAGGAGGACCTGGTAGACACTGATGGGTAGGTTCCTGGAGGCCAAGCCAAGCTGCCAGGCCAGGTGGGGCTTTGGTGGGCAGTCCCAGGTCAGAGAGCCATGAGACTGTCTTCTCTAAAGGAGTTCATCCTTAGCCTCTTAGCCTGCTGGGGTGCTGTGGGGATCCAGGGAGGGCCTCCTTGGAGGGTGGGCAGCCTTTCCCAGTCCCTGCTGACGCTGATGTTTCTGTCTGGCCTGTTTAGTGCCCCTCCAGGTAGCTGGGCCTGCGAGTCAGGGCTGTCTGAGGGGCTGGGGTTGGAACATGGGGTAGGAGGAAGGAGGGCCAGGGCAGGGCCTTGGGCTCTGTGAGCCCACTGTCACCCCCAGCTCCTGGGGCCACCTCTGACTGTGTCTTCTCTTCTCTTCCCCTTTGCCTGTCTCACCCTTTGCCTTTTTGCTGCCCCTTAGCTCTTTTGCCGTGTCCACTTCCTGTCTCCTGGCCCTGCTCCGGCCCCAGCCCCCTGGGGGGAGTGAGGCCTTGTGCCCATGGTACGTGCTGACCAGCGCCCCTCTCCTCTGGCTCCTGCTGCCCCTCTTCCTGCCTCCCTCCCCTCCCTCTCTGCCTCTTCCTGCCCTCCTGCCTCTCCAGGACTGTCAGGCCCTCTCCCCTCAAGCTCTCCCAGCCCCTCTGAGCTCAGCCCATCCTTCCCCAGCAGGTCCAGCCAGAGCTTTGGGACCACGCAGCTCCGACAGTCCCCCTTGACCACGGGGCTACCAGGCATACAGCCCTCTTTGCTGCTGGGTGCGTGTCTGGGCAGGTCTGGGTAGGACAGGGAGGTTGCTATGTTCTGTCTTTGGGGCTTCTCTGGCTCATACAGCCTCTGGCCTCCTCAGTGACCACCAGCCTCACCAGCTCGGCCCCAGGTTCTGCTGTCCGCACCTTGGACATGTGTTCCAGCCACCCCTGCCCTGTCATCTGCTGTTCCTCACCCACTACCAACCCTACCACTGGTCCTAGTCTTGGCCCCAGCTTTAACCCTGGCCATGTTCTCAGCCCAAGTCCCAGCCCCAGCACCAACCGCTCAGGTAAGGCTTTCTGTGGGCTGGGGCTTGGGGCGGGGGCTACCTGCGTAGAGAGAAAGGCCCAAATACTCATTGGTGGGAGGGTCTCCTGGAGCCTAGAACGAGGCTCTGGACAATGACTGGGAAGTTCCCCTGAGAGGACCAAGAGACACATGGGGTTCACTCAGTCTTGTGGGGCCCTAGAGACAGCTGGACAGGAAGCAGCCAGCTTCCAGCTTCTTAGCCTGTGCCTGGTTCTATCCACAGGCCCCAGCCAGATGGCCCTTCTGCCAGTCACCAACATCAGAGCCAAGTCCTGGGGTCTTTCAGTCAATGGCATTGGCCACTCCAAGCATCACAAGAGTCTGGAGCCTCTGGCCAGCCCTGCAGTCCCCTTCCCTGGGGGGCAGGGCAAAGCCAAGAACAGTCCCAGCCTTGGTTTCCATGGCCGGGCCCGCCGAGGGGCCCTCCAGTCCAGCGTGGGCCCTGCTGAGCCCACCTGGGCCCAGGGCCAGTCAGGTACTTGCTGCACCCCTGACACTACCCAGCCCAGCCTGGCAAGGCTCACTGGCCAGGGCCCACCTCAGCCCAGTCATGTGACTGTCTGGGTTCAGACTTGTCAGTCAATAGACGTTTGCTGAGCACAGAATAAGGATCAGGAATCAGGCCTGCAGCCTTACATAGATCATCCCATTTAGTCCTCACAGCACTCCTGCAAGAAAGGAATTGTTGTTCCTATTGTTCAGCTGAAGAAATGGGATGGAGACTAAGGTGAAGTGACCTGCCCAGGGTTATACAGCCCCTCCGAGGCAGGGCTTGTATTTGATCCCGAGCCTGGCTCCTCCTTCGCCATGCCAGCACCAGGAGGGTGCTATACTGGGTCTCCCCTACTATTTCCCAAACCTTGGATCTTTGGTTTTAACAAAGCTACAGAACCTTTTATTGTAGTTTTCAAACTGGGTTCCTCTGAGGTACCCTGGGGGCTGCGCTGGGGGCTGCCCTGGGGGTTGAAGGGGAGGCTGGGAGGCTTCCTGGCTTCAACCAGGCAGCTCTGCTCTCACCAACTTTCATCTGATGGATTTTGTGGCTTCAAGAAAAAGAAAGCCTGGAAAATGTGGCTTACAGAGATGGAAATTCAATGTGATGGGGGAACCCCATGGGGGAGATGTTTGCCAGGCACCTGTTTACTGAGCTGCCTGCCACTCTGTGGCTGGCTCTGTACAGGGGACTGGGGGTGATGAAGATGGACACGCCCCTGTCCCCAAAGACCTCACAGAGATGAAAACACAGCAGTGTGATGAGGCTCTGAGGGGACATGCAGGTAGCTTTGGGACTGGGGAGGACACTTAATCCGGACGAAGGTGGGGAGGATCAGGGAAAACTTCTCTGGAGTTGGTGACATTTGAGCTGACTCTTTAAAGGACCTTTGGAATTTGCCCAGAAGGGATGTGGGAAGGGCACCTTCCATCTCGTCTGTATCTGATACCTGTCCTGACCACACAGGGTGTCCTGGATCCTGTTGGGGTCCTTGGGTCCCTGGGTCATGCCTCAGAGCTGAAAACGTACCAGGTCCAGCAAATGTTCAGCGGCCCCAGCTTCCCCCTTCCTGGGTGGATAGTCAGGCAGCAGCAAGACTGTATGTGAACTAGATGAGCAAGAAGTCCTGTCTCCCCCATCTGACTTGTCACACTTCAGTCCCACCCCTACCCAGCCAGCCAGCCTGCAGTCGGTTTGTTCAGGGAGGCTGCGAGGAGCAGCGTGCTGGTAGCGGTGTAATCATCGGCCTCGGGGCAGAGGGGAGCCTGATTTGTGTGATGCTGTCAACACTGCTGATTTCAAGCTACCAGTGTAACTGATGTTTCTGAACCCAGAACTGGGAGAGATGCCCGCAGTCAGGAACACAGGCCTCGAGCGGGCTCCTGCACACCTGGCAGGGGATGTGAAGACCCATCCCTACTTCTGGGTGTTCCAGTTCTTTTGAGGAGGCAGACGTCAGGCTCATGGGAACTGGGTAGTCCTAGGGCTGCTGAGGAAAGGGTGTAGTGTGATGCTGGCCATTGTGGAGGTCTGGAAAAAAATAACCTGGAACTTATTCATACTAAGGTGTGAGTGACTGCTTCAAGTCTGGCAAGGAAAGACTTGCCAGCTTCTCATTTGTGTCCTGCCTTGTCACCTTACTCCTGCCCCAACAGCCTCTCTCCTTGCAGAGCCAGTGCCCTCCCTGACCTCCATCCAGGTGCTGGAGAATTCGATGTCCATCACCTCCCAGTACTGTGCTCCAGGGGATGCCTGCAGGTGGGCTGGGCTCCCTCCCCTCACCCAGGGAGGTCCTCAGGTGACATGAGCCCAGGTGGTACAGATCACCCGGAACTTGCCCTTTCAGGGAGGAGCCTCCCCCATAAGGAAGGGTAGCCCCTTTCCAGGCTACCCTTGGACACTGTCTCTTCTGGAGGGCTCCAGTACAGATTGGGGGCTGAGGAGTCCCTGGTGGGGGTGGGGGGTGGCAGGGTACCCTCAGGCTAAGGTGCCAGTTTTGCCCCTGCAGGCCTGGGAACTTCACCTACCACATCCCTGTCAGTAGTGGCACCCCACTGCACCTCAGCCTGACTCTGCAGATGAAGTGAGTGCCGGTGTGGGGAAGTGGGAGGCAGGAGGGGAGCCAGGGAGAATCTCCCGCAGAGCCTCAGAACAGCCGAGTCTGAGGACAGCCGGAGAGTCTCTGGTATTTCCTGCATGGTGGGATAAGTGCTGACTTCATTGCCTACTTCGTGGTTAACTGGCTAAATGACCTGGCCTCATGGGCTGAGGACCACATGGGATGGTCGATGGGAAAGGTTTTGTTCGAGGGCCCTGGTTATTATGCGGTGTTTCAGGCTGGGTGGAGATTCAGAGGCGTGTGGCAGGCTGGCTGGGAGGGGGCTGGGGTTGAGGGACTCTAGAACCTCATTTCTCTGCTAACTGGGCCTGTCTACAGCTCCTCCTCCCCCGTGTCTGTGGTGCTGTGCAGCCTGAGGTCAAAGGAGGAACCATGTGAGGAGGGGAGCCTTCCACAGAGTCTCCACACCCACCAGGACACCCAGGTAGGTGGGACTGGGAAGCTGCGGGCCGGCCAGGCCCGAGCTGCTTCTCTCCTGGCACAACTGGGCCCCAAAATGGGCAAGGAGCAGAAGCTGGGAGTTATAGAGTAAAGCCTTCTCCACAAGGGACACTCTGGGGCCTGGGCCTCTGTGTCCCAGGGAGGGGCACGCGTGCCCGTGTTTGTTCATTGCACTCTGCTGAGCATCTCCCAGCCCTGCCGTGCTGGAGACGTGGGGAAGACAGCAGATCACAGGTGCTAATGTGGATGAGTGCAATGATGGAAACAGGCAGGTGTCTGGGAGCCCATGGCGGGGAGGGCTGTGGCTCACTGGAGGTGTCTGCAGAAGCAGGAAGGAGCCGACCTCATGCTCAGGTTGGGGAAGTGGCACAGCTAGATGTACAGCATCAGAGGGCCCCTCAGGTTCCATGTTTGGCCACCTCTTCTGGGAGAACTGGATGGTGAGCTCCTCCCTGGCCAGGTAACCGGAAGTTATGACTGTCCCTGGGGCTGATGGACCCCCAGTTTCTTCTTGAGCCTAAGAGGCCATGGGAGAAGACGCTCAGGACAAATGAAGGGAAGTAGTGATTATTTTTTCTTGCCCATTCATGTGTTTACTCAGAAAATATTGATTGGGGCCCCATCTGTCCCAGGCCCTGTGCTGGGTGGGCCTAGCTGCAGGGGAGAGAGGTGGAGTAGACACAGGTTTTGACTTCCAAGAACGTACTCTATAGTGAGGGAGAAAAGACGTGCAGAAAGCACCTGCAACAGAGGTGGGGGTGCTTCTGAGGGAGGCCCGAGCCCTGTCGCCCTGCAGAAGAGACAGGGTCCAAGACAGAGGGAGAGCCCAGCTAGACACACAGCAGACATGGTGCTCGGGCCTGAAACCACATCACAGACGCACAGCCAAAGCCTCAGGTAGATGGGCAAGCTGCCTGCAGCCAGGCTGCATGCCACCCTGTGAGGGAGACAGCCAGACAGACCTGGGTTTGAATCCCAGCTGTGTGATTTTGCCACACTGTGTGATTTTTAGGAAGTGGCTCAGTTTCCTCATCCAGAAGATGGGGCTAGTAGCAGCACTGTGTCACTGGATTGTACTGAGGATGGGGCTAATGAAATACTTTGATGTGCCCAGAGCATAGTGGGTGAGGGAACCCAGCACAACAGGACTGGGAAGGAGGCAGGGGCCAGGTGGAGGTGGCTGTGGACCTGCCAGTCCCGGGCACGGTCTGCATGGAGTAGCTGCCATTGCTCCTTCTGCCAAAGCAGAACATGCTCCTTCCTATCTCTTCAAAGTTCTCTGCTTTTTTCCTTCATAAAACTCCCCACAGACCCCAGGACTGCGACGGCCGTGGTGAGAGATGCTGGTTGGGATAAGGGCAGCAGTCTGTCCTGACCCCTCTCTCCCTTCTCTCCAGGGCACCTCTCACCGGTGGCCAATAACCATCCTGTCCTTCCGTGAATTCACCTACCACTTCCGGGTGGCACTGCTGGTGAGCAGGGGCATCCCACCTACCCTGGAGGTCTGGGCACCCCTGTCTGCGACGTGGGGCTTGAGGAATGGGGGGTTTGCACAGTATGTGGTAGGGCTGGGGGCACAGTGTCAAGCAATGTCAGCAGGGAGTGCCATCTGCCCCGCACCCCCAGAGCCACCTCACCTTCCCACTGCCCTTCCACCCAGGGTCAGGCCAACTGCAGTTCAGAGGCTCTCGCCCAGCCAGCCACAGACTACCACTTCCACTTCTACCGCCTGTGTGACTGAGCTGCCCTCCTGAGGCAGCACCACACCAGGGACCAGGGGTGCCCAGGCACCCCCCAACACTGGATGCAATGGTGTTACACTGGAGCCCGCTGCAGGCCAGCTCTGCTGTTCACTGGCCCTACCCGAGACTGGTGAAACTGGAAGTCTTCACACTGGAGTTGCTGTTCCAGCTGGTCGCCCCTCACGGCACAGAGGGAACCTGAGAGCCAGAGACTTCTTGGGCCTTCCTGCCTGCCACCCCCTAGGGGCCAGGACAGGACCAGTTTACCTCTTTCCAGATATGGTGGTTGGAGGGCTGGTTCAGGTGCCCTGGAGGGAAGGGGAAGCCTGTGGCCCTGATTTGTTCAGAGCCCATTCTCCCTTGCCTCCCCTTTTGAGACTGGAGCCAACCCTTTTGGAGAGAGGACCTGCCCACCTTTGAGATCAGCAGGGGGCTCGGATCCAGCCCTAAGAGACTTGGGTGGACCCCCATGAGTCAATGGAGGGCAGACGGCTCTCCCCCTTAAAGCTGTTCCCTGGGGGATGGCTTGGTAGTGGACTTTCTGGGGTTTGCCTGTTACGCCAGACTCGGACTTCTAAGCTTTAAGTGTGGCCCAGGAGGTTTCTTCTCCCTGGGAGGGCTTGGCTCCCAAGAAGTCCCAGGGCAGCCGAGGCCAGCCCTGCCTGGGTTGGAGAAACTGACTTTGTGCCTTAAGTCTACTCAGTGCCTGGTGAAGCCACCCTCAGCCCTTCACAGGCCTGAACCAGTAGGGGCCAGTGGGCCAGGTAAGCCCTAGAGCCTTGAACCAGGAATATCCAGGAAGAGGAAATTCCCTTTGAGCCCCCAGATGGTATTGCAGCTTCACTGCCTGCGTTCCTGGGAGCGTCTGGAGCTCACAGTGATCAGTGACCACATCATTCTCTCTGAGCAGAGGAGCAGGAATCCCTCAAGCAGCAGCCTGGTCTTGGCTGGTGGGCAGATGCAAATAGCTTTTGCTGTTATTAATGAAGTAATTACTAAATGCACTTAAACCAGGGCAGGAAGGAATGGAAGGATGGAGCTAGAAAGCTCAGAGTGGGCCAGAGCAGGGGTGTGACACTTGCAAAGACAGGGCTCTGACTCTGATCCCTCCCAGGGAGCCTCCGACACCCATCCCACTCCCAACCACCAAGACCCTGGGTTAGGGAAGAAGTTGTATCTTAAGTGCCACCTTCAAGTTTCTTAGTGGTGCCTGGTGCATTCCGAGGCTACATCCAGGCTCATGGAAGGAGTGTAGTATTCATTTAGCCATGTCTGCCATGGGTCCAGAAATGGGAAAGGGAATTGCTGTCCTTGCCCTGTGGTATGCTGCCACCTCTTTGGGAAGCAGGCCTTGCCCCTGTCCCACCACTCATTCTCAGCTTTGAATGGGAGGCCTTTCTATAGTGGAGGCCTTTCCTTGAAGCCTATGAACTGCAGGCCCCCTTTTGCCATTGATCTCAAAGCACTTGTCCTCAGGATAGGGAAGAGCAGGGGGATGCAGGAATAGCAGGGATAGCTTGCTCCCAGCCCCCTCCCCAATTTGGTTCCGTTGACATAGGAATTTTACGATTCCCAAACCATGCAGGGGCTGAGCCTTCCTTATGATGACTTTGTTCTCCCTCCCACTGGGGGAATCCTCCCTATGCCTTAAAACTGCCGAGCCCCACTCCATGTAATAGGATTCCTGGGCTTCCTCAATGGGGGTTCATGTTCTTGGACTGCGGGCCCTCAGTCCTTAACTGGAAAGTGACCGTCCACTGCCCCATGGAGCCCATCTGGACACAGCACAGCCCCAAAACCGTTAGCAGCTGGCTCTGTTTCCAAGCCTGGGGAGGGGTTCCTCAGTGCAGGAGTTGGGGACAGGCTGGGGATCCAAGCTGCTTGAGGGGGTCAACCTTGGACCAAAGTTGCCTTAAGCCTGTGGTAAAAGGGCTTCAGGGAAGGTAAGTGGGCCACCTGCTGGAAGCTGCCAGCTGCCCGGCTGGCAATGGTGTGAGTGTCTTGGCCCTGTCCCTGCCCTGGGGTCCAGCAGGTCATCCCTCCCTTCTTCTCTCTCCTTTGGCGTTTGTTCCTGTAGTCACTGGGCTAATCTCCCCCTAGCTTCAAGCTGTACATAGGGCCTCCCAGTGCAAATCCTCCTGCCCATACCGTGCACCCTTAGAAGCCTGCGTGTGCATAGAGCGCCCCCTACTTCCCAGTTAACTCCCAGTTCTTCTCCCTGAGCTTGGTATTTGTCATGTGCCAACTCTGACTCTGAGGTGGGCAGTGAGGGAAGCAGCCCCGGGCCTGCTTGCTTCCTGTCCCCGAAATGTTCGTTTCTTCTGAAGTAAATATACATATATAAATAAATGTATAAATACTGCTTTGTATCTGAGCTTGCCTCCTTGTCTCTTCTTGGGATTGGTCTGGTGGGAGAGGAGTCACCTATAAGGCTAGGGCCAATTGGAATTCAAAGTTCTTCCTGAGAAGCCTGGAATCTCTGAGCGCCTGAACCAGAGGGCCAAATGGATGCTTCATACCCCTTATCCTCTTAGCTTCATATTGGGGCTAGGAGTGGACTCATCAGCCTCTCCCATGGCCACACCTTCCCCTCCTGCGCACCCGCTGCTGCCCACCTGCATTAAAAGTAGCCACTGAGGAGAAAAGCCTTCTTAGGGGGAGAAGCTGAGCCTGGTGAGGATGCCCCAGCACAGAGAATGGTGGCTATGTTTATGGCAGGGACTGGCCTAGGGCAGAATGGACCGATGTGGGTTCCCAGAGAAGTTTGTCCTAGAAACAATAGAAAAGGGTAGGCCCAGACCCTATCCACAGGTAAGCCTTAAATTCCAATGACAAAACACCGGTGCTACACAAATCTCATCCCCCTTAAGTAGATCAGCAGCAGGAACTGTGAAAGGCAGATGAGAAATGGGAAAGGGAAGAGATTGGGGAAGCAATGTAGGTCCCAGCACCCACCACCCCTGCAGAATGGGCCCCAGACAGGACTGCTATACATCTGCATTTATTATGAGCAGCAGGTGGGACACTTCCAGCAACAGTAAAAAAAAGTAATTTACAAAAGCAGGTTTCAGTGAAGCCATCTGGTTGTTACCTAAAAGAGGAGAGGGGTATCAAAATAAGACCAATGGCCCTTCTTTCCTCCTTCTCTCCCTGCACCCCTGTGCTCCTGGGGCAAGGGCTATTGAGCACACACCTCTGAGGATGAGCCACCAGAGCTGATTCCTAGTGGCCTGTTTGGTGGATTGTCTGCAGCAAGTTTTAAGCCCTGGATCTTGACCCCCTTTCAGCCAGCTGACTTCCCAGCAGCCTCTCCAAGTCACTGGGGTCTGACTTCTAAGAATGTAAATGTACAGCCATGGGATGCCTGCGTCCACACTTCTAGGTGGTACATCCCAAAGGCAGATCGAGGCCTTGGGCCATGTGAGCTCAGAACTGAGAGTCACATTTGGCTCAAATCCGTATGAGGGGCAGGGAAAGAGGCACAAATGTCTAGTGTCCCTACCCATTCCACTGAGTCTGTCTCCATCAACCAAGGGGTCATGCTGGTAAGAGCTTTAAGGACCCTGCTGACCTGACTCTGGGGAGGCTTCCCTGGGCTGTGCCTTGGAGGCTCACGCATCCATCCCATTGCAGCTCTTACCCTTGGGTGCTCACACGTAGATGCCAACCCAGAGCAGCAGGAAGAGGACTCCAAAGCCCATGAAGAGTGAGGCCACTAAGGAGATGAGGAGCTCTTTATAGATATCACGAGTGTACTTGGTAGAGGTGACCTCGTAACTGGGCACAGCAGTTAAGGCAAAGCGAAGGGGTGGACTGTGGAGTGCAGAGAGCCCAGCCCACGGCAATCTGAGGAGAAAAGCATTGGCTCAATGCCTTCTGGGAGGCCTATCTGGCTCAGAGCAGCCAGGCAGAGGGGCCTAAGAGATGCCTTGGACTCTGGTGCTCCACTGCCATGAAGAAAATGAGACCCAGAGGAGTTAGGTCACTTGCCCCAGGTCACACAGCTCATGAGGGCCGGAGCTGGGACTAGCCCTCAGACCTCCTGACACCTGAGTGCACCCTTCCTTATACCACCTTTCCAACTGTAGCACCCCTATTCCCCACCTCCACTCCAGCCAGGTCCCCTGCTCACTGTCCTGGAAATCCAAAGAACAAACTGAGCTCACCTGAACTTGGGAAATAAGGCTATAACCTGCCCCTGGGCATCACTAGCCCTCCTCTCCTCCTTACCTTCTCTCAGCCCCAATCCAATGTACAAAACCGGCGGGGTCCATGTACCTAGCGTGGTTTCTCCCTGAGCTTCCCACATCACTAATGCTGGTCCTCTGGCTGCTCAGTGAAAGGATACACGAAGAACCAGGCGGTGAAGAACATGCCAATGGCCAAAAGCACCACGGTCAGATGGGGGAAGACAGCTGGGTTCACTGGGCTGGTATATCTGCTCATGGCCTCGAGCTCCTAGAGGAGGGAAAGAGATCAGAGCTATCAAAGAATCCCACGATTTCAGCCTGGAGAGAACATGCGGTTATCAAGGAGCCTGGTGCTGCCGTGAAACAGAGGCTGATTTTAGCCCGGAAATGTAGCTGCAGATCAATGGCCCTTATTAGCATTTTCTGAGGCCAATAATCTGACCACTATGAAAACGTGACTAAAGGTACGAACTCTCTGCCTGAGAAAAACCACATACAAGAAAAAGTTTGCCTACAATTTCCGGAGCTTTGTGGACCAGTGTCTATAGACACCAAGCTGAGAACCCCCGCTATAAGTCACTGACTGGTGGTACCCAGATCTCAATATCTTTTTTTTTTGACGGAGTCTCATTTTTTGGACGGCGTCTCACTCTGTCGCCCGGGCTGGAGGGCAGTGGCACGATCTCGGCTCACTGCAACCTCTGCCTCCCGGGTTCTAGAGATTCTCATACCTCAGCCTCTCGAGTAGCTGGGACTATAGGATTACAGGTGCGCACCACCACATCTAATTTTTGTATTTTTAGTAGAGATGGGGTTTTGCCATGCTGGCCAGGATGGTCTTGAATTCCTGACCTCAGGTGATCTGCCTGCCTCGGCCTCCCAAAGTACTGAGATTACAGGTGTGAGTTGCCGCGCCCAGGCTCAATTTTTTTTTTTTTCCAGACAGTCTTGCTCTATCGCCCAGGCTGGAGTGCCTGGAGTGCAGTGGTGCCAACTCGGCTCACTGCAAGCTCCGCCTTCTGGGTTCAAGTGATTATCCTGCCTCAGCCTCCCGAGCAGCTGGGATTACAGGCGTGAACCACCATGCCCGGCTAATTTTTTGTATTTTTAGGAGAGACAGGGTTTCACCTTGCTGGCCAGGCTGGTCTTGAACTTCTGACCTCCTGATCCGCTCGCCTCAGCCTCCCAAAGTGCTGGGATTACAGGAGTGAACCACCGCGCCTGGCCCTCAATTTCTAATTCAGTATTTTCCTCACTACCTATGCTATTATGGAATCTTGTGAGCTATGGTCAAGACATTCAAGTTCTGGTTCTGAGTAATCTGAGTCTGAGTAAAGCGACTGTAATATCTATTTCACAGAACTGAAAAATAAGAAAGATGATGAATCAAAGCATCTAGTGCCTAGCAGGGAGTATTTTGCTCAACAGGTATTTGCTTCCTTCCTAAGGCTGTAGGGAAGATGATGAGATAATGTCTTTTATGAAAGAGGGCTGTAAACGTAAAGATCTGTACAAATGTTAACTTCATTGTCACCGGTCAGCCAATGCTTCTAAAATCCAGAACATAACAACTCTAGAGAAGTAAACTGCCCCCATTGTTCTGAGACACTGGAATTCAATTCAGTAAACAATCACGGCCCCCTTCCCCCAAAATGATAAAGACAATCACTGCCATTTATTGAGCTTCCAATTACGGGCCCTCTGTTTGGCACTGAGAATACAAAGATGAATAGACATCATCCCAGAGCTAGATGCGCGTCAGACGGTGGTCACTAGGAGGCGTGGCCGAAAACAAAGAAGTCCATGGAACGTGGCCAGAGATCTGTACAGAGGCTGTGGGCGCTCCTAGGAAAGTCTGGCCAAGTGCCTGAGAGTTGGAAGTGCTTCACCAATAAACATTTGCCCAGGGCATTGTAGGATGGGCACGGGTTCGGCAGAAGAACTTTCCAAATAAAGATAACACACCACCGATAACAGAGATATACAAACTGGAAGGTATTCAAAATTCGCCCCACGCCTCTCGCCCTTAGAAATCGCGAGCTGAGAAACCTAAGGAGTTCATGGCAAGGGGCTTCCCCCTTCCCCACCCTTCAGCCCAAGCCGGAGGTTCCAGGAGCGTCTAGCCCTCTGGATCTCCGGCGTCTGAGGAGATAAGCGCGGTGTGGGTCAGACCCCGAGGGGTCCTCGCATCTCCGTCTGGAACTCCCCTCAACGCTCTCACCATTTTGCCCCGCGAAGGCTAATCCGCCGCTCCGCCACCGGAAGAACACGTCGGCAGGAGCAGGCGCCTAGCACAACCGGAAAAGGAAGTGCCTCCGGCGCAAGTGGCATTGAGGGACTTGTAGTCCTGCGATTTCGGGTGTAGAGGGAGCAGGGGCCTGCGGGGACCTGGTGTGGGTGGAGTGGGGACAAGCGGTGGAGAAGGGTACGCCAGGGTCGCTGAGAGACTCTGTTCTCCCTGGAGGGACTGGTTGCCATGAGAGCAGCCGTCTGAGGGGACGCAGCCTGCACTACGCGCCCCAAGAGGCTGTGCGTGGCGAGCAGGTCACGTGACGGGAGCGCGGGCTTTGGAAGGCGGCTGAACGTCAGGCCACCCGCCGCTAAGCTGAGAAGGGAGAGCGAGCTTAGGACCGCCTGCCCGGGGCAACCCCGAACCAAGCTTTAGCCGCCGAGGCCGCGTGTCCCAAAGGCCAGGTGAGACCCCATGGGAAGCGCCTCCGGGAGCGACGGGGTCCGCTTGGCGCTGGGGGCCGTGGGGAGCCGGGGTCTGGAGTGCGCGGGATTCGCAGTCAAGAGGTCCCGCCACTTTTCCCCCTGTGAGCCTTGGGCCAGTCGCGTAAGCTCCGAGCCTCTCTTTCCTCCATTGTAGAAAAGCGGTAATAAGTTCCACCTTATGGGGTCGTGTTGTATTTTTCCTAAGACCTTGGACGAGAAACATTTCTGACACTTGAGTTGTTTAGGCCCCTTTCCTGCCTACCTGTCTGTGGGACGCCGTGAGGGGATCAAGGGCTACATGGTCTGGTCCTCAGTCCACACTCCAGCAGCGCGGCCGGCTTGAGGCAAGAGCCGAAGGGTTGAACAGGCCTGGAGAGGGGACATTAGAGGTTTCTGTCTGTTGTCTCAGTTAACCCTGGCAGCAGCCCTGAGAGACAGGCATGGTAATCGTTCTTCTTCTGTAGACGAGAAAATAAACCTCAGTGGCTTGGTAATGTCACACGGATGGTAAATGCCGCGCCTAGATTCAAGGCCAGAGCTTTTGCCGCTGCAGTTCACAGGGGAATTATTCATATTAATCAAATGAATAATTCATTGTCAATTAATTATTAATTGATTAATAATCCAGGGATGGACCTGGAAGGACGCGTGAGAGGATGGCGAGAGGAGGGCACAGCTAAGGAAAAGTGGGAAAAGGCGGGCCTTATTCCAGCTTTCTGTTGAGATCCCAGAATGTAGGGTTAGGTTGGGAACCAGAACATGAAAGATCGTGATGCCATGCTGAAGTGTTTGGACTGAATTAGAAGGAAGAATTGAACAGTCATTGATGCTCTAGAAAGAACCCTGTGAAGAAAGAGTGGGAACAATGAAAAGGCCTGATGGAGTCTTTCGTTTCTTCTTTCTCTTTTCTTTTGTCTTCTTTTCTTTTCTTGACAGGGTCTTGCTCTGTTGCCCAGGCTGGAGTGTGGTGGCACAATCATAGCTCACTGTAGCCTGGAACTCCTGGGCTCATGTGATCCTCCCACCACGGCCTCCCAAAGTGCTGGGATTACTGCCCAGAGCCTCTGTGCCTGGCCCCAGTAGAATATTTCTTGGAGTATTGGACACATACCAACAGTGGGCACAAGATGAGTTTTTTATTTTTTTGAGACGGAGTCTCACTCTCTTGCTAGGCTGGAGTGCAGCGGCACAATCTCGGCTCACTGCATTCTCTGCCTCCTGGGTTCAAGCGATTCTCCTGCCTCAGCCTCCCGAGTAGCTGGGATTACAGGTGCACACCACCACACCCAGCTAATTTTTTTTTTTTTTGTATTTTTAGTAGAGACAGGGTTTCACCGTGTTGGCCAGGATGGCAAGATGATTTTAAATTGCACCCCCTAAAAATCCTTTTTAATAGTTATACATTTAATACATATTAAAATATAACTAATAGAACACAAATATTATTGCTTATGAGTTTTCCAGTTTAGTTTTTTAAAAAAAATTCTAAGTGAATGAAAGTACGGGTTTTAGTTGGAAGTAGCAAAAATCGTGAGGGTGATTTGGGAAACACTGCTATCTGGGAAACACTGAACTCTGAAGTGCAATACTCTTTTGAGCCCAGTGACTACAGCATGCCAGACCCCTAAATCAGGACCTGGGGAGGAGCCATGGAGTTAACATTTCAGACTGAGTGGTGGCGAGAAAACGCAAAGGGAAAGACTTGAAACTCTAGCAACATTATAATAAAAGTAGAAACTCTTATGTGCTGAGGCGATGATGAAGAGAGTTTAGAGAAGCTTGTGAGAAAGCCACATCACCTCCATTCAGATATGTTTGCAATCCTTTTTCAAGGCTGCCTTATTAGTCAGGGTTCTCCAGAGACTCAAAACAAATCAGATCTGTTTGTTTAGCTGGTGTATTTGCCTGTCTTTCAGGTCTGCCATTATGGTCCCTGGACTCCTCAAGCCAGGCCAAGCATCCTGGCCTTCTGTGGTCCTTGATGGAGACCTATGTTGCAGGTTTTTTTTGTGTAATAAATAATGCTGCTACCTTAGAATATCAACAGTATCTTATTTCTCTAAGCACGTGGTTCAATTTCTGGTACTCGTTGAGCCTTACTATTGAGTAAATTCTCCTGCTAGACTGAGTTTTTTGAGAATGGGGACCTTGTTCATCTTTTTATCTTTAGCAGTGCTGACATGGTGTCCTTTTTGTTGTGTGGAATTTAGTTGAAGGCATGAAGTTGGTGAGATAACACCAGTTATAACCTTTCTCCTTTCCTCCGTCTCTGACTTGCCTTTCTTTTTTAGTCATCCCTCCTCTGTGTTGCCATGGGAATTCAAGGCCTGGCCAAACTAATTGCTGATGTGGCCCCCAGTGCCATCCGGGAGAATGACATCAAGAGCTACTTTGGCCGTAAGGTGGCCATTGATGCCTCTATGAGCATTTATCAGTTCCTGATTGCTGTTCGCCAGGGTGGGGATGTGCTGCAGAATGAGGAGGGTGAGACCACCAGCCACCTGATGGGCATGTTCTACCGCACCATTCGCATGATGGAGAACGGCATCAAGCCCGTGTATGTCTTTGATGGCAAGCCGCCACAGCTCAAGTCAGGCGAGCTGGCCAAACGCAGTGAGCGGCGGGCTGAGGCAGAGAAGCAGCTGCAGCAGGCTCAGGCTGCTGGGGCCGAGCAGGAGGTGGAAAAATTCACTAAGCGGCTGGTGAAGGTCACTAAGCAGCACAATGATGAGTGCAAACATCTGCTGAGCCTCATGGGCATCCCTTATCTTGATGCACCCAGTGAGGCAGAGGCCAGCTGTGCTGCCCTGGTGAAGGCTGGCAAAGTCTATGCTGCGGCTACCGAGGACATGGACTGCCTCACCTTCGGCAGCCCTGTGCTAATGCGACACCTGACTGCCAGTGAAGCCAAAAAGCTGCCAATCCAGGAATTCCACCTGAGCCGGATTCTGCAGGAGCTGGGCCTGAACCAGGAACAGTTTGTGGATCTGTGCATCCTGCTAGGCAGTGACTACTGTGAGAGTATCCGGGGTATTGGGCCCAAGCGGGCTGTGGACCTCATCCAGAAGCACAAGAGCATCGAGGAGATCGTGCGGCGACTTGACCCCAACAAGTACCCTGTGCCAGAAAATTGGCTCCACAAGGAGGCTCACCAGCTCTTCTTGGAACCTGAGGTGCTGGACCCAGAGTCTGTGGAGCTGAAGTGGAGCGAGCCAAATGAAGAAGAGCTGATCAAGTTCATGTGTGGTGAAAAGCAGTTCTCTGAGGAGCGAATCCGCAGTGGGGTCAAGAGGCTGAGTAAGAGCCGCCAAGGCAGCACCCAGGGCCGCCTGGATGATTTCTTCAAGGTGACCGGCTCACTCTCTTCAGCTAAGCGCAAGGAGCCAGAACCCAAGGGATCCACTAAGAAGAAGGCAAAGACTGGGGCAGCAGGGAAGTTTAAAAGGGGAAAATAAATGTGTTTCCCCATTATACCTCCTTCACCCCAGAATATTTGCCGTCTTGTACCCTTAAGAGCTACAGCTAGAGAAACCTTCACGGGGTGGAGAGAGGATTCTAAGGCTTTTCTAGCGTGACCCTTTTCAGTAGTGCTAGTCCCTTTTTTACTTGATCTTAATGGCAAGAAGGCCACAGAGGTACTTTTCCTTTTTTAGCTCAGGAAAATATGTCAGGCTCAAACCACTTCTCAGGCAGTTTAATGGACACTAAGTCCATTGTTACATGAAAGTGATAGATAGCAACAAGTTTTGGAGAAGAGAGAGGGAGATAAAAGGGGGAGACAAAAGATGTACAGAAATGATTTCCTGGCTGGCCAACTGGTGGCCAGTGGGAGGTGATGGTGGACCTAGACTGTGCTTTTCTGTCTTGTTCAGCCTTGACCCACCTTGAGAGAGAGCCACCAGGAAGGCGCATCTTAGCAGATGGGAGGAACTGCTGAGAGAAGATGGGCAGAAAGCTGGAGCCCCTGGAGTTGGCTGTGTCTGTGTTTGTGACTGATTACTGGCTGTGTCTTGGGTGGGCAGAAACTCGAACTTGCTATGTAATTTGTGTCTAGTTATTCAGAGGAGTAAGATGGTGATGTTCACCTGGCAATCAGCTGAGTTGAGACTTTGGAATAAGACACTGGTTTTCATGCGCTGTTTTTGTTTTAAAGTTATGAAGAAAAAAGTCAATAAAATTCTAAAAGTAACCAAAATGTCATGTTCTTTGAGAACATTTGAAAATATCCCAAGTGACCATGGCTCCAAATAGCTTTCCTTTTCACTCTTAACATGCTGTAATTGCACTTGATTAACAATGGGTGGTTTGAGAGTGGCCACAAGATGGCACCATGCTCCATAAAATGGCCATAGCAGCTAGATGGAACTTCAGCCATTAGGAGGAGGATGTTTTGTTTATTTTATTTTGCTGGGAGAGGAGTTTTAATACGTTGAATAGATTTCTAGTCTCTCACTCCATGAGATCAAAGGAGTGCCTTTAAGAAAGCCTCACAATTTAGATCAACTACCTCATAACATCCAAGCATTTACTTTGCCACTACTTGTAAACTGAAAGCTGCCATTCAGAAACCATTTTCTTGTTCCTTTTGTAACATCAAATCCAAGATACTGTTTCCCATAGAGATGGCATGTTTTTGAGCTTTGAAAGTTTTATAATCCTGATAAAGCTTGGCCCATTTGAATGTCTGACGTTTTAGCATTCCTGTCAGGGCCATTTGAAGTTAACAGGGACACTTATGTAACTGTCCGAAAT